>NC_000003.12:140978301-141281331 GCF_000001405.40 Homo sapiens | reverse complement strand
TGCCCAGTTCTTTCAGCCTCGGGCCCCCTGCACTTGCTGCTTACTCCATAGGGAACGCTCTGTCCCCGGACCATCACAGGGCTGGCCCCTTCACTTCATGTAGGTGCCTGCTTGTGTACTGCCTTCTGGTACCTGGCACATGATAGAAGCATAAAACTAAAATTTGTGCAATAAATGCTGATCAAAGTGGATGTTTTCTCCTCCTTGGATGTAGAAAAGCATATTTAATTCATATTTATGAATGCAAAAAAGCATTTACTAAATATGGCATATAAATAACTAATAACCTTAATGCTGGCTAAATGTAATACTATGAGGGTTAAAATAGCACCTTCCTTATAAAGCACATGGCATTCACAAAGAGGCAGCTTCTACTACAAAGGCTTTGAGAGTCACAGGGTGTGGCATCGTGGATGGAAACCCTGGGGCAACAAACTTGTGGACCGCCAGCTAGTGCTTGGTTCAGCTCACTGCACCCTGCCTGCTGGCCACAGTATTCCGTTTCACTAGACTAGAATAATGGGCATGCTCCAGGGCACACCACCTTTTAGGAGATCACAACATTAGTAATTTTTAAAGCTGAAGTAGCACCTGGGAAGACAGCAGGTATTGCTCGTGACCCAGATCCCACAGTCCTGGGGGAGTCAGCAGCCTAGAGAGGGTCCCCTTCACCGGGGTTCCTGCTCACTCTTACTCTTAAGTACCTGTTTATAATGATGAGTCAACTATTACTGTTTTTAAAGATTAAATTAATTAAATGACATTAAGTAACTATGCATACTCCACCCTCTTCACACAAAGGATTTAAAGTGGCTTCTAAAAATACAGAATGTTCAATAAAATAAAACTAGGCAAAGGAAAATGAGGGCAGAGGCAGCCAGGCCAACTGGTCCCTAGGAACTGAACCTCTCAAATGGGAGCGCCAAAAATGGCCCCATTAGAGGGTCCTGGCATCACTGTGACAGGGGCCCTGCAAGACGAGCTACAAAGTGTCACTTTTAAAGAACAGCCCTGGCTGTAGTGAGGTAATCCATGGCTCCACCAGGCTCGCCCTCCCGGGGCAGGCTGGCATCCCAGAAGCATTCCATCAAAATAACGTCTTCCCCACTGAGCACTTCATCTCCTGACCTCATTCACTAAACTCTGCTAGAATGTTATGTGCCTCCAGACACATTTGCTGAGGTCTAGCCCAATATTTTATTGCTAACTATGCCTCTAATTTTAGAGCCATGCCATTTCCATACAATTTCCACACTCTGTTCAATTATTTTTCATCCTAAGGGCTTTCAACCAAGAACAGGCTGCCTCTACTCCAGTGAAAAATTAGAAGGGTGAAATAATTCTTACATTTATATGGCTCTGCAATTGCTAACGTGCATTTGTCTGTGTCATCTCACTTACTCTTTGCCCCAACTTTGCATGGGGAGCCTTGTGATCCCCGTTTCAGAGGTAGGAGGCTGAGGCTCAGAGGACACTAAGGGGCTTGCCCGCTGCTCTGAATGGAGCAGGTGAGCTGGGGCGGAGGACTCTTAACTCAGTGCTCACTGTACTGTGTCCCAACTGTTTATTAAAGTGAAAAACATCAGGGTGGGAGGGTGAGCCTCAGACTGGCCTGGGCTCAGTATATCTGCTGTGTTGCTTCAAACAGGTGTCCCCGCCTCTGTGGGCCTCCATCTTTTCAACTGTATAATGGCACTCACATGTAGGACTGCTCTGAGCTCAGGCTCCTGCAAACAGTATGGTTCACCAAGTGTAGGTCCTGTCATTCTCTATCCTACAGGATATAACAGACACTTGAAAATGACTTTTAGAAAAAGTGCAATTTACCTGTTAGCCACCAGAGTGCAGTCAATTTCTGGTCGCTTTGTTTTGGGAATGACATACAGTGGGTACCTGTCTCCGTGGCGAATGAACACATGCACTGAGACCAGCTTAAAATGATGCGGGGCATGACCTGCGCGAGAGAAGCACATTGTCTGGTTATCACTCAATAGGTGTCAATCCTTTTAGAAGGGGGCCAAGGGGATGACCTGGCCACATTTGGGCTGGGAATCTGAGCCGGAGGCAGCAGGGGCCACCGTGGGTTTGCAGAGCCACCACAGTGAAGGGGCCCTGGCTGCCATTCTGGATGGGGGCCACTGAATAGTCTTACAAGGCGGGACAGAGGAACATGAGTAGGCTGATTATGTCCCAGACCTCCTGGAAACAACGGGAGGCTGGTGAAATGCGGGCATGACTACTAATGTGGCCTCACTCACATGCACAGACCAGGGAGAGAGCCACGGAAATACTAGAAACAATGATTTCTGCTTTAAATCTTTCATGAGACCAGAGAAGGCATAAAGAGATCAATAAGGATTCAACACTATGCTCTGATACACTTTTACAAAAGCAAAACTTGTAGAAATTGCCTCACTTCTATGGCAAGACGCCAGCAGGACATCCTGTGGACATCCTGAGTCCCAAGAGGCTACCCTGAAAAGCAGAGTGTCTCAATGTGCTGCACTAGTGCCTGCCAAGGCCACCTTTCTACCTTGCTGCTGTCTCACTAAAGATCATGATGATGGCAAACATTTGTGGTGGGTTGATCGTGAGCCACGTGGTATGTTCAGAGCAGTTACTGAAACCTCCCCAGTCCCAGGCATAAGTCCTGTGAGTTACTCCCATTTTATAGAGGAGAATGCAAGGACCCAGGAACTCATTCAAGGGCACAGCCTGGTGGCAACTGCAGGACTTGGGTCCTGGCCATCTTGCTCCTTACTGCTGTGCAATGCTGCTGGAATAACTAGTCCCCAAAGGGGTATCTGTCCTGGTGGCACAGTCAGGCCTACCTTCCATGCTGCGCTCGGCCACGCTGGGGATGTTGCAGTACAAAAGAGCTTCATAAACGGGGTCTGTCACAGGGGGCTCCGTCACAGGGTCGGGCATGATTCTCTTTCGACTCTTGCTACTCATTCCATTCTTAGGAGTCGACACCGGGATCAGGTGGACTGAAACGAAGTAAGGCAGGTTGTGACGCACAGTTCCTGGGGCGCCAGGCCAGCTGCAAGGCCCAGCGCAGGGCTGGATTTCACTTTGAGGAGCTATTCTTACACTGAGAATCAAGGTGCACTTCAGTGGAGCAGAAGTCAGCTTCCCATTCAAGAAGGGCTTCTGAGCCCCACTGTGTCCTGCCCCTTCGTCACTGCCACTACCCTCTCCTTATCATCTATTCAACACCAGGGGAGCCTCCCAAGCAAAGGGGCCTCTCTCAGGGCAGTTGGAGGAAGAACTCACACACTAACTTCTTAGGACCTGATTACCTCTTCCTAATGCCCTTTAATTCCAGTAACAACAAGAAGGAGGAAAACCATCATTCCTCATTGAAGACCTGCTAGGTGCCAGATGTGGGTGTCTGACATATCCCATTTATCATCATCTGCTTTATGCTTTGTGGGCCTTCAGAGTCGCTCATCTAACCCATGAGAGCACTTTACAGAAGAAAGCCAAGGACCAAGGCATGTGTGGTGGGTGAAAGCCTGTCTCACGCTTACTCCTTGACTTCAGGCCAGCTTCCCTGCCACTGTCTTCGGCGTGGCATGTGTGGGTCTTGCAATCTGTGTGCTTGTCCATCTACTACCCTCATTCCATTAGTGAGCTGACCCTTCACCACCACGTGTGGTCAGGCTGGACTGTCAATCACAGTGTCCCCACCCCCTGGCAGGGGTGGACATGTGACCAGAGTCAATAAGGGTAGTAATGGGGCAACTGGACTCCCTTTCCTCGAGACAGGTGATATACAGACTCTAGAAGAGGTGCTCTTTTTCTTTCGGATGCTAATCTGTAAGAATGGAAATGTGGGGCTGCCCAGCCATCTATCCCTCATGAACAGCTTCTGTCTCAGTGGTCCCTAATCTCTCCGTGCCTAGGGAATGTCTTTGTAGCATCATAGATCCTCTAGAACTCCCAACACAGTATAGTCATACTTTCAGCATCCGCCCTTTGAGGGAAACACATGAAAATAAGTGTGCTCACAGATCTTTTTAACTTCTAAAAGATTTATTAATCACCATAATATCTACACATGCGCACGAACAATAGCTAAAACAGGGACCAACCACCAGCCTAAATCAATGTAAATTCCCTAATTACTTCTACAAATTCTTCTACATAAATATTTAAAACTTCCCTTTGGCAAACAGATGCCATAAACAAAGATAAAAGGCAACACACTGAGAGAAAAATATTTGCAACTAACCTAACAGACAAATGATTAATATCCAAAGTCCATAAGAGACCCTACACCTGAAAAATCATTAAAGGATATGAACAGGCTAATCGCAGAAAAATAAATACCAATGGCCAATAAACACATGAAGAGATGCTTAAGTTTGTTCATAATTAGATACAGATAAAACAACAGTGTGATACTGTTTTTCATAATTGTTTATTCATAATTAAAGAAATATAAATCAAACAGTGGACTATATTAATAATTTTTCCTCATCAAACTGGAAAATCATGTTTTAATGATAACACTCAATATTGGGAAGGGTGTGAGAAACCTGACGCTTCCAAACATCATGGGGAGGGTGGAAACCGGCACCTCTCGGGAGTGTTTGGCAGTAGCCATCAAAATGGTATATGTGCACTACCCCCGATCTCGTTATTCTACGTCTTGGAATCCATTCTGTATCTATAAAGATAGCGATGCCCACGCACAAAAATGTGTGGCCAAAGAGATTCCCTGCAGTGCTGTTTGTAATAACAAAAAAGGGAAATAACCTAAATATCCATCTCTAGCAGAACAGAACGTTATGTCCCTACTGTGGAATGTTCTATCCCAGTTAAAAAGAAGGGAAAAGAATCAAAGATAAATTAAGTGAAGTGAATACACCAAGTCACTGTATACTGATATAATCCTCTTTGTGTAAAGAAAAAAAACAAACCATAAATGCATAAATATACAGGGATTTGTTTATTACGTAAATGCATAGAAAAAATGTCTAGAAGGTTATCCATCATAACACAGCAGTGGTTTTCCTCTGGGAAAGGATGGAATGGGGTGTGAAAAAGTATTTTTACTTGTTTGTATATTCGCACACACATATACGTACAGTCATGAGTTGCGTAACAATGGGGAGGCACTGAGAGATGGCCCTTAGGCAATTTTGTCATAGTGTAAACATCATAGAGTGCACTTACACAAACCTAGATGGTAGAGCTTTCTACACACCTAGGCTATTTGGTCAGCCTGCCGCTCCTAGGCTACAAACCTGAACTGCATGTTACCGCACTGAATGTTGTAAGCAGTTGTAACACAATGGTAAGTACTTGTGTATCTAAACATATCTCGACTTAGAAAGAATACAGTAAAAATATGGTATTATAATATGGCACCACTGTCATATATGTGTTCTGTCGTTGATGGAAGTCATTATGTGGTACATGACTGCATATGTATTTATAGTAAGCACATATTAATGTATTCTATATGTATAGAAATATATATTTCTGTATTTCTATGCTGTCTAGGTAAGCATTTTTTTTTTTTTTACAGTGAACGTATTTCCCTTCATTACTTGTGTTACCAAAACAACAATCACAGAGATACAGAACTGGTGATTCACCCACCCAACATTAGCCCTTTGGTTGCTCCTAGGGCCACTTTCTTTCCAGTAGTTGGAAGGTGCTAGGATGGCTAACACAGCCCAGGTGTTCAGAGGGAATTCACTACAGGGGGATTAGCACAAGAGCACGGAAATATAGAAAAGTGCTAAGGCAGTCTCTTAGTGACCTGGCCCTTCTGGCTGGCTCAGTCCTTGATTCTGCTCTTTTGTGAAATCTACCAAGTCCTGGCCCCTTGGCCATGCCTGTGGGCACACTCCCTTGGAGTCTGGGCCAGGGACAGAAGCAGCTAAGGAGACAGGATAATATGAGTGACACAGAAATGGAGGGGCACAGGTGAGGACAGTGGGTGTCCTAGAGTGCCCACAGTTTGCTAGTTCATCTATAAGCACCCGGGGTGAGGCCTGTTGTGGCTGCCATTTGGGAACCATGGTGGTTGGGTGCAAATGACCCACCCATGACCCAAGGAAGCAGTGGTTTGAAAACCACAGATAAAGATCAGAATGAGACCTTCTCTCCAGAAAGATTTTATCTGCTGCTTCCTCTGGTATCTGGGCCTGTCAACTGTGTCTACTAGTTCAGAGTGTGAGATCACCCTGTACTATTTGTACCTCCCTGAGTCACCAGGACATAGCATCAGTTCACAAGGGGCCTTCCCAATACCAGGCATTCAAAACAGGTCCTGACACATAGAAGCTGTGAGGAGAAGTCTCCCCAGCTCCATCTTGACCCCAATCCCAACTTGGTTCTCACTGTTCTGAGCTGCTCTGAGCCATCCCACCCCACAGGATGTTTCTCGCCTATGCTCCACCGTTTGCTGGCAACTCTACTCTCACCCTCTGCTCCCGAAATCTGACCAACACTGTAACTGATCCTAGGGTCACCTCCTCCAGGAAGCCCGCCCTGAATCCCCAGTTCCCACATCCTCTTCTATGAGCCTACCCAGTTCCTGCTGCCGTCATGGCTCACAGCATAGTATATGCAAGCAGGGGTGTCCCAGTTTGTCACCCTGCCATCCCAAACATCCAGAGGGCTGGGAGTGTGCGTCTTTCACATTTATATCCCCCGCTGACTGACAGAGGATAGGTCTTCCAAAAATACCTGCTGAACTGGGGCAGACGCTGTGCTCCATGCTTTTGATGAAATATCTCATTGACTCCTCATGTGGAGCACTGAGGGTTGCCGAACCAGTCTGGGGTGAGGGGCATCCAAACAGGCTTCCCAGAGGAGACACCTAGCTGGGCCTGAAAAACTGATGAAGCTGGCTGTGTGGAGGGGAAGAGGAGAGGAGCAGAGGGGAGGCCGTGAAACACAGCCAAACATGGCAGATGGGGGTCAGCAAGCTGGCTCAGGATACGCCTTGGGTCCCGTAAGGCCTGGTCAGGTTGGCCTCACCAGGGTCGATGTGCAGGCCGGGCTCCAGGAGGAAGGCTGGGAAGGGGCCTGGAGGAGCAGACCCCGGGCTGCAGGCCGCCTCTGCCCTGGTGCTGTGCTACTCACCACATCAGCTCTTGAGGCTTGCCCCGATCACCTAGATAAAGGGAGCTGAGGGACAGACCCAGGGGCTGGGGGCAGACACTGCTCCAGGACACTGCTCCTCCCAGCAGGCTTTGCCCAGGCCCCCCGTGCCTCTAGCTGTCCTGTGGAACAATTAGAAACTCTGCTGACCTCAGGCAGATGACAGCAGCTCAGATGTCACAGGGCAAGAGAAAGAGGCTGTGGGGGCATCAGAAAGAATAGTGGGCAGATAAATAGATGGAAGGATAACGAGTTTCATTATGTAGGTGGGAAAACCCATGAATCTAAATGAGTGTCCTGGGGCCACTGTGCCACCAGGACCAACACGAATAACAGGATACGAGATATCTTTTACTGATGATTAACTCTGTACCAACGGGCATGCAATTTCTCTGTGGTGTGATTACCAAGTAGGAGGGCAAATTTCCGTAAGCTACCTTTGGAAATAAGCCTCTCTTTTATGGCGGTGTTCTCTGCTCATCTCATCTACGATCACTTTCATCCTGTCCACACATCTATAACCCTCATGTGTAAAGATGCCGACAAGGTCTCAATTTCAAAGAAATGGCAGAGAACATGACCTCTAAAGCATCTCCTTGGGACCCTCCCTCTCAAAAGCAACCAACAAATTTCTTAGAATCATGAGTAAAACAACCAGATGCTATCCCACGCAGGCTCCCTCCCCACCACCCTTCCCCACCCCATCTCCCGAATGCACAGTGGATGACTCTGTATGTATTACTAGTAAACATTCCCATAGCTATAGCTAGGATGCAAGCCAAACTGATCCTCTCTCTGCTTTTCCCAGCTTTGGATCTCAACCTAGGAAGAGTAACCATCAGCCAGACAGTAGACCTTAGGCAGAGGCAGGTCAAGGGAGTTACCTAAGGTCCTGAAGCCTGTAAGCCCGGACCTGCTCACCCACTAAGCTCGGTATTTATGCATTTGTCCATCTGGCCATCCAACATGTATGGAGCACATGCTGGGGATTCTTCAGAGAATAAAATGGACAAGGTCTCTGCCCTCACGGGGTTTACAATCCAGTTGCGGGGGACAGTCAGACATTAAATAAGAAAAGGTGGGGAGAAAGCACATGGACCATAAGGAGAAAATAGCCTTCTCAGGCACGGGGCCCCCTGCACTCACTGGTTGCTGGTTGGGGGGTGCAGGTATGGAAACGATGCAGTGAAGACATGGATATAAAGGAAATATTGGGAAGTTACCAGATGTGATGGTTAATACTGGGTGTCCACTTGATTGGGTTGAAGAACACAAAGTATTGCTCCTTGGTGTGTCTATGAGTGTGCTGCCAAAGGAGATTTACATTTGAGTCAGTGGGCTGGGAAAGGCAGACCCACCCTCAATCTGGGTGGGCACAATCTAATAAGCTGCCAATGCAGCTGGAATATAAGCAGGCAGAAAAAATATGAATAGACAGGCTGGCCTAGCCTCCCAACCTACATCTTTCTCCCATGCTGGATGCGCCCTGCCCTTGAACATCGGATCCAAGTTCCTCAGTTTTGGAACTTGGACTGGCTTTCCTTGCTCCCCAGCCTGCCGACAGCCTATTGTGGGACCTTGTGATCATGTGAGTTAATACTTAATAAACTCCCCTTTATAAATATATATATACGTATATATTCCATTAGTTCTGTCCCTCTAGAGAGCCCAGGAGTGGTCAATAACAGCTTTAAGCAAAACACGACTTAATCAACTAGACTTGGGTTAGTAGCGAACACTAGAAACTTGTTTAGAGAGACATGTTTCATCTAATGATGATTTGCTCATTTTGATTTTTTGTTTATTCCATTGATGGTCCCCATGGAATAGAAAATAAGGAGGGAAAAGGCCAGGGTCAGAGTCAGATCATAACAGCACAGGTTGCTAGGCCACAAACCCCTGTCTAGCCTTTGAACCTCAGGGCACCTTAGTTATCCCTGAAACTCAACAACCATAGGGGCAGCAGATAAAGTTATAACCGAGTATCTGCTGCCACCTCATTATCTGGGAGTTACTCTGACTTGCACAAGGACACACCAGTTTCTTTCCCCTAGGGTGTCAAGCCAACCTCCCTGATATCCAGGTCACCTCCCTATACCAAGGCCCTGGGATAGGGCCAAGGACAGAAATCTACCTGCATATGTGGCCTTCTTCTTGCCTTAGGAAACTGCTGTATGCAAGCTCCTTGCAGGTGCCTTGAAACTGACTTTAATGGAGCACAATGAAGGGCCCCAACCCTGGGTCAGCTCATCTCTCCCCACTTCCTTCTGTGGCGACAGACCCATCCTCCTTTGGGAGCAGCTCCTCTTCTCATGCCAACCCCATGGCCCGGTGGGGGCTGTCATGCTGCTCCTCCAGGACCATGTCTCCGCCTTGCTAACTAGCCCAGGGATGAGGACCTGACTCTAGGCAGCTGTGCTAATAAAGGGACCTTTCCAGGAAAGACAGGCTGTCCCATGTGGAAGACACTTCTGCAGTGGGAGTCAGATGGCTTCCAAACCCCTCCCTCCTGCCATCCCCATGCTTGTGTGATTTGGCTGTCAGCCTTCTTCTGATTACACAGATACCTGGCAGATTACAGTTGGGTATCAGGGACCCAGAGTTTCCCGGGAAATGTGAGCATGATGAGGCTAAAGTGTTGGCTCAGCTCTGTCTCCATTGCTCTGGGATCAGCTGCCACACAAGTCACCCCACTGACTACACCAGCAAAGAACCTCTTGGGGCCAAGGTCCAGCTCCACTATCTGTTTACCTTCCTAGCTCCAGGGTCTGCCTTGCCCTTTTTGGGACTTCAACACTGGGCTAGTCACTTCCTTAGGGGACTACAGTCACTTTTTCCTTGGAACTCCACTGACATCTGTCCTCAGTTGCCCCTGCTACCATGGTTCTGAATGCAGGGAGGTAGCCTGGGGCTGGGGGCTGCAAATGAGCTATAGTATTACAAAGATGTGAATTCATGTCCTGGCTCTGTTACCTCCTAGCTGTGTGACCTGGGGCAAGTATCCCTGCCTCTCTGTGCCTCATTTCCTTCATCTGTCAAATGAAGGTGATGATACCTACAGATCAGGGTGGTAATGATGATGTTGAGATACCACCTGTGAATGGATTCTGGTAAGGAATCAAGAAATACTATTTTCAATGTTTAAAAAGTGAGCAGGATATGGTGGCACATGCCTAGAGTTCCAGCTACTCAGGGGACTGAGGCAGGAGGATCGCTTGAGCTCAGGAGTTCGGGGCTGCAGTGAGCCCTGATCACACTACTGCATTCCAGCCTGGGTGACAGAGTGAGACTCCATCTTATAAATGAATGAATGAATGAATGCTATTTTCTACATCCATCCCCTGGATGTGATTATTCCTGTTTCCTGCAGGCTCTTAAAAGGCGCTCCCTTCAACTTGGGATCTGGAAGGGATATCAAACCCCTGCGTCCACCCCTTCACAAAAGCACAACCAGCCAATCTCCCTTCTCCTCTTGGCCACTCCAATTTTAGCAGCTTTTCTGGCTCCCTTAAATACATTCAGCTTATCTGAGATAGCGTCTCCTCATAAGCTAAAACACCCCCAGTCCTGCCACCTAATTTCTCCAATTTCTCCCCGCAAATAAACCAAAAGGTTCTTGAATTCTCTCTCCTTCACTGGTCTGCCAAGGAATAATGACGCGCTCTGTCAGTTCCCACAATTCCCTTAGTGCTCCTCAACCCACTAAATTATCTTAAATGCCCGCCCTGTCTCTAACCTGTACTGAATTTTAAAAGTGCACTGTAACTGTCAAATGAAAACCAGAACCACAACGAAGAGTCCACAGTTGTTATCTGCCTCTCATCGTCTGCTTTTAAAGGCTGGAGTGGGAATCATGTTATACAGGTGAAATGGGAAAAGTCAAGCCCACATTTGTAGACTTTGAGACACTTGGTTTTACATAAATGAGATTGATCAAACAGTTGAATCTGCTCTTGCCATTTTGATCTATCCACTTTGAGCTGCAATACACCAACCTTTCTTGTTTTCCTCATTCTTAATGTTGCTTCATGGTGAACCACATTAGGTAAGAATTTATTAAGTGCTTCTGATACGCCTGGTAGCATTCAGGGAGCCGGAGAACTCCAGCAGAGTTCAGGGCTGGGCACATCCTATCAGCCTGGAGCTCTGCTCCCTGGGCTATTTGCACGCTCTATCTCCTCCCTCCTTGACCCTTTCCTCTGACATTTGCCTCTGGGACCTAAGTCCACCCATTGCTTGGGCATGGGGGCTCCCCCTGTGGCCTGGGCTTGAGCCCCAGTTGCAGCCTCTCAGAGGAGTCAGGAAACCCCACACTCTTCTGGGAGCTGCTGGTAACTGGCCTTACCCTAACAGGGCCATTGGATTAGATGATGCCAACACCAGACTCCAAATCACCACACACTCAAGACAGAAACTAGAAATAAGAGATTTCCAGGACAGGCCTCCAAAAAGAACCATGAAAAGAACCTGTCTCCTTAACCTTTTTGGGTCATGAAGGTTATGACCCTCATCTTTGAGAACCTGATGAAAACGATTGATCCTCATCTCTGAAAGACGATGCGAACACAGTCTTGTGAATTGGACTTCTGGGGGTTTACAAGACCCCTGAAACCCCATGGGACAATGCAGAAGTCCACAGGTTCAGGCTAAGAACCCAAAGTACCTGGAAACAGGTTTTCAATTTCAACACTCAAGAAGAGATGAACAGATTTTCTTTTTTCAAAATAAAAAGGGGTCATAAAAAACATGAGTTCATCATAAAATAGTCATTCAACACTAAAGTATAAAAAGAAAAGGAAAATCACCCATAAATCCTACCACCCAGAGAACCCCATAAGGAATATTTTAGTATTTGAGTATATATGTGCCCTGCCAGAGGCTAAACATGTGCTTCTGTCCCTGCTCCGGTGGGAATGGTGACGGATGGTCACTCAGGCCCAAGGACATTGTTCTCTCTCCCCAAGAGGAGCAAATAAGTTTCCTGTGTCTCAAAGGTCTGCAACCCACTGAGGCCACCAAACCAGCAACCTGTCCTTGAGGGTGGGTGGGTTGTCTGCCTTCTGTGTAAAGGCTCAAAAGACATAGCCAGACAGGCGAGGGGCTTTGGGGAGGCCACCTCAAGGAAAGAGAGAATGTGGCCCAGGGTGGGGCCTGCACTCTCAGGCATGTGGACATCCCACAAGAGCTGCCCCACCCTCTGGTAGATACCTAGGGGTGGTGTGGACGGGCAGACCCCTGGCCAGTGGAGTCCAGCCCCTCGGATGACACAGGGAAAAGAGAAAGGCAAAGAGAGGCAAGATGTGATGCTGAAGCTCCAGCCAGATAAATCCTAGAGAGGGGCCATGCATCCCAGCCACCTCCCCATTCTTTCCCACCTGAGCCCACCCCTGAGCTACGGCTCTGAGGCACAGGGTAACATCTGTAGTGTGTGTGACAGCCGCACTGGCAGGAGGGCAGGATGGTAGTGAGGGCAGGATGGTGAGGCAGTCCCAGAGCTCCCTCCCAGGTGCCCGCCCTACTTCACCCTCGTGTACAGGATTCAGATTCTGCCCTTGTCTCCTCTTTTAGATCAGCCTCTTCCTTCTCTCTTGTGAGGTGGGGCTGCTGGTACATAACAGGGCTCTGCCTCTGATCAGCACTCACTTCATTTCAAGGTGGGCTTCCTCCTTTTAATGTCATCAGCATGGGGCCAAAGCCCTGTTGCCAAGACAACAGGGAGTGAGCGGGGTCTGCACTGCGTGGCTTGGCTCAGCAGGCGCACACTCTGCCTGCCAGACTCCAGCTGGCCTCGCGCTCTCCCTGCAGTGGGTACAGCCACATAAATCCTGTGGCTTTCTATTCTGTTCATCTCTTCAGTGGATCTTAGAGATCTCCAGGCACTTTCCTGAATTCACTGAATACTTCTACTAATGCTTTCTATTTTTACTAACTAGCCGTGATAGTATTTGCTCTTGCTGACTCAAGACACACACACACACACACACACACACACACACACACTCTCTCTCTCTCTCTCTCTCTCTCTCTCTCTCTCTCTCCCCCACCCACCCGCATATAAAGGTACCATTTTAAAATTTAATATATTATGCACAACCTTCCAAGTCAATAGAGACAGGTCTATGTGATCATGAGGTAATGGGGTATTTACTGTTGTACACGTTGGTTGCCTTCTCCTTTGTTTCCTATTACAAATGATGCTGCAGTAAACATCTTTAAACAGATATCTCTATCCCCTCATCTAATTATTGATGAGAACTTCTTTAAGATAAGGAACTAAGAAGAAAAAAGGGAAGAAGAGAGAAAGGGAAGGTGGGAGAGAGGGAGAGAGGGAGAGAGACAGAGAGGGACAGAGGGAGGGAGGGAGACAGAGAGGGAGGGAGGGAGGTCATTATCTAGCTCCACCCTGAAAGAAAACTAGGAATGACCCACAGACATAAATGTGTCCATTCTCAGCTTGCAGAAGAACCTGCTACATGACACTCTCACCTTCCCACTCCAATGCATCTACAACATGAGCTTAAGAAATTGTGACAACAGCTTATTTGTCAGATTTAATTTTGTCACTCATCTATGGTGTTTTTTTTTTTTTCACCTGCAGATATTTAACTCTATGTGGCAACTGGACATAAAGCATTCTGAGGAAAAGCAAATTAAAACTCCCAGAAATCAAACAGAAAGTAAAATCTTTAAGAAAAGGACCAAAATTAACAAAAAATACAGAATTTAAAACTTTGGTCACAATGAAGAGATGGCGATATGACAGAACTCTTAGGTTAACAATGTAAACCTTCACTTTCAATTTCTCATACTTTTTGTCTCCAGCTGAACAAAATAAAAGCTCAGGAGGAAGCGCATTGGGGCTTTTAGAATAGAGGACGCAGTACGTTAGACCCTGTGCATTCTAAGGGCTTGCATCCCCAAATCTTTTCCATGAAGCATACTGAGATCTTCACGCATCCCCACATTCAAACATACCACTCTGTACTTTTCTCCACTGAACGTACACAGGACAAAGAACAGAGGACGACCACCTCCCCTGGCTGTGTGGCAGGACGTGGCTCCCTCAGCAGCTGAGCAGCTCACTTCCTGCTACTTTCATCAAGACGTGTGCCTCGGCAGAATCACTATCACCATATACTACAGATCTCAGGGGTCCCTGCAAAGAGTCGAAACCACAAATGCTAATGGCCATCTACAAGAGTGAGCAGGACTGAGGACACAAGGGTCTGAACCACCGAGGAAGGTGTCACAGCACCCTGGCACCTGTCAGGGCTCCTTGCTTGCCTACTCAGAGGCAGTTCTATGTTAATGTACACACTGTTCTATCAAGCATTGTTATTTTCTTTCTTAGCGGATATCAGACTGAAAGCAGCACAGAAAAAGGGAGGGGATATAGGGGATCAGGGCCACAGGAAACACGATAGCTCTGCAGGTAGAAGAGTTCCCAGGGAAACTATCGAAAACACATGCACACTCTTTCCCTCTCTCCCCCCGCCGTCTCTCCCTCTCTCCCCCTCATCTCTCCCTCTCTCCCCCCATCTCTCTCTCTCCCTCTCTCCCTCTGTCTCTCCCTCTCTCACACACACAGAGCTGGCTAAGTGGGGCCTCCTCAGCTCCCCACCTGAGAACTTCTAAGCAGGTTGCCCCCTTGGCTTCTAGACCACTCCTGTCCACAGTCCACCCCCTGGCTGCTGCTGTTCTGTCTCCTTCGTGGCCCCTTGTCCTCTATCTGCCCAGATTTTCTTTTGGCTCTCTCTTCCATCTGCACCGCAGGGCACAAATTCAGAAGCTGACAGGGACTAGGCAGGTGGGCGCTGTGGCGACCAAGACAGCACTCTCCCCACCCAGGGTGGCAGCCCCGACTCAGCTGCCCGGCTCCTGCCAGCGGTCCCCGTAATGCTCCGTGGGCCTCAG
This sequence comes from Homo sapiens, assembly GCF_000001405.40. Taxonomy (NCBI): domain Eukaryota; kingdom Metazoa; phylum Chordata; class Mammalia; order Primates; family Hominidae; genus Homo; species Homo sapiens. The sequence continues at coordinate 141,266,292 of NC_000003.12, read as the reverse complement.
GTTGCTGCAGAGTCTGGTTTTTCAAAGAGGAGCTGGAAGTTTACATGAAATTGCCTAGTTTTAAAACTTTGGTAAATAAATTAAAAAATCTAAAAACAGGGGTTGGGCCAAACAAAACAAGTTCACAGGCTGTTGGTCTGGAGCAGCTTCCACTGCTCCAAGGAGCCCTGGTCCTCCGGAAACCAGGGCTTCACCAGCAGGGAATACAAAGTCCCCAGATGGTGGCTTCTGACAGGGTCTCTCATAGGCCTCAGACCCTCAGGTCCACTCTTAGGCAGGACACTGCATCCACTGGGCCCGCTGGCTACCTCCAATGATGTCCATGCCCTTCAGTGACTCCTCCCAGCCTGGTCTCCTTCCTGCTCTGCCCCAGATTGTCCTGCTGCTTAGGCCCTGTCCCACTTCCCTTCCTGCTCTGAGCACTTTCCCGTGGCCTCTTTCTTCAGACCCAGGGAGCCACCAGCCCTGCATGGTTGACTTCCCAGTCTGTGTTCTGAGAATTTACTTCCACCTATGGCAGACTTATCCCAGATGGAGATGAGTCATTTACGTGAATGAATGCATGCATGAATGAAGTGTCTACTGAACTCCCCGAGCCAGACTCCTGGGTGCCATGGTAGAGTCCCCCCGATACCATCATCCTAGCCCCACGACACCACCCAATTAGCTAGAGTTCCACAGAACCACCATGACGTCTCTTGGCTTTGCTTCTTCCTTTCAGGGTCAATACCTTCATTGGGGCCACCCTCAGCTTGCTACTAGATGAGCAAAACAGCCTCTGAGGTGCCTCCCAGCATCACCCTTTCACAAGCCTCTGGATTGGCAGTTCTTAGATTTTGTGTGCATTAGACTCACCCAGGGAGTTTGTTAAAGATGCAGATTTCTGGGTTCCACTACCACCAAGATTCTGATTCTGTAAGGAAGGGCACAAAATGTGCTTTTTTTTTTTTTTTGGTTTTGGAACATGCATTTTGACAAGCTTCCCAGGTTATTCTGATGAAGGTGCTTTGGAAAACACTGTGCTGGACTGTAGTCTTTCCAAGACACAAATCTGATGGTGTCTTCCTCGCTTCAGTGGCTCCTCACAGCCTCAGGAATAGTGTAGTGATAGGAGGTAGGTCCCAGACTTTGTTCCAACTTCACAACTACCTACAGGTGACTCACCTGGGCCTGCTCTCTCTCACTCTGCCTTTGCACATTTGGCCAGGAGCACCTGTACTCAGCTGCCTCCTTGACCACTCCTGCTTTCTTTAAAGGATGAACTCAGATGCCACCTCTTTTAGGGGGTCTTCCCCAACTCCAAGCTGGATTGGGTTCCTGTACTCTAGTCTCTCATACTACTCTTCCATAAATGATCTCTAATTCATTTGTTTAACAAACACATACGTAGTGATTACTATGTGCCAGGTACTGTTCTGGGTGTTTTATAAATATTAGTTTGCTGAATCCTTTGCCAACCCTATGAAATACGAACTATCATTGTCCCCATTTTACAGATGGGGAAACCAAGGCACAGAGAGGGTAAAGAAGTTGCCTGAGGTCACATAGCTGGTAAGTGGCAGGACAAGGATTTGATCCAGGCAGTCTGACTCCAGAGCCCACGTTCTTTCTGACCCCACTGTGCTGCTGCCTCTTACCTGTCCCAGCACACAGCACCTGGTATTCCAGGGTGTCGGCTTGTGATTCTTCTCCACTGGACAAAGAGCTCCCTGGGGCCCATGAGGGATTAAACTCTCAGCCCGGGGCCTAACACACAGTGGAAACTAAAGAACATTTGCTAAAGAACAAAGTGTCACATACTCATGGCACTGGATCAATGAGAAAAGATAAAATTCATAAAACCTAGAGTTTAAAGAGACTTTAAATGGGATCAGACTCAATGACCTGTCCAATACTTTACTCTTCAAAGAGCAGCCCTCCAGAGTTTGCAGACTCCAGTGACGGAGAACACACCATCCATTCCACCTCTGCATGGCACTGACTTTTAGGAAGTTCTACCATATGCTTAACTGAAATGTGTCTCCATGTTCACCTCCTCTTGCAGAAAGGGCCCTTCAGATATTGACAGCAACCCTCACTCTCATTTTTGCAGGTTAGCCCTCCTCTTTTCCTCTTTTCCCACTGGGAATCTGAATCTCCAGTTCACCTTCAGCATTTCCTTCGACTCTGCTCTGGCCAATCGGGGCCCTGACCAAGAGGGAAACCCCAGATATGGGTGCCATGTGCTCAGTATAAATTAACCCCATCATGGCCAACGCACTCTGATTAAAAACAAATGCATGCGTGATCTATTTCAAAAGCTTTCCCCACCAAGTGGCTGAAGTAACATAAACTCTGGCAACTTCTGGAACACCAGGAGCCCTGGTTTCTGATGATGGTGCACTATGACGGAACTCTGCGCTGGTTTGCTTAAAAGGTTTATGTTGGCTATGCTTCCATGAGCCAAGGGTTTTCCCGTATCTCCGTTCTCACAGCAACCTTGCAAAACAGCAATAATTAACTCTATTTTACAGAAGAAGGAATAGGACACACAGCCACTTAGCAGGGAAGCTGACATTCAAATTATGATTCTAGAGCCTGCGTGCTCCTGTCACAACACCATTTTGGGAATGGTGGTCAGAACATGGAGAAATGAGCATAAAATCAGCATTAAGAAAATGCAAGGGCCAAGGAGGGAAGTGAATGATTACAAATGAGCACAAAAAGTGGAAACATAACTCATGATTCCTAAGTCTTCACATCCTGACAGTCTTTCCTTGCTGCACTAAAGGAGTCCTTTAATTTGAAGTTATTTTTCCACTTGTATGTATTTTAACTACAATAACCAAAAATATCTATGCCTTGCCTGTTCCCTTCTACAATTCAAACATCAGGAATTTCAGAATGTTTCACCTTCCAAACACAAAACATTAAAGACTTGAAAACATAGACTTATTTTTATTAAAGACAATTAGCATATAGCAAGTCATTAGCACCATTTAAGATGAACATATTTTGAGAAACTGTGAACAGTATCTTAATCTTTTCTGTATTTCCTTACTACCTCCACTTCCACAGTGTAGAAAAACGTCAAACACACATAAGCACTTAATAAATATATGTAGGTTCACTACATACTTTCTGTATCCAGAGGAAGACATACTTATTTAAGCAATCTGATTTTTGAATCGTAACCTGGGCTATTTCTTCTTCACATTCAAAACATCAGGAAAAGAAAACTACCAATAAGACCAAATAAGATATACGATCATTTCAGATAACAAAGCTATATTCTTTACTTAAAGCATGAGAAAACCGAGTTATACTTAGTTGCCTCAAATATGTTACTTAAAGTAATTATATATGCTAATTTGGTATTCAAAAATAAGTAAAAAGAAATGGTAAAGAAAAAAGTCCATATATTTTAGGATAAGAATGAGAACATAAGTGGTATATAAGCGAAACCTGTGCGTTATGAATTAGTGCTGTTTCTTACAGTATAATAATAAGCAACCAATAAAGCAATTAAATAAATGGAGCAATTAAACTCACTTCTACAGAAATGGGGAAATTCCAAAGTTACAGTTTACCTAAAAGAAGAGCAGTAAGAACGTCCATATCTTAATATCTTTCCGATCTCCAACGTATCCAAGAATAAAGAGCTCAGACCCAGACAGGCTAATTTACCCTGCAAAATTTTCCTTAAAAAAGTATGGCTGAAAATTGGCTTTCCTAAAACAGAAGGTACTTTCAGAAGAGTTATATAAGCAAAACACACAGGCCAATTCAGTGACGTGGAAACCAGCTCATGCAAGAGAAATGCCACAAACACAAGTAACACACATTCATGTCTCAGAACCTGTCAGCCTCTCAAAATAAAATCAGGGTTGACTGTAACATCCTACCTCTCCAACCAAAGGATGGAAAATTTTTAATGAAAATTTATAAACAATTAAACTACTGAATATCTTACCACACTTTTTGGAAAGGATTCAGATTTTACAATTCATTTGCCATCTGGAATATTTTTAAACTTCTGATGCCCACCTTCTTTTGACCTCTTTTCCAATTCTGGAAGGATAAAACGAGTATTTTAAATTCTTTTTACTATTAGAAATAGGCTGTCATATGCATGTACATGGAAATATGTCACAATTGGAAGTGAATCAGAGAAACTTCCTCAAAGTCTCCTCTCTTGAAACCACCTCCTCCTAGAGCCAAGCCTTCCCCATGTTCCTCTGTGTACTCATAACATCCCACTTACCGAGCCACCTGCCCTTCTTTCCATCATTCAAACTGCAACAGAAATGCCCCTCCTCACACAGCTGTCCTGGGTGGTGTGGGTGCCAACTGCTTGTCTCCCACCCATCAGGATGAGGTGGTTAAACGGAGAGAAGGCAGGTGACAGCAACAACACAATTCCTGGCATCACACAGATGTTTTCTCAGCTTCAAATACACAGCAACAGAAGGAAAGAAAATAAGGTTCCATCTGCTTTTTAGAGCAGGCATGGATTCATGCATTCAGCAGACATTTACAAAATATTACTACGTGCTAGGCAGTGCTGGTTCCTGGGATACAGAGAGAAACAGGATGTGGTCCTGCTCTCAACGAGCAGACAATCTGGTAGAAGGAAAAGACACAAGAACTGAAAATTATACTAGTGCATGGTTAGTGAAAGGAGGGGGCCGGGCGTGGTGGCTCACGCCTGTAATACCAGAACTTAGGGAGGCTGATGTTCTTACTGCTCTTCTTCTTCTAGGTAAACTGTGACTTTGGAATTTCCCCATTTCTGTAGAAATGGAGTTTAATTGCTCCATTTATTTAATTGCTTTATTGGTTGCTTATTATTGTGCTGAAAAAAATGGCACTAATCCATAATGCACAGGTTTATGCTTATGTAACACCTATGTTCTCACTTGAGGTCAGGAGTTTGAGACCAGTCTGGGCAACATGGTGAAACCCTGCCCTGTCGCTATAAAAATACAAAAAATTAGCTAGGTGTGGTGGTGCACGCCTCCAGTCCTAGCTATCCAGGAAGCTGAGGTGGGAAGATTACCTAAACTCCTAAACTCGGATGTTGAGTCTGCAATGAGCTGTGATCGTGCTACTGCACTCCAGCCTGGGCAACAGACTAAGACCCTATTTCAAGAAAAAAACGGGGGAAGGAAGGAAGGGAAGGAGGGAGGGAGACAGGTTCAAGGATTCAGGGCATCCTGATGTATATAAAAGAAGCACCAAACCCTTAAGTATTCCTGGAAGGGTCCTAGAGGAGAAGGGGCAAGGGCTGAAAGGGAAACAATGAGAGGGGGTGAGGAGGAGAACGCTCTTGGCAAAGGAGCACCAGGATCTGAGCACAGAAGCAGCAGAGAGGGGCCACAGGAGGGCAAGGGGCCTCTCAGAAGACCATGGGCCACCACTGAGGTGTTGCCACTAAGGAGGTCCTGGGGCCAGATCTGTGTCTGAGAACAGCCACTCTTAGGTGAGCTGTAGTGTGCACAGATTTGGGGCCTGGCCTGAGCCTAGGAATCTCAGTGGAGGATGCTGCATGGTGAGGCCCATGGCCTGGCTTTATCAGAGTCCTCCTGTCTCGTCACAGGGGATTTCCCATGCAGCCCCTGCTGCCTGGGGGGTGGGTTTGATACTGGTGACCTAATCTCCCCACCCTCCCCGAAACAACTCCAGCCCCGCGGCTGACTGAAGGCTAAACAGACACCCAACTTGCAAGGACCCAATCAAAGGGCTAAACACCTCTGCTCTGTGTGGTTCAGCATAAGAAGTCAAGCAGGGCCACTCAGTGTCTCCATCTGGTGAATCTGAACAAAAAATCTGGGAATAACCAGGCAGTTCAGGAATTCATGCAAAAGTCAAAAGAGCACACAGAACACTGCTCGGTGGTTTAGGATCCCTCCTTGCAACCGGCCACTGTGAGTGCCAACAATAAAAAGACTTCGTTGTCTTCAGCCTCATCATTCATTTATAAAACAAGCCTTTGGGGCCTCCTTGTTTCCTATGAAGCCCCTACCCTCCCACGACCTGCGGGGCCCGGCTCTACTCACAGAACTGCAGGCTGAGGCTCACAAAGGCCAGCAGCGCAGCCAGGGCCAGCAGCAGCAAGAAGCGGTTGCGGAAAAGCATTATTAAGTATTCTATTTTCTCTTCATGGTTTCACCTCAAATCGGGAACATGTCCTGTGAATAAAGCAGAGGTGATAAATGAGTGTTTAGAGGTGGAGAACTAAATTTGTCAACTGAAAATAACCAAACTTGTCAACTGATAATAATCTGATTAGCCCAGTCCCCCGGCAGGGAAGCATGCATCTCTAGCTGGAGAACAACAGCATGCTCTATGATTAGTCTTTGCCCCCAAATAAGCCCAAGCGAGAATGCTCCCTTCAAGTTAGTAAGCAAAAACTAGTTCCTGAATGCCTTATCTGACATCAACAAGGAATGAGATATTTTACAGACATGACCTTCCCAAGGAAAAACGCAAAGGATGTTTATTGGGTATTTACAATGTGCTGGACAATAAGGGAAATCTTCACACGGACTCATCTTGCTGTGACCTTTAACCTTTAAATCTTCAAGGTTTTTTGGTGGACATTCTGCTGAAATGATCTTGGTATTCTTTAATTGTAATTGTTAATCTGAACAACAATCATCACAACATGTCCCCCAATGCCTTGGGGGATGGTCTGGGTGTGCAAAAGGATTTGCTCCTACACCGACTAGCTCCATCTGCTAATTGAGACCTCCCTTCATCCTGGACCACTAAGCCTGTTTCAGCTGTATCCATGGGTCTTCTGGAAGCCTCGTCCTGCCTATTCAAAATTCCCCTAACCACATTGGAAGTGTGCAAGAGGACTTTTTAAAAAAGCTGAATAAGGTCCTAAATGTCCCTTCTGTGGGAAAAAAAAAAAAAATGAATGACTACTATAACTTCTACCCTATCAGTTTTAGAAGTCAAGTTTATTTCCTGGTTCTCTTTGGGATTTTAAAGAGAACTTGCAAACCATAGTCTCTTTAGAAAAGGTTCTTAAACTACAGTTAGATTGTAACGGTAATTTCAAACTTGAATCTTTTCCCCATTCAAATATAATCTTCTTCAGAGATCAGACAGACAAAATCAGATAAAAGCTCATCTGCTAATGTGTGAGGGCTGTGTAACTGTGAATATAACTGAATATAGCCATTGAGCTGTACACCTGGGGTGAATCCTATCTCAATAAGCTGTACTACGAAAAGCACATCTTTTGGGAATGAAGCAGGAGCCAGACTCCCAGAGCCCCTTGCCTACCACCTCCTCCCCAAGGGCCCAGTAGGTGACTTTGAAAACCCACTTGTTTAAGCGACCTGTCAGACTTTCTACCAAAAGAGAACATTTGCTAACAGATTGATGAAAACACACTTGCACCTTACGATTGCGCCTGTGTGTCCAGCAACCAGCATCTCTGTTAACAAACAGATCCCAATTTCATTTTATTTATTGATTTTGTGGTTTTGTAACTCTATTTGGCATATGTGACAATCAGCAGTTAGTTCTCATCCACATTGACCAGATTTTTGAATGTGGTAACAGGTACATAGGTAACCAAATATAGAGCTTGTTTGTTGAAACTTCATCCTCATTACGTTTCCTGGATAGCCGCGCATGACGGTATGGGACGTGCCTTAGTCCTCTGGCCCAGACAGCTTTGTTGAACCTGGTATGAATGTGCACATCTGAAGTCCCCCTCTCCTTCAATCTCTCTGAGTGCTGGAGAGGCACACTTCTTGAAGCCCTTTCTTGAATATGCTTCTTGAATGTGCTTGTGAATATTGATGGTGTATTTTCAGGTCACCATCTTGTTAATGGCGGAATGGCCCTTCTTCTTGCCACCCTTCTTGTGGGAGCCATTCTCCCATGCCCAAGATGGAAAGGAAGAGCTTGAGGGAAACGCTTCTGTCCCATGAGTCACTATCCCTAACCGAGAGTCAGTGCCTCCGTGCCCGAAGCTCAGTACTACACGTACACATGTTCTCCTGCACATCCCTCCCTCTGCAGCTCTGGTGCAAATCTTGTCTTCAGGCCTCTCACTCTGGGCCTGGGAAGCCACTGTGCTGGCCCTGGGGAATCATCCACCCCCGGTTTCTGATGCCACATGGTGTCTTTTGTGTCATCACCTCAGAGGCCGACCTGCCTGCTGGTTGCCCTGCGTTTGCATGTGGGAGGCGAGGGCCTTGTTTCTGCTGCTGGGTCATGTCTTGTCCCTCAACTACTTCCTGCTTCCATGCTCTTAAGGGATTTCCCTCTCCCTGACTTGTGGGAGAGGCCAGTAGGACAGCTAAGTATGTTTCCTATGGTCTTACTTGACACTGCATTTTCTTCTTTCTTTCTCTCTCTCTCTCTTTTTTTTTTTTTTTTTTTTTTGAGACAGAGTTTCGCTCTTGTAGCCCAGGCTGGAGTGCAGTGGTGCAATCTTGGATCACTGCAACCTCAGCCTCCTGGGTTCAAGTGATTCTCCTGCTTCAGCCTCCTGAGTAGGTGGGATTACAGGTGGCTGCCACCACACACCCGACTAATTTTTGTACTTTTAGTAGAGACAGGGTTTCACCACATTGGCCAGGCTGGTCTCGAACTCCTGATCTCAGGTGATCTGCCTGCCAAAGTGCTGGGATTACAGGTGTGAGCCACTGTGCCCGGCTGACACTGCCTTTTCATAAGGGATTAGCCACAGTATGGTTTACAGTTGTCTTCAGGTGGGCATTTGGTGGAAACAGTGGCTACTTGCTATAAGTCTCAGTTTTATAGCATGGTAAATTGTCGCAGTAACAGCCCCCAATTTTTTCATGCTCTTTGTATCCATGGGCTTACCCGGTCTTTTCCTATATTGACTTTTGGCTTGGCCAAGGAACTTGTTTTGGCCATGGGACAATAGCAGATGTGTTACAAGCAGGGACTTGAAAAGTACTTATGCATTGGGGCTTGTCTTCCTTTACTACTTTTCCAACACTGAGACCACCATGTGAAGACCCTAGGCCAGACTGCTGGTGCATGAGAGACCACATGGAGCCAAGGTAAGCAGTCCCTGCTGAGGCTCCCTTGAAACAAACTGTGGTGACAGTTTGCTTGATACAAAGCAAAAGCTAACTGATACAATAAATGGGAAATGCCTTGAATCTTCACCAGGAAATTCTAAGCCAGGATCTAGATCTCAATATCCTCATCTGTAGGCACGACATGAAAATCTCCATCTTGTCTACGTTCTTTAATATGCGGAGTGCTTTTTGGGAAAACAGCTATATTTAGTTTTAGATTTAAATACGTTAGGTTAACCAGATGGCTGGGATCGTGTAACTGCCTGACTGCTTCTAGTCTGCACTGCTGACATCTCTACCAATCTGTGACTTTTCATTTGCTGAACAGTGGGAACATCCACCGTTTCCCCTTGATACTCTCTGGGGTCTGCACCCTCCCACTTCTGGCTCTCCTCTGATAGCCTCTAGCATGGTCAGCATTTCCATTATTTCTACTTGTGCTAGGGAGTAGTCTGGTGTGATCACAGCCCTAGGGGTGTATGTACACAGCCTGGCCAGAGGAACACCGAATCCCAGGATGCCTTCTTTTGGAGCCCATTTCACTAGAAAACTTGAAGATAATGATCATACTTTAGTCTTGGTTTATTAAAATGGCTAAATGATGATAGAATCCAAAATTCACATGGATTTGAAGAAGTTTGCAGCTGAAGCTAGGACCCCAAGGAGTAGGGGTGTGTGTGTGTGCGCACACGCGCATACGTGTGTGTGTGTGTATGTATACGTGCACGTGCCTGTGTCCAACATGAGAAGTGGAGTGCGTAGTTCTGCTGCTGTGGGTGTTTCTTTGCTGGGGACACTTCAGTGGAAGAGACTGAAAGGAGCCCTAATGTGGTGTAAAGGACGAGGCTCCAAAGATAGGCAGATCTGTGTTCAATTCCTAGCTCTGCTGCTTATTTTCTGTGTGTCTTGACAACTGGCTCCACCTCTCTGAGCTGCAGGATCCTGCTTTTTAAATAAGACTGAGGATAAGAGACAAAAGAGCAGGTGGCGGTGGGGAGCAAATCTCACAACAGGCAGAGCCCTGCGGTCGAGCAGATATGTACTATGTCTGACTTCCACACTCCGGAAGAATCACACAGACACCTATACCACAATCTAAACACAAGGAGTCGCCCTTTTCCTTGAACTATTGCTTCTGCTCCATGCTGTGGCTCTGCTTTCAAATCCTGGCCACTGGCCCCTCCCCTACTCACTGGCCCCATCCCATCCATCAGGGTAGGCAGCCACGTCTGCAACCATGTTCATGGCTCCTCTGCCACCATGAGCCTTCCTGGGGGCTGACTCAGCTGTTGTGTCCCTGCCTTGCCCTAGGTTTTCCAGCCTGGAACATCTGCCTCAGCTTCTGTTGGGCCCCACTCCAAGAGGATGAGGTACCAGCCAACTGGCTCTTTCTGGCACTGTGGTTCAATCTCCAGCCTGAGTTTTCCAGAGCTCCCTTTCCCCCTTTCCATCTCCAGGTAGGTAGGAGGCTCCTACAGCCACTCAAGAAGTCACACAGTCCTTGGTTCCCTTCCTGCCATCTTCCTGCACTTCTTTCCATAGGAGCTCTGCGCCTACCCCTGGGGTCTATAGCAGCTCCTCAAGACATCTGGTGAGACTCATACAAGCTATGCCAGGCGACAGCCAGGATTCTGAGCCCAGAGCGGGACCCCCACAGCCTGCTTGCTCACAGTCCTAAAAATAAGATCCACAGGAAGAGTCCCTGCTTCACCGGCAGGGTGAGGTGCTATGGGATTACAGCTCCCACATCTTCTAATCCCCAAACATCTCTCAAGTCCCATCACCTTCTGTGGAAAAGATGCTCTTGGCTCAACATGGCATCATGACCAAATCCAATTCCCACAAATACTTCTGTGTAAACAACTGTTATATGTCCAGGCTGAACATAAAATAGTTGTCAGTCATCACATGTCTGTTGGGCACAGCTGCAGTCCCCTGTGCTAAACCCACGTGGTACAAATATCTGAAACCTAGAAATTGAATTATTACTCTGAATTCCTGATGAAACAGCAAAAACAAAACAAAAAACAGAAAACCCAGCTAACTCAATTCAACCTTATTACAAGTCTGAGCTGTGAAAGAAAAGATTTTAGAATACAATTTTGAAACATAGTACTAGTTAATAAGCAGTTCCCATTACATTATGAAGAATACCATTTCTGAATTAAAAGGAGAAAAAGAACACGTCAAAGGCATTTTTACAAGCTACCGTTCTACCACCAGAGAGTTCCAGGGCCCAAGCCTTGGCCTATTTTTCACCTTGTAAGAGCTGAAAACACCACATCTAGTGACAAACTCTGGTCCAGGCTGTCCTTCAAAGTGTACAGAATTTAGGGTTTTAAACATGACCACAACTGCTAGAAAGAAAATGTACAATTACCTTTCATTTGTGCAGTTAAAATACCATTACCAAGAATAGAAAGGTAGTATTAAAGAAAATGCTTCAGATGTATTCTACACGTTGATTTTTTTGGTCAGAATTATTTTGGCCTAAGTAAATACAGCATTACAATTAAAAAAAAAAACCCTTCAAGTCTGCAATTGTGAACAAAATATGAGTCAAGCAAAGGTAAAAGCTATATCTTAATAGTTCCCCTTTTCCAAAGTCACGTCAAAGTGGAGTTTAATTGCCAAATCAAAGATGCTTGCCCAAGAAAAACCAACCTTGAAGTCTGATGAAGATGCGCAGATTCCAGAGCCTCCTGGAAACCCCAGGAAGGCACCTGGGATGAAGGGGCTGTGAGTTCACAGCAGTTATTCACATTCCAGAGTTCTCCACTTAATTTGCAGGCTCATTTCTAAAAGCTGAAGCCAGTTCACGCACTCATTCATTCAGTCAGTCAATTCAAAATAACATTTCCTGAGAGCCAGTAAGTGCCAGGCACTATTCTAAGTGGTAAGAACACAGGACACAGGATACAGGACACAGTTTTTGTCATATGGAAGGTCCCAGCTGAAAGGCACTAAAGTATTTATGGGAGAAACGATACAAGACCTAGGACTAGCTTTAAAATATTCCAGAGGGGCCGGGCGTGGTAGCTCACGCCTGTAATCCCAGTACTTTGGGAGGCCGTGGCGGGCAGATCACTTGAGGACAGGAGTTCAAGACCAGCCTGGCCAACACAGCGAAACCACATCTTTACTAAAAATACAAAAAATTAGTCGGGCATAGTGGTATACACTTGTAATCCCAGATATTCAAGAGGCTGAGGCATGAGAATCGCTTGAGCCCCGGAGGTGGAGGCTGCAGTGAGCTGAGATTGCGCCACTGCGTTCCAGCCTGGGTGACAAAGAGAAACTTCATCTCAAAAAATAAAAATTATATATATATTCATAATTTATATATTATATATAATATACATATCTAATATATATTAGATATATATATATTCCAGAGGAGATAAAAAGGTTGAGGGGAATAGATGAAATAAGATTGGCAAAATGGTGACAATAGTTGAAGCAGGGTGACAGATCCTTGAGGGTTCATTATCTGCTCCTCTCTGCTTCTGTGTATGTCAGAAGTTAAAGGTGTTTTTTTTTTTTTAGAAAAGTTTCAAGAAGTTTTTTTAAAAACAGAAGTGTAGAGTCTGGCGAGGGAAGTAGGGAGTAAACAGATCACTAGGCTCTATCAAACCAGTGCTGTCAGGAGGAAAGAAGACTGCATCCAGGCTAGGATACGGCAGATTGGATTTCTGAAGTGGCAATGCCAGAACTCCATCTTGAAGAGCAGATTGGTGTTGGTGCATCTGTGACTGAATTTTAGGAAAACAGAATGAACTCAAGGGATGGTGTTAAAGGTGGTGGGGAGGTATTGGGTTGTGAAAGGAGCCAGAGAGGGGGATGATACATCCAACACTGATACATGCAGGGAAGTGTTGTGCCTAGGGAAAGCCAGCTGCCCAGAGGCCACACAGGCGGAGCTGGGGTGCCCCTGCCATGTCTGGGTCTGCTTCTCCAAGGGATGGGCTTGCCTGGCCCAGCACCCACAGCCCTCTACCCAGGCCAGCTTCCCCACTGACCTCAAGGTGTCCTACCATCAGTGGGACCAGAAAACACACTCACTGATTCTCACTCCTTCCCTGGAGTGCCCTCTGGGCACTAAGCTGACTGAGCTGCAGGATGGAGCGGGAAGAGGGGTCTGATTGCAGGATCCACACCACCAGGCAGGCCAGCTTGAAAGACAGGCCCACTTCATGAACCTACCCTTATTTTCTAGGGCCAGGGTCCTATCTCCTCCCAACACCTGGCCTCCTTGGGGAATACTGGACAGGAACAGGCCCAGAGGCCTCCCTGCCCCTCTCAGCAGGGGCAACATATTGAAGGATATCTAATAGTCATGAGGCGTGGCTCCCCTGGAACATTTTGCACTTTGCCGCACCACAGACCCTCTCTCACCTGGGGGTCTCCTCCTGAAAAACAGCCTGTCTTCTACCCTAGGGTGGTGAGGGGTGATTTGACCTGCGTCACTGTCATGCCCAGATGTGATATAGAGTGGTAACACCCGCCTCTTGGCTGTGGGGAAGCCAGTGGGGAGCTGAGGTGGTGCTATGGTTTGGATATGTGTCCCCTCCAAATCTCATGTTGACATGTAATCCCCAGTGTAGGTGGGGCCTAGTGGGAGGTGTTTGGGTCATGGCAGTGGTTCCCGCATGAATGGTTTGGTGCCGTCCTCTTGCTGGTGAGTGAGCTCTAGCTCTGTTAGTTGACGTGAGAGCTGGTTATAAGGAGCCTGGGACCTCCTCTTTCTCTCTCTTGCTCCCGCTCTCACCGTGTGATACGCTGGCTCCCCCTTTGCCTTCCACCATGATTGTAAGCTTCCTGAGGCCTCAGCAGAAGCAGATGTTGGCACTACGCTTCTTACAGACTGCATAACCATGAACTAAATACATTTCTTTTCTTTATGAGTTACCCAGTCTTGGGTATTCCTTTACAACACAAAATGGACTAACACAGGGGGTGTGCTGATCAGTGCTGCAGATTGATCCTGAAGCAGGCCCTGAATAAAGGGCAGCACCAAACTCAATGTTCTTTGCCCTGCTTTAAGGACCTGTTATGATCTGGCCACACCCCACAAATCCCACCTCATTTCCCAGTCATACCCACAATAGGCTGTTAAATGCATGGGCCTGGGGTCAGCTGGCTAGGTCTAGAGCCCTGCTCTACGTGATAATGAGCCACAGTTTCCTCATCTATGAAGTGAGAACAATCTCTGAGCCCATTTCATAGGTTGTATAGGGAGGGAGTCGTGGGGTTAAGATATGTAAGGAACATGGTACAGTACCTAGCCTCTGATACGCTCTCAGTAAGTATTAGCAGTGATTTTGCTGATGGTTTTAATACCCACCAGCCACAAGTGAGCTACTTACCCTACTTCTCCCTTGTCTTTGTTCCCTCTCCCCAACTCTAGAAATAGAATCTCCACTAGACCATGCCAGAGAAAGTCAGAGTTTGAAGAGGTTTTAAATATCATTTGGTTCAAACCCCTTCATTTACCTGAAGAGAGGCCAGGGCAGGTCCGAGGGGCAAAAGGCTCCAAGCTGCTCAGGGAGGCTGGCCTGCATGGCTGAAACCCTTGCTTCACATTCAGAGTGGTACCCAGCAATCTGTCCTTGTCACGTTCTTCTTCACTGTAGCAGACATACTATGTGGCAGATGCTTCTAACTGCCCCAAGTGTCTATTCCTTCCTTCCTCTTATGAACAGAACCCTCTGGATTTTAGCTGGATACATGACCATCCAGCTAGAGAGAATATTTCCTAAACTCCCTTGCAACTGTTGTAGAGATGTGGTCAAGTTCTTCCAATGAGTCGTGATTGGACGTAATATGGCCATTCCAGATCAAAAGGAAGCTGCCTGCCCCAGACCATCCTGACGTTTTTCTTCTCCTATTCCAGGCTCTGAAACACTGGCATGATGAGGAGCAACTTTCACCATGCAGATGGAAGCAACATCCTAGTGGATGACAGAGAAGGACCCTAGATAACCCCAAGGGGCAAGGCCACCCATTCCTTGATTGCCTTCCAGCTCAAATCATTTTGGGTGAGAGAAATTAATCTCACAGCATTTTAATCCATTGTTATTTCACTTCTGTTTAAGCAGACAAACCAATTTCCGATCTAGAACTTGCTGTTAGCAGAACGCTGGTACTCTTCATGGGGCTCCCTTCTGGAGGTGTAATGAGTAAGTGCACAGGCGTTCATGAGCTGCATTAGGCAGAAAACCTCGTCACTGACCAGGCTGAATACCACTCTTAGATATGATATGAGACACTGTTGTGGTCACCTTTGTTCTTTTTGCACTTTAGTTTTTGTTTTATCTTAAATAATTCATGTATCTATAAAGATGGCTTGGCTGCAGGTAACAGAAAACCCTAGCAAGCAAAGAGACTCATCCACATTCTCACATGACAAACCATAGTATTAGGACAGCAGCTCCAAGGCTAGTTGATTCAGCAACTCCAAGCATCAATGGGAAGCCAAGAGCTTTCCATGTCTGTCCTCTTACTAGGCTGGCTTCTCTCAGGGTCGCAAGCTGGCAGCCACACTGCCAGGCATCACAGCCATACTCAGCCATGGGCAAAGGCAGAAGGGATAACTCTGTTCATCTCTACTGGAAGCAAAGAAGCCTTCTCCAGAAATCCCTCCCCCAGGCTGCCCATCGCATCTCACTGGCTGAAGTGTGTCATGTGCCCACACTCAAACCAATCACTGACACTGGGAATGGATACAACGACTGGGTGGAACCAATCAGGATGCACCTCCTGGCAGACGCCCACGCAGGGATAGAATGGGCAGAGACCTGAATAGAGTCAGGGCTCTGTTAGGAGTAAGTGAGCAAGGGGATGTTTGTGACAACTCACAACTGGAGAAGGTGTGACAACATGCACAATTATTCTAAAAAATTATTTTTAAACACAATCATCTGATGACAGTACCACAACTTTTCAGATCCAATAATCAAAACACATACAGTCATAATTATATGTTTAAAAACATCAGTGCTGGTTTGCTCAGGTGTAATTCAGCAGAGACAAACAGCAGAGCAGCCTCCTGCAGCCTACTGACTGTACGTCTTCCACTAACAGACCTTTTGTTTCATATTTTACATGTTTTTAAAATATGCAGCATTAATTATTTAGCTACCATTTCTTTCCTAAAAGGATTTGAGGCTGATAATCTGCAGATTTAGTATTTTTAAATCCCTGAAATAGTAAACTTTTTTTTTTCCTTTGTGAACTACATGTTCTAACCACTCTCTCCTTTGAGATTTTTTTTCCAACTCTACAAAGGATAAACTTGTCAAGGCATCTGATCATTTCTCAGGGCCAGAACAGACTAAAATAACTAACTCATCAAGCCAGGATTTTCACTTTTATGTACGCTTCAGTTATTATTATTATTATTTTTTGACATAGACAAGTCTGTGTTCCATCCAACGTTACTGCTTTGCTCTTTCTTAAGTTTCAAAGTAGCTACATCTGAGACTGGCATTATTATTTTAGAATGTCGAGAAGCTATAAGTACCTCAACAAAGACAGGAGAACATGCAGTTGGCATGATTTACTCACCGCAAAGCCACTTTAAAAATATAGCTGTTTTTAAAAAAATTTTGCAAGCAAAGTGTGTCAATTGAAAGTTTCTTAAAATGTCAAAGAAAGCACGAGAGGATTAAACAGGCAGGCTGCAAGACTGGAAGTACAAGTGGCATAATATCAAGGCTTGAATGATAAAAGTCAAACTTTTAAAGGCAAAAAAAAAAAAAAAAAAAGCTTCCAAAGTCCTGAGACTCATAGCTGTGCAATGTAAATCAGGCACACCTGAAAGGACAGGTTATCAAGGCCTGCATTTCTGTGTTAACAATATTATATAGGAACGGGATTTTGCTCTGGATGGACTCATGGACAGGAGCACTCACGCATGCCACTGAGAGGCGTTTTGCCCAATGAGGCCTTTTTAGGCTGGGATCACACTTACCTACAGAGCTTTGGCAAGACCCTGTTCTCACTGGCAGGTGATTCTATGACTCATTCATGAAGAGGAGTGGGGCACCAGGAGCCCTGTAGCTTGTTATCACTGCCAGTGCCAGTGGGCATGAACTTTACATCCTTAGAAGTAAATCTGAGAACACGGCTGTCTCACTTAGTAGGAGGTTGACAGTGTCAGTATAGAATGAGCCCTCCTGCCCATGGAGGTGGCCAAGTGTGTGTAGCCACTGCTGGTGATGCTACAGAGGGGCTGATGTGGGTGACCTTTCGGAGCCCTCCACGTGCTGAGATCCAAGGATTCTCTGACTCAGATCCCAAAACAAGCTCTCAAAACACACACACACACACACACACTCACTCTGTCTCTCTCTCCATATATATATATACGTGTGTATATATATACGTGTGTATATATACACGTGTGTGTATATATATACGTGTGTATATATACACGTGTGTGTATATATATACGTGTGTATATATACACGTGTGTGTATATATATACGTGTGTATATATACACGTGTGTGTATATACGTGTGTATATATACACGTGTGTGTATATACGTGTGTATATATACACGTGTGTGTATATATACGTGTGTATATATACACGTGTGTATATATACGTGTGTGTATATATACGTGTGTATATATACACGTGTGTGTATATATACATGTGTGTATATATATACACGTGTGTATATATACGTGTGTGTATATATATACGTGTGTGTGTGTGTATATATATATATATACACACACGCACACATATTGCTCCTTTGCACTTATAAAGTGACAGGTAGAGCAAAAATAGAGCTAAGAGCACTGTTACCCACAATTACAACATTTAGCTTTGGAGGAAATCTGAACTGCCTCGAGTCCCAGCTCCCTGCCAATAAAGTAGGTAATAAGACTCTTAAGAGGCCAGGCTCAGTGGCTCACTCCTGTAATCCCAGCACTTTGAGGCCGGGGCAGGTGGATCATTTGAGGTCAGGAGTTCGAGACCAGCCTAACCAACATGGTGACACCCTGTCTCTACTAAAAATGCCACACACACAAAAAATTACCTGGGCTTGGTGGCGGGCACCTGTAGTTCCAGCTCCTTGGGAGGCTAAGGCAGGAGAACTGCTTGAACCTGGGAGGCAGAGGTTGCAGTGAGCCAAAATTGCGCCACTGCACTCCAGCCTGGGTGACAGAGTGGGACTCCATCTCAAAAAAAAAAAAAAAAACAAAACAAAAACTCTTAAAAGCTCCGAAGCTTTGATTCAGCTCAGCTAACAGTTGTAATGAAACACACAACTCCAGGTTGATGTAACTTAATGAGAAATTTGGGAGCCAAAGTGGTTGACACAAGTAATTTTGAGAATGAAAAGCAATGGGGGTGGCCATGATCCTTGTTTACACACCAGTTTCCACAAACTGCAGCTAACTGAGCAAGTACTTATTCTGTATTATCATAATAAAATCAAGTTTCTAGATGGAGTTTCTTACTTAATACGTCTTTCAAATAGGGCAAAAAGCTATACTGTATTATTTAGAGGTTTGTTTTTGTAGTTCTCTTACAAGGCGCATGGAGTTACTGCTTGGGTACTGTTGTGTGTTATAGGAAATTGCAGTGGTGGGAATGTTTGTTGTAGAATGTGAAGTCTTGGTTATAGAAAGTTGACTCTACCCACCAACTCTGTGATAATGAACCACAGATTGCCATATCACTGATTGTGATATAATAACTGATAGAATCAGGATGGACATCTATGCTTCCTCTCTTTAAGCCAGAGGACAAGTAATCCTAGAGGACACTTGCATTTCAGGGACATACCTGAAAGCCTTGTTTTATAAGACAAATCATTCTAACAGATTAATTTTAAAATCTTGTTTTCCAAGAAGGACTGTCTTCTGTAATCTTCCCATTAGGGAGTCATCAGATCTCTGGTCTTCTAGTGGTTTCCCATAATGCTCCATGGATGTCAACCAAATACTGCCCATGGCCTCCACGGCCCCACCTACCAGTGCAGCCTCACTTCAAGCCCTCACATTATGCCTCTCCCAGACCCAGACATCTCTCAGCCCCACAGAAGAGCCTTGCTCACTGGGGACTCCAGGCCTGGGTCAGCTGGGCAGGTGCCTGGAATGTCAAAAGGGCATCACTCCTGCTCCCCAAGAATGAACCTGAGGTGGAGAAACCTGTTACTCTTGGAGCTGCCTGAGGCAGGGGAGGGAGGTAAGACCCCAAGGAGCATGCTGGAGCCAGCACATAACGCCACTGGACTGCCTTTTTGGGAGGACTCTGGTGAGCTGAGACAGGTAGTGGGTTGGAAGCCAAGGCTGAAGTGCTCAAAAACACAGAGAATGAGACCAGTTATTGCCTGAATAACTGTGTGAGACACATGTATGAGAAACAGCCAGCTGGGCCTGGTCTACCTCCAGACTATGAGGATAAGTGTAAAATGACGGCTGTTTTAAGGCACCAAGTTTGGGAATGATTTACTATGTGGCAACACTGAGCTCCACAAGGCTGGGAACTTTGTCAGTCTTGCTCCCTATACATGTATCCCCAGGGCCAAGAACACTGCCTGGTCCAGAGCAGGTGCTTAACCAATATTTGTTGAGAGAGTGAATGAATGTATGAATGAAGAGATTAATGAATGGAGGACTCACTACAGCCAGTAGCAATCCCCCAACCTGCCTCCAGCCAGCATGCTGCCTCTCTTCTGTGCCTCCACTTTCTCACCTTGTTGACTGCTGACCATGCCCTGGATCCCAGCTCAAAGATCACTTTCTCATAGAGGCTGCCCTTCAACTCACCCGCCTTGTTTAGCACCCTGTCTCACACTCTCAAGTTACCCTGTATTTCTCCTCCATGACACTTCTCAGCACTATTCATTATGTAATCAAATGACCATGGTGAAATTCCTGGGTGGCTGGCTGTCTCCTGCGACTGACCCTAAGCCACATGACAGTAGGGGTAGTGTCTGCGTGTTTGCAGAGAGCTGACTGACCGCCTGTCAGAACATTTCTGAAAACTGGCAACATACAGCCAGTCTCATCTTAGAAAGTGCCAATTCTTAGAGAGCTCTCTTTTAATACTAAGCTGGAATTGACCTCTAACTGCTAGCCTACCCCCCACCAAGCTTTCCAAACCCATTACACCCAGGTCATCCTTGCCACGCAGACCCCAGGCGACCCAAAAGGCTAGGTGTCTTCTCCAGGTTTAGTCGGTCAGTCGGGGGAAGAACTAGAGTCTGAAGCCAGCTCTCCTGACTTTCCAGTTCAATGCTATTTCCATCATACCACACTGACTCCTGGATGTTTCCACTGACATTAAATGCTCTGAAAACATCATAATCTCTCTATCCAAACAACAACAGCAAAGCTGTGTACTTTTCATAGCAGAATGCACGGAACAGGTCAAGCTTAACATATAACACAGAGTATACAATATCCATATATAACAAGAGCTCATGGTGATATTTTAGGGACCTCTCCGCCAAATACCTAAGAGATGAGCCCGTGAGCAAATATCTAATTCTGATTTTCATTTGGTTCTTGTCTACTGGACACTCCTTGTGCCAATTCTCTGCAGGAGGTGTTTCTTCTCCTTTCTTTTCTATGACTTGTCATTCCCAGGATCTTTGAAGATCAAAGACACAAATAAACTAAAATAAAAAACACTCCAGGTGATCTGCAATAGCTCAACAGGCCAGCAACCCTGAACAACTGAGCTTTTGGAGAGAATGCAATGAACAGAGAAAACGTCCCTGACCTAATGTGAAAGGAAAAAAGGACAGAGAACAAGGCATGGCACGATTCTAATCAATATGTATAGTTATGCATATGTTTGGAAAACCAGGATGGAAAGAAATATACATTTAAAAATGAGCTGGCAGCCAGGTGTGGGTGGCTCATGCCTATAATCATAGCACTTTGGGAGGCCAAGGCGTGTGGATTACCTGAGGTCAGGAGTTCGAGACCAGCCTGGCCAACATGACAAAGCTATATTTAGTAGAGACCCCTGTCTCTACTAAAAATACAAAAATTAGCTGGGCATGGTGGCGGGCACCTATAATCTCAGCTACCTGGGAGGCTGAGGCAGGAGAATTGCTTGAACCTGGGGGACAGAGGATGCAGTGAACCAAGATTGCGCCACTTCACTCCAGCCTGCATGAAAGTGCAAAACTCTGTCTCAAAAAAAAAAAAAAAAAAAAAAGGGAGTTAGTGGCATTTCTTACCTTTCAGATTGGCCAAAAAAATTCACCTCTCACCTATCATGAATGTTAGTTAGTCTCAGGGGGATGAGTTCTTTCATACACTGCTGGTGAGAGGATTAATTAGAATAGTATCTGTGAAGGGGAAATGGTGGTCTCCACCAAAACAATAAACATGCACATCTTTTGCCCCAAGAATTTGTATTTCAGGTTTCTATCCTACAAAAGTGTTACCGCCTATGTACAAAGCAGCATTAGGAGTCATTATAAAAATGTGAAAATGACTGAAATGTTCATCCATAGGGAAACAGTTGGAAAATCACAGTTTGTCCAAACAATGGAACACGATTCAGCCTTAAAAAAAGAAAGAAGTGGGCTTAGGTGTGGACAGACAAACCTCCAAGAAATATCGCCAAGTTAAAAACAAAAGACAGAAAACAAAAGTAGCAGCATACTAGATACAGTGTAATCTCACTTAGGTAAAACCAACGCTAGCATATCCCAACATATATATGTAAATTTTCGGAAAACATAAATTTACCGAAAAAGGTCTAGCGGGAGATGGCTGCTGAAATTAACAGTGTGATCTCTATTGTGAAGTAGGAAGAACTTTCCAATATTTACTCACATATTTTAATGCTTTGATTTTATAGTATGTTGGGTGCAAATAACAAAAAAAAAAGGTGAGTAATGACAGAGGGAAACGTTATATTGTTAAGTCAAAAAGACAAGCTACAATATAGAATGTACAGGCTGGGCTGAATGGCTTGAAGCAGGTGTAGGAGCAAGACTTTTCATTGTACACTTTAGAATTTGAACCTGTGCTATTTTAAAAAATGAATTTAAATAATTGCTATTTGTAAAAGTAACAATTTTTTTTTAAAAAGGAAAAACATTAAAAGGAGAGAATATGTCCTAAATATTATGAGTGGTTATAGCTGTACTGACAAGTAATCTCAATTTTCTTTAAAACAAACAAATTACAAGACAGAAGACTGGCTCACTATTCCTTAAGTAAGTAGGAATCCTGGCAGGCTTATTTGCTCGCATATATTTCTGCATTTTCTAAATTTTCTTAAACAAACTTGTATTACTTCTAAAAATCAGAAAAAAGGAGTACTGTAAAACATATTTAAATTATTTTTAAACAATGCAGTTAAGCAGTATCTCACAAGGCAGGCACATGATAAATTATAGAGACCAGTGGTTTTCAAACAGTATCCTCTTTCAACACTCATCACAACATGGAATCTGATGTGGAATTCAGGTAGCAGTGGAGGTGCTTAGGTGGACTGGGAGGGGCCTCGTGCCCCACTTAGCAGCAGCTCCATCCACCTGCCGAACCCAGAGTTCCAAGAACATCCTTAGGAAATGCACCGTACAGACAGACAAAGGCTACAGGCACCCGAGGGGTGGGGGACTGTGCTGGGATGATCAGCGAGAGGGCTGCGTGAAAGAGGCGGAAACTGTGCTAAACTAAAAGGCAGGGAGGATGTCAGTGGGCGTGCCTGATGTGAGGATAAATGGTACAGAGGCAGGCTGCAAAGCCCACCCCTATGTCACCGTACCGTGGATGACAGGCCTTATGCAGTGAGTCATCAGTGAACAGGGTGGAGGAGGGCTGGAGCCAGACTGGGTTCCCGTAGGAGTAGGGAGCCACTGAAAGTTTCTCAGCATACGCCTGACTGGATGAAGGTGGTATTCTTGAAATGTCACTCTCAAGCTGCTGA
Source organism: Homo sapiens (assembly GCF_000001405.40). Classification (NCBI taxonomy): domain Eukaryota; kingdom Metazoa; phylum Chordata; class Mammalia; order Primates; family Hominidae; genus Homo; species Homo sapiens. The sequence continues at coordinate 141,243,317 of NC_000003.12, read as the reverse complement.
TAGATACAGCCTGCATATCACCCCACCTCTGAGTTACATCATGGCGCTGGCAGCAGGAAGACACCCTCCAACCTCCTGGGTCCTTGTGGCTGTATCATCATACAACTGGTGGGTTTTTCCAAGATTGTGCTGTGTTCAGTAGACCAGGCCAGGCAGGCTCTGGCCCTCCTACACTGCTATCCTAGAAGTAGCTCTCATTCCAGGGGCAGTAGAGTTGGGGTCCCCAAGTCACAGCTCATGGTCCCTCCCTGGCACTGAGACCAGGCCTTTTACTCCACCACCTAACAGCTCGGGCAAGGTATTTAATCTCTCTGAGCTGCAGTGTCCTCACCTGCAAGTAGTAATTCATTCATTCATTCATTCAGATATTTACTGAGCATCTGCTCTATGCCAAGGATAGTTATAGAAGCTGGGGATTCGAAGTGACCAAACCAGCCCCAAATTCCTGCCCTCATGGAGCTTCTATTCTAGTGGAGTGTAATATTGCTGCCTGCCTCAGGGGGCATGGAGGGGATTAGATGAGATCCATCCTGGAAAACATAAGACAGTCATGATTTCGTTCTCATTATTATTTGCATTCCCTGCAGCACTTGGACCAAGAAGGCACCCAAAAAACAGCATCAAACTATTCAGTCTCTGTCTACAAATACAGATTAACCCAGCTTGAAGCAAAGTGCAGTTCATTCAGCCCTTGGCTTAGACTAGCATGATGGTTCATCTCTCTGTACCCCACCCCCCAGCACTGTCTCCAGTCCACCTTAATAAACAGGGCTGGGAGGGAGAACGAAGGAAATCACCCTTGGAACCATTCATCACAATCAAGGCAGCTGACAGCTTTGCTAAACCCTGGCTCAGCCCTCTTTTCCTTAGGGAAAGAAAGCACAGTTATCAGAACCCTTACCTTCTCAGGCAGTGCTGAAAGTTCCTTTTTCGGGCCAGGGTGTCCTGCCTTATATGGGACATGAACACCTGATGGACTGCACACCAGCCTCCAGCGGGCCCCATGGAGAGGACTCAGCCCCTCTAATCAGGCCAGTCTGTGGCAAGGCGAGCCCTCATTTGGTGGATTTCAGGATTGAGCGTTCATTTCAATGTGTCCTCGAGGGCATGTATGAGCCTGGGGCGGGGGTGAGTAACAAGCACAACCAGTACATATTCCAAGTGAGTAGCCAGAAGCATTGGTATAAGTCCAAGGGAGAAAAAAACTATAAGCCAACTTTAGAACTTCATCCTCTGGGCTCCAAGAAAGTGCTCCATCAAAAATCTCCCTGGCAAGTATCTTGATATGTAATGACAGCTTCAGCTTTCTTCACCAACTACATGCTGGAGTTCTGGTGCCAGCCTCTATTTTTATAGCCTGAGTAATGCCCGGGCAAAGGACCAGTCAAGAATCAGACACAGAGGGACAGGGCACAAGACGTGACGGCACAAGTGATGGGGCCCCTCTCCTACTCAGCCTCCAGCAGCAGACCCTTTAGAGCAGAGTCTGGGACAGCAGCCAAGCCCTCCTCAGATTCTGGCCCAAACTCCTCTGCAGACTCATCCCCTCTCACAGCCAGCCCATGAGTTCCATGGGGGCTGGTCCTTTTCTGCAAACCCTGTAAGGCCAGGCCCCATGGCACAGCAGTGTTGGACGGGTGAATGGCCACACCATCTCGCACGACTCTGGCACAGTCGACTTGCTGTTCCCCCTTTTCATAACTCAATGTCTGTGCCCATTCCACTCTCTTGGCCCAGATGTCTTCTTGACCTGGTTAACTCCTGCTTATCCTTAAACTCAGCTTAAGCACCACCTTCCCCTGGAAGCCTTCCCTGACCCCAAGGCTGGGTGACATCTTCCAATACTGGGCAACCACAGCCCTCAGAGCCTACCCCTCCCACTCTACTCATCAACACGACAGACTCATGTCAGCTTCCTTGCCCACCTTCCCCAGGGCTGGGTGGAGAGACAGCAGAGCAAGCAGCAGGTGCTCAACAGGTGTGTAGGGGAAGGGAGGGAGGGTGGGAAAAAGGAAGGGTGAGCACCAGGAAGAATGCTGCGGACGGAATAGCCCCATCACAGAAACCTACGACAAACTAAACAAGAATAAAGCACTACAGCCCAGTATATCAATATACCACTCATCAATTATTACTGAGGAAAACTAGCAGGAAGTAGTGGGAAAACACTTTTTAATGAATTAGAGGGGAATCAGGTTACTCTTTGTTGTGTCCTCTCCTCCCCTCCAGATGTGGGTTGGGGTGGGGGCTGGAGAGGAAGAGAAGCTTTGGAAGGTTGAGTGGGCAGGGGCACTTGAAAACAGGGAGCTCTCATAGGTTCCTCTGGCCTTGGGGGACTAAAGACCACTTCCTCTGGGGTAACCTCCAACTGCTGATGTGAATCAACTAGGACACATTCCCACAAAGCTGTTAAGAACATGTCCTGTGTCAAGACAGGGGGATAATGAGGGCCTCCCACTGTCCTACTGAGTCATCTGGCCCAGTTCCCAAAGGTAGGAACAGAAGCAGGGATTCAGAACAGATGATCTCCTGGGGATGAAGACGACTTTTGGCTGGAGCCTTCTTAGCACAGCATTTCCTTCTAAAGAAAACACCCCCACTAGCCCCTCAATATCCACTCATTCTTTCTTGTTAAGAGAATCCTGATTTTTGGGGGGAGGAGGGGGCAGACAGTGTAGCAGAGACTGCCAGCTAATTGTGATACCCATCTCCTTTCCCTCCTGGGCATGTGGCTGGACCACATTTCCTCCCCTTGGAAGGTATGCTCACACGACTGAGCCCTGGCCAGTGGAATGTCAGGGCCAGTAGTTCAGCACCTCTGAGCCTGGCCCACAAAATCCTCCCACACACCATCCTCCATGTTCCTTCCTCTTCAGCTGAGTGAGGCAAAGGAGCATGGCAGCCTTGAGAGCCTGAGTCCCTGAATATCCTCTTGGAGGAAAGCCCCAAGCAGAAACAGCCATTTTGGACTGTGTGTGAGCAAAAAGTGAATGCCTACCATATTTGAACCATTAAACATACTTTGTTTAAGCAGTGAGCCTTCCTCAGTGTGCCCCACTACACACTCACATGGCCCGTTTAACTGGGGGCAACCCATGTGATACAGTTCTGGCCATGAAATGTCAGGGGACATCTGGTTTGCTGGTGTTTTTTGCCATCATGAAGGAAAGGCCAAGAGAGTAACACAAGTGTCAGTACAGACAGATGTCAGCTGCTGAAACCAACACCAGCAATCACCTATCTTCACGCATTTTGTTACATAAGATAAACAAACCCCTATTTACTTAAGCCACTAAGCCAGGGCTTTCTGCTACTTTCAGCCAGACACATTCATAACTGATATGCTTTGCAACCACTCATCATTCATTCACCCAACTTTTATTGAGGCCTGTTTCATGCCAGTCCTTGTGCTAAAGGCCAAAGCTTTACAGATGAGCTGGGTATGGTCCCTGCTTTCTAGGGGCTCCCTATCAAGCTGGAAGAGAGGCCCATGAGCAGACAATCAGAATACACAGGGAATGGATGCTGTGGTGGCACATGATGATGTCCCAGGAGAGTGTGAGCATTGGGCAGTGGGCTGGCACTGAGGTGAGGCATTCCCAACTCCCCTTCGGGCATTTGGCACACAGAGTAAATAAACACTTCTCAAGCTAAAAAGCAAGTAAAAAGAACTCGGGATCCTCAGCCAAGCCAACTGCAATTACTTAGTGTAAGTAGAGTCGTTAAACACCATCAATTAATGCAGCTGTTTCAAGATAATCAGCAGTCATTAGAGCAAGATGCACAAGAGAAAAAAAATCATATGCTGCTAACTTAGCAATGCTAGAAATTATGTGAACCGAGGATGAGACAGGCTTGCTTAGATCTTCCTGCCTGCTGACGTTAGCCACCTCCCAAAATATACTTTCTTTCTCAAAGAAGACAGTGATTTTTCACTTTGAAGACAGAGCCAAAAAAAATCAACCATCCATGCCATGACCTTCGACCATAAATGCCCAAGCTTTGATTTTTCAGGTCTGTGTTTCCATTAGGGACTGCAACGGAGACAGACACACTGGCGACAAAAGAGGTTCCAGTCTGGGAAATCAAGAGATGATCATGACCAGAGAAGTCAGAGCACCTGGGGAGCCATTTGTAAAACAGAGAAAGGGTTTTCCCCCTTTTACCTTAATTCTCCCTACATACAAAAGGTTGGCATTATTTGCTGTTTCTTTGTTTTACAAGTGTGGGGCAAGGTTTTTTTTTTTTTTTTAAGACAAAACTTCATTTAAAATTTCCAGGACATAGGTCTACCCTTGAACAACACGGATTTGAACTGAGCAGGTCGACTTACACGTAGGTTCTCTTCCGCCTCTGCCACCCCTGAGACAGCAAGACCAACCCCTCCTCTTCCTCCTTCTCAGCCTACTCAATGTGAAGACAATGAGGATAAAACCTTTATGATGATCCACTTCCACTTAACGAATAGGAAATGTTTTCTCTTCCTTATGATTTTCTTAATAACATTTTCATTTCTCTAGCTTATTGTGAGAATACAGCATATAATACATACAACATACAAAATATGTGTTAACTGACTGCATTATCAGTAAGGCTTCTGGCTAACAGTAGGCTATGTATAGTTACAATATTGGGGATTTAAAAGTTATACTTGGATTTTCAACTGTGGGGGGCCATGGTGGGGGGAATCAGTGCTCCTAACCCCTGAGTTGTTCAAGGGTCAACCATAGTTTAAAGTAAATAAAAATAAGCTGGTTGCCACTAAGATAACTGATGACTGGTTTTCCAGTCTGACTGCTGACTTATCGGTATGAAGTATTCCAGTGTATGTTGAGTACAAGCTGGGCTAATCACGCTCAAACGAGGCAGAGAAGCACTCGAGTTCCTGAAGCAGCAATCACAGAAGGATTTTCTGGTCGACAGCCCATTGCTGGAGGCCGTGCCAGCTCCGTGATGGCAGGTGCTAGTCGGGCAGGCTGCCATGCTGGAGCCTCTCTGTAGGACGCACAGAGCAAGCAAAGCGAGGTCTGAGGAGGAAGGTCCTCTCTTTCCAGCACCAGTTAGGAAACCCATGCCCGTCAACATAGTTTCTTTGGGTCAAGAAGTTTCTAGCTACGGCAGACACAGGAAATGCAGTGTTCTGGCTTCCTGCCTCTGGCTAGTCCCCTACCTGCTCTCAGGAGCAGCTGTGCCATTTCTTGCTCAGAGAACTGGGTCTCTGATAGTACCAAAGGTTTCTGGGGCTGCTGAAGAGCCAGTCCAGTCCAAAATAGTAGCCAGGGCAGCATTCTGTCAACCAGGACCAAAAATAGTGTTGGCAAAACCAGGTGACTAAACAGATCTAGGATCTCTTATCATGCTTCCCACTAACAACCTGTGGCCAAGAGTGACAGTTAAAACAACCAGCATGTGTCAGACACAGATGAGTCAAAATGAGTGCCTGTTTCAAAGAGCTGGCAAGGTCACCACCCCATGGTCAGCCCCTTCACAGCCTCTCATGGCTGTAAGTGAGCAAGTGCCTGGAAATCGATCTGCACCGCCATTCATGTCCTTCACCACAAACTGAAATATAATGTCCTCTGTTCCATGAGGACAGAGACTATTATCCTGTATCCATCATCTCAGTGCAGTCAGTTGGCGCCTAAAAGGTAATTTTAAGAAACAAATGAATAGGAATAGCAGCTAACATTTTTAAAGCATGTACCATGTGGTAGGTGCTTTTCTAAGCCCTCATCATGTATTATTATATTTCAGTTTCACAACAGTACCATGAAGTAGGTATTATTATCACCACCCAAATTTTACAAATAAGGAAACTGGCACAGAGAAGTAACTTGTTCAAGGGTACATTGCTAGTAATGGTAGAGCCAGGGTTTAAAGTCAGTTTGGCCTCTGAATGTACACACTCAATCACTGCACTGTGCTGAATACACAACCAACTCAGGTACTCTAGTATTAGGAAGTCATCAACAGAGAACCTCTGACATCTACAAACCTTGAGAAGTCCTTTCAGGTTTCTGGGTGCTACATACAGAGTTTTTGTTTGTTTGTTTGACTTGCAGAAAGTTTTAGAGAAAACCAATGCCTATTTTTATCCCTAAGAATAGGACCACCTACAATTTTCAAAAAACTATGTAACCACATTTGGTTATCAAGCAACGTGGGCAGGGATATCCAGGTTTACATAGTATTTCTCTGCTTATGAGATCTGAATTCTAGAGGAAGCCTTTTAACCATCCCAAGGTCCCATCTCCCCATCTCTAAGCAGATCGCAGGCTTATTGAATCAAATGAGATATGGACAAAGTTGCTTTTTTATATAGTAAGGTACTGTATAAACATAATGCATGATCCTAATAATTAATATAACTTGCATAAAATATTATATACTTATTAATCTATACTTGCCAAATTTTCTATACTTTCAAGATAGTTCATATTTATATCTATGTTTTAAGATTTAAGCTTAATAGTTTATTTCTGTAAGTCCCTCCATTATTATTTCTGAGCTTCCAAAAATTTGTTCTACAACTTTACTAACTTTACGGTAATCCAACTGCCACTTTCATTTTAGAAGCATAAAGCCTTAACAAGACAGTAAATGTTTAATTCTAACTAGATTCTCCTATGTCTGCAGAGAACAAACAGCAAGTAAGAGCTTCATTTTATTTTACGGTTAAAAGCTCAAAATGATACTGCTGGATCTCTGAAGGCCTGAAGGTTGGTGTTAGATCCAAGAATGAGGTAAGCTTAGGAAAGCAAGCTGTGGTTTTGTTGGTTGAAAAGACACATGTCTCTGAATAACTGAGGGGTGGGACAAATAGTATTCAAAATGATTTGTAACTTTAATGTAAATGATGGCTGTAACCACAAACAGAAGTGGAGGAGGAAAGGGGAGAGAGTGGGGGCATCAAAACCAGGTGCAATAATTTTCATCTTAATATGCTTTTTAATCAATATGCTATTGATTACAGCTCTTTCTGAGGAAGCTGGTCACACCCAGGGGCATAAGGGTGGCGAGCAGGTGACAAAAGGATGCCCTGTAAACTGAAACATGAGTGTGTAAATTGGGGAAATGATTCTGCAAATACAAAGAGAATTTTAAAGTTACTACAGTCTCTACTACCACATGTTTGAGTTCCCCCAAACTCTCCTCCACCCTCGAGTACGCAGCTCAGAGGGAGCTCCACTGATGGAGGGAGGGGCAGACGCATGCACAGATGACTGTGGGCCAAGGGAATGAGGTGAAGGGTGCCTCCTGACTGCAGAAACTACTCCCCAAGCCGCCATCCAGTTCTTCTTCCATGCCTTTTTAATCATTAACTTCTTCCAGACTCCTGAGATTGTTCCCGCCATCACTGCAGACTGAACTTTTTCCAAAAGCCAGTGGCTTCCCCAGCCAAAGTCCAAAAAGGGTCAGAGAAGCCTGCTGGTTTTGAGGGTGGAGGATAAACAGGCCAGAGTCTGTGGCTCAGTTAGGTGTTAGTTGGCCAGGGCCCTCCTGCCTTTTGGACTCAGAGCGGACCCTGAAATTCATTCTGGGTTCACGGGTGCCTCCTCGTGGCTGCCATGCAGCATCTCCAGGTTGAGAGGCTCCAATGGGCCGTCGTTTACCTGCAAGGCTGCACAGCAGGTTCAAAAAGAGTCCCTGGGAGATGCTTCTATCAAAAGGCCCACCATCCTACTAGAAAGCTGCTCCCTCTTCTTCACCTCCTAAATACAGGTGCACAGACCTTCCAAGCCACTGCTCCTTTTGTCACTTACCTAGACTCTCCCCTCAGCACCTCAGGTGAGATGAAGTGGCAATGGCTGCAATCTGAAGTGGCCATGGGGGCTCTCCAAGTGGTACCCTGTCTCCCTGGAAGCTTCCTCCATTGGAAAATGGGTGATGTCAAAGGGGACTGGGGCTACAGCTCAGGGCCTATAAATTAAGCCATGGTAAAGTGGCTTCCCAGGCCAAACCCCAGACCAATCTTGCTCAAGCCATTATTTCCAAAAGGGCACACACCTCATTCAAAAACTTCAAACAGCTCAGTGCTCTCCTGCCGTGCTAAGCCCAAGTCTCAGCTGGCTTTCAAGGCCTTCTCAAAACCAGAATGATGGGCCCAGCAAATGGATTTCAGATTCCCATGGGGTCATTTTTCCTATCTCAGTGACTTTGCTCCTAACTGGTAACCCCTACACTGGAATGTGGGCACACTTCCTTATCCACCAACCAGGAACCTTGTCCAGGGACAGGTTCTGGGGCCAAAATCTCCCCCTATGAATTTTCAGGACCTTGAACATTCTCCTATCCTTTCTCCCACCCACCTCTAGATAGTAGTATGTCTCTTTCTCCCTCTCCTCCCTTTCTCTTACTCACAGACTGCAGGCATTAATTAAACCTCTTCTAGAAAACAGATTTTCACCAGCTGCAGGAATTCTGAGCCAGACCTGAAGACAGAGACAATCTGGGTAAGAAAGATAAGTTCGTGACAGCCAGGGGCAGTGCAGGCTCCCACAGCCAAGTGGCAGTCTCAATTTTAGCCCTTTCCAGATTCCCCCACAAAAAAAGGGGGACATGAGGTGTTCCCACCCCCTCAGCATTTGGCTGTACTGCCTGGGGGTGGCCTTTGACAGAGGCACAAGAGCTGGACCTTGCCCCATCTGCCAGTGGGTTATAGCCACCTCCAAGAGACCAAAGCACTGGCCCAAAACACCAACCTCCCTCCCACCAATAGAGCTGCAAGCCACAGTGCCAGAAATGTGCAAGAAGAGGCACTCCCAGCTCGCCACAGGAAGCAACACCCACTGGAGTGGGGATGGTGCAATCTGAAGTGGCCAGTGGGGCTCTGCAAGTGGTACCCTGTCTCCCTGGGAGCTTCCTCCGTCAGTGGGCAGGGATAGGAAATGTTAAAGGGGACTGGGGCTACAGCTCTGGGCACTATAGGTTAAGCTATGGTGGACTCAACCCTCAGCAGACAAACTTAGTAGCTTCCAAGGGCGCCCACCACCACCTACCCCAATTCTTGAATGAAGACAACTGATTTTCTTCATGGAAATCTTGGAGTCCCCACTGAGGTTAACGACCCACCATCAGAGACTGATCCGTAGATTGCACTCACTGCTCCAAACACACACAAAAATGAGTTTGTCTCTGGTGATATGACACATTAAAAAAAAAAAACTGTTGAATTTAAGGGTAACATTTTGAACAGTGTAGCAAAGTGTAGAAAACATTGGTTGTGAACTCAGACTAATTCACCGGGGCATCCATTTTTTTTCCTCACAAACACTGAGTACCCCTATGTGGTAGACAGGGGGGACCAGGCAGGGACCTGGGGCCACAGAGGTGGTTCCTTCCACCCATCCCTGAAGATGCTCCTGCACAGTGGGGCATCTGACAGCGACTCATCACAGAGCGGTGTAGGGAGGGCCAAGGAGAAGCCCACGGGAATTTCTGGACAGAGAGACCCTACTGAGCCCCAGTATGTCCTTGGGCTACTTATCTAATCAATAGTGAAGTAATATTGAGCTAACTATTCAAGCTGATCAATAGAAAAAAGAGTTACAGATACTGCAGTTCCACAAACACTCGGAGTGCTGTGCTCCAAAGGCCAGGTGGCCCACGCTGTTCCTGGTGCCCAAACGCAGCCTCCCAAGGCATCAGTGAGGATGGGCTGGCCAGGAGCCAATCCCTAACAGAGAAGTTCCCCCTACACATCCTTTCTCTGAGATAAGCAATTAATTTAATCCAAGACTTAATGAAAGCCAGGAGAAGGGATGGGGCAGATTCATACACTGGCTTTCAGGCTGTCCCGTGCATCTTCACCTCTCTCCAGGGACCACGAGGGTTTTTTTTTTTTTTTTTTTTTTGACAGGGTTTTGCTCTTATTGCCCAAGCTGGAGTGCAATGGCGCAATCTCAGCTCACTGCAACCTCTGCCTCCCAGGTGCAAGCGATTCTCCTGTCTCAGCCTCCTGAGTAGCTGGGATTACAGGTATGCACCACCACGCCTGGCTAATTTTGTATTTTTAGTAGAGACGGGGTTTTTATGTTGGTCAGGCTAGTCTCGAACTCCCGACCTCTGGTGATCCGCCCGCCTCGGCCTCCCAAAGTGCTGGGATTACAGGCGTGAGCCACCGCGCCCGAGGCCTTTTGATCCATCTGCTATAAATCCCCTTCCCACAGATGTCCCGATTGGGCACCAACACCTCTGAGGAGGGTAAGTTACTGCCAAGCCCGACCGCAGTCGCATCCCGTTTGAAAGGGTGGGCTCCGCACTGCCAGCTTCACACCCACGGGCCTTCTGCAAATATCAACAAACGGCTCCATTTGTGGAGCACTCTCCGATCCCCCATCCACCCCCCTACACTTCCCCATTCACAGCTCGATCTGATTCCCCATCTCTCCTGATTTTACTTGTTGAATGCTTACAAAGGATCCTTGCCTTTCCACAAAGACACTGGCTAGCCAGGCGGTGATAACCTCACTCACTACAGAGCCCCCTCGCAATCGCTGAACTCACAGCCGAAGCGGGAAAATATGGCTCCACGTCCTGCACCGTGAATCCTTTACCATCCACAGGTACAATTTAAAAGGCAGCTGCGGCTGCAAAGCAGGCAACCTACCCTAAGCAAATCCATTCTCTCTCTCTCTGTGTGTGTGTGTGTGACAAACCCAGCTTATTTAAAAGATCAGGACATAGGCAAGTTCACCAGCAAAAGCAACGTCGTGGGTCTACACCACACGGTCCTAACCTGCGCATCCAGGAATGTTAACCTGCGCTCGGGCGGCCCCGTGGCCAGGCCCGGGACTCCCGGAGGCGTCAGGCTGCAGGTGGCTGCCAAGAGGAGCCAGCCCCGTCTCCGGGAAAGGCCGCGAAGTTGCGGCCGCCTCCTTACCTGGAGACTAGCCGGCTCAGGACCGCCCGGGAAGGGGGATCCCGGGAGCTTGAATCTCGGCTGGAATCCAGCGGCGGGAGTGCGGGGGCCGTGCGGGAGAGGGCTGGAAGGGCGGGGGCGAGGTGGAGGCGGGCTCCGCGGGAGAGTGCGGGGCTGCGGGGGGCGAGGGCTTGGAGACAGAGCCGGGGGTTCGCAGCGGGCGTGAGACGGCGCCAGCTCTGGGAGAAGGGGGCTATGGGGCGGGCGCCGGGGCTGGGACACCGGGCGCACGGGGGGAGTGGCAGGAAAGAGGGCGCAAGTCCTAGGCTCAGGGGCGAGCGCGGGGATAAAGGAGGAGGCTTAGTCGCGGGATTCGGACCCGACGCTTCGAAGCGCCCCCAGCCTTCCCGCCCCTCTCCCACTGGCGAGTTAGGGGGACCCCCTCAGTCTCCCAACCTCGGACCCTGGACGCCCACCCGCCTAGAACCTCTGCGCTGCTCGGCCCCAACGGCAACCGCCCCGGCCCAGGCCCGCGCCGCACTCACCGCCCATGGTCCCAGGCCGGCCCCAGCTCCGTCGCTGCGCGCCCGGCTCGGCGCTCGCCGCCAGCTCCTCCCGGCGCGAGGGGAGGCGAGGGCGGCGCGCACCCGCCACCGGGGAGCTCGCGGGGCCCGGCAGCGCCCCCTGCCGACCCCGCCGCGCCCCGTCTCAGTTCGGCCGGCCCTGCACCAGGAGCCCTGGAGCTCCGCCCCGGAGGCGGTGTTGCGGTGCGGCTGGGCGGGGGCGACCGCGCGGGGTTGCTGAGAGGACACTGCCTCTGGGAGGCCCAGCACAGCCCGGAGAGACTGGTCAGTCTGCAGAGCCCTCGGCGTGCAAAGCCACGGGCACGGACAAGCCGAGCGCGCAGGGACCACGACCACAGACGCGCAGGGCTCTCGCGTGCCTCACAACTCCTGACCTGCGATCAGGGACTGCGCGGAGGCGCGCCAAGGCCCAGGAACACAGCCCTGGCCGGCCCGGGCCCTAGTGTGGGTGCTTTGGGGCCATGTGCCTGCCCTGGCGCCGCTGATGCTATCGCCGGGTGGGCGCGCGCGTCTGGGGTGCGCCTGCTGCCACGTAGACCCAAACTGTCACCCCCCACCCCCCACCCCTTTCGGCCTATCCCACACTCCTCTTCCGGCTCAGAACACATCCGGCCTTGTGTTGCTCTAGTCCTCGCTGCTGCTCCGTCTCCAACGGTCTGCAGAGACCCGGGGAGGTCGTGGCCCCGCGCAGTCGCCCTTCCCACCTGCTCCCGGCCCGCGGCTTCCTTGGAGCCGCTGCTGAAGATCCTCAGAGCACTTGAGGGCTGCCTGTAACGCCCCGTTAGACATCTGATAGGCGAACGGTTGTATTTGGTTTGATCAGTATTTGTGGGTCATTTATTGCAAATGTTAGGTTCCAGCTGGTGGAGATTTCCACCAGATTTCTCTGTGGGAGATGAAACGACCAACAGCGATTATCAGAGAGGTCTTTGCTGTCAGCTCGAGGTCTACAGCAACCCTGTGTGTCCTAGCACAACTAGCCTCAGGCAAAATAGATACGGATTCGAATTTGCTACTATATACCTTTGAGGTGCACCTTTGGGAGGATCTCATCCCTTGACTTCTGCTTTCTCTCCTTGATTGATGGCTCTCAAATCCACACACTTGGCTCAGATATGTTAGCCATATTTCCCCCTACCCTCCGGTTTTTTTCTTAGAACTTTCCTCCTCAAGTTACCACGTCTGGCACTAAATTTTACCTCTTCCAAGCTCCCAACTCCATTTATCCCCGTGGTCTCGCCATTCTCTCAGCCACCTGTCATGCCTTCTTCATCAGGTGCCTTAATGGCTCGTCAGTACCGGACTTTGCTGCCTGTCCGCCTCTGGTATTCCCCCGATGCAGCGCTATCCCGGGCCTTTTTTCTGCCCTGAATACTGACAGCCTCTCCCAATCCATGAGCACAAAATCTTTTCACTGTCCCCTTTGGCATCACCCCCAACTCTCCCACCTGGCCCCCACAGAAGCCCACCGCAGCCCGCCCAACAATGTCTCCTCTGCCCCTTCTGATTGTCCTCTCACGGATTGCAGGCTCTACTGCTTAGCTCACACTGTCACCCTCTTCTCTACATGGGTTAGTCAAGGTGCTTTCTGCTGTAAAAGACAACCCAATTCACACTAACTTAAATCACAAAGGGTTGATCCGCTGTGTACATGAAGAGCCTGTCTGCTTCAGGCCTGGCTTTAGTCCCAGGGTCTCAGGGACTCCCCGTCTCAGTTTTGCTGTCTTCCACATGAACTACGCTTTCATGCGCACATGAGACCCTGGCAGATCCAGGCTCACAGCCTCACAGCTCTAGTTCTAGCAGAAAATCAGCTTCTCTGCCAGCCATTGCAACTAGCCTTGGACCTGGCTTTGTTTGCAGGATTGGGCCACATGTCCATGCTGTGCTCTCAGCCTCTGTGACTCCATGGCAGGTGGGTTCACTCGTGGACACACTATCACCCTCAGCAGGGAGCATGTAGGCACTCTTGGATCCCTTCTCTGTCACAAGGGGACTAAAGGTAACTCAGGGCACCATCTCTAGCCATTTCTCTGCAAAATTTGCCACACCAGCGCTTTGCTTGACAGCGCAGGGCATACTGTGGGGGCAGAGTCTCAGCCTGGAGATAGGACACAGGCCCTTTCTGCTTTCAGCTTCCTCCTTAACCTATCTGAGATCTGTGTCTTTGTACCACCCCCTTCCCTAGGTCCACACTTGGTATAGGGATAGCCTCAGGCCCTCATGGAATCAGGCATCATACACTCCCTAGACTCACATCCTGTTTCTTTACCTCACCTTCCCGATTCCCTGAGGATGTCTATGCTACCTTCCATTCTAGAGGAGGCATCTCCTCCCCCTGTGGACTCTGGGTTCTGAGTGGTACCCACCGAGCCTTAATGGAGAAAGGGGCTATAGGGAAGAAAAAAGAAAAGCTTCCTACAGGGAAAATAGATATGAGGAAGCATCTCAAGACCATTACTCCCACTAAATCTCTTTCCTCCGTGGTTGCTGAAGAGGCAGGATGGCAGCCTGACACAGCTGGGGACCATCTGGCCAGCACCTGGGGAGACTGTGCCAGAGACTGCAGCTGACAGAGGAAAGCAGAGTGGTGAGATAGGCAGGTTTCTTTCTTTCTTTCTTTTTTGTTTACCTTCACAACAGAATGGATGTCATAGGCAGGTTTCTGCTGTGCCTGAATCCCACATACCACTGGATTTTTCAAGTACGTGTTCCAGTAAATACCCCATTTTCCCCCAAGCAAATTAGAATTGGCTTTCTCTGTCACTTGCAACCAAGAGAGTCTTGACTAGTATAAGCCTCTAGCATAGGACCTCACACATTAGTTCCTGTAAAATAGCAACTATCATCACCGTTATTCATATGATAAATGAGCAAGCCATCCTCTTTGGTAACTGTAAACTGTAGAAATGAAAAGTGCATGCAGTATGCTCAATAACTTTTGTCTCCCCTCTTATTCCCAGCCTGCTCCTTTGTCCTTTCCAAATTCACATCTTGACCTCCAAGGAAACCCTCAACATTCATTAAAAGCAGAGCCCACCCATCTTATAAAAATAGTCCCAGACTCACCCAAGTCACGAATATTCCGCTAGGCAGCATTTGCTCCCATGTTACACAAGTGATCCCTTCCTAGACTATAAGCAACTGGGAGCAGGTGTCCAGCTTCAATTCACTTTCAAGCCTTTGAGCAAAAATTGTACAAATATTTGCACAGCCTCCTTTGTCCCGTACTGTAGACTTAAAGAAACAATGAGCTACTGCCTCTACACTTAAAGGGACTTTACCATGGGGAAAGACAAATAGTCTAGGACAGAGACTGAGATGACAGATGACAATACCAGGGAGTCCTCTAGGGGATGGAGGTGGAGTGGTTATTTGCACCATGTTCTAAGTTCCAAAGGCCTGTGCTGCCTGCAGTCTTGACTTATGACAGATTTTATACATCCACACTAAACCTTTCTTCTGTGCCCATCACAGTATCCAGAGAATAAATTTCATTTCAAAATTCCATTTACCATGGGTTTTGTTTCTCCGATGACAAAAGAAGTACCTATTCATTGTTGAAACTTGGAAAAATACAAAGCACACAAAAATAAAGATTAAAACTAAAATTATACATAATAGATTTATGTTGATTAATATAGTAGAGAATATCAAACTGTGATGTAAAGAGAGAATATGGCCTCATTCACACTTCTACCCCACACCTGGCAACTGCAGGGCCTCAGGGAGATAAATATCTTGCAAAAAGCTAAAGATCATCCTTAGCTTCTTGCAGAAATGCTGCACTGTCTCTAACACATGTATAGTTTTTAAAAATGCAATCCAGGCCAGCTCCAGGGTGGTCTGTTCTCTATTATTTATGTATGCATGATTCATTTTACTTACCACCAGCTGTAATCCCTTCTCCCCACCCCTAGCAGGCCTATTATGCAAGTCCCTTCCCCCTCCTGAGAGCAGCTAGGGAGGCAAACTCATTTTCCCATCTATCTGGGTGAAATTTAATTAGAAAGCCAAATCTGGAAGAACAGAACACAAAATAACCACATTAAATAAAAATAAGAGATGGCTCTGAACTTGACTTTAAGCCAAAAAATCAAAGAACTGCAGTAATTTGCTGAATCATAGATCTAAATACTCATTTTTGTCTTCTAACCTCTAAGCCCAACTGAAAGAGGCTTCTAAAGAAAAAAAAGAAACAAACAAGTACTAGATGAACACAAATAACATTTAGAAGTCATAAAAGGACAACAAGGACTCTGGCTTTCTATTCCATCTAAAACAATACCAGGCACATAGTAGGTACTGTATGAAAATTGGATGAATGGATAGATGGGCTAAAAGACCATACTTCTTGTTTTATAATGGAATGTTAATCAGAAAGGAGATGAGAGGAGGTTGAGCAGCTGACGGAGCTTTCTGCAGTCTCATGGCCACTTGAGAAACAGCAATTGTAGTTCAGGGTCCATGAGAGATGGGGCCCAGGCGATACCCTAGACTTCCAGTTAGGACCCAAAGGAGAGAGATTGGAAGCTAGAAAACAGCCGTAAAGTGCTGTAAGTCATTGCCAGTGTAGAATTCTATGCCCAGAATAAACAAGAGACAGAGAAGAATCAACTTACCCAAAATCAGTCACAAAATTAGGTAGTGGGAGACCCAGGACTAAAATCCAGGCCTCCTGAACGTTTCAGGGCCCTTTTCACTAAACTGCACTGGGTTCTTTGCCCCATATATATGTTTTTTAAGCCACTAAATAAAAAGAAAATAAAACATCTCAGTATTCTCCAAAGAGGAGCAGAACAAATTTATCTTACAAGTTTGGATTGTTCACAAATTGCATCCCGAAACTACTTGGGCTCACCACTTCCCTCAGTGGATCCAGGCGACTTATATTCATGAACACTGGCTGAGTTGCCTTGGGTTCTGAGATCCTTTGCCTTCAGCCCACACCTCCCTGTTGAGGACAGACCAGAATATCCAATTGCTTACTCAGTGATTCCGTTGAACTTCTCAAAGCACCAAAAACTCCATAATGTCCAAAACTTAACTGGTGTTTTCTGTTGTAGGGAATAGCGCCTGTGCCAACTGTCCTAATCTGAAAATTAGAAACATGGGAAACACCTCTCTCTCCCTCATCCTCCACATCTGGTCTTTTTCCAAGTCCTGTTCATCATTCCCTCTGTGAATATTCCTCTAATTTGCCCACTTTAGTCGTCTCCATCACCACTCTAGTCCAAACCATGAATCTGCTTTCTATCACTATGGAGTAGTTTGCATCTTCTCAAATTTTGTATTAATGAAATCATATAGTATGTATGCTTTTTTTTGCTGGATATTTTTCACTTACTTAGCGCAATTATTTTGAAATTCAGCCACAGTGATGCTCGTATCAATAACTTATTCATTTTCATTGCTGACTATTTTTCCATGGTAAGGATATCCCACAGTTTGTTTTTGATTCACCATTGATGGACATTTGGGTTGTTTCCAGACTGGGTTATGACAAAGCTTCTGTGAACATTTGTGTACAAGTATTAGTACTTGTACCAATGAACACATTCTTTCATTGCTTTTGTGTAACTATCTAGGAATGGCATGGCTGGGTCACATGATAGGGATATGTTTAACCTTTAAAGAAATTGTCAAACTGTTTTCCAGACTGCTTATATCATTTTACACTCTCATCAGTAATGCTGAGAATTCCTTTTGCTCCATATCCTCACCAACACTTGGTATGGTCAATATTTTTAATTTTAGCCATTCTGGTGGGTGGGTAGCAATATTGTTTTTGCTTTAATTTGTAATTCACCATTGTTTCATGATGCTGAGTATCTTTTCATGTGCTTATTTGCCATCTGTGTATCTTCCTTGGTGAAGCATCTGTTCAAATCTTTTGACTATTTAATTGGGTTGTTTGCCATATTATTGAGTTGTGAGTGTTCTGTATATATTCTAGACACAAATCTGTCAGATT
Organism: Homo sapiens; assembly: GCF_000001405.40. Classification (NCBI taxonomy): domain Eukaryota; kingdom Metazoa; phylum Chordata; class Mammalia; order Primates; family Hominidae; genus Homo; species Homo sapiens. Next base: position 141,225,898 of record NC_000003.12, on the reverse strand, counting down.
TACATTTGCAAATATTTTCTTCCAGCCTATGGGTTTGCCTTTTTCATTTTCATTACAATGTGTTTTGAAGAACAAAGTTTTAAATGTCGATAAAGTGCCACTTATTGATTTTTTTTTTTTTTTACAGTTCTTGATTTTTGTGTTCTCTTTCAGAAATCTTTGCCAAACCCAATACAACTATGATTTTCTTCTAACTTCCTCAAGAAGTTTTACAGTTTTGGCTCTGATATTTAAGTCTATGTTCTATTTCAAGTTAATTTTTATATAGGGTATGAGGTAAGGGTCAAGTTTTTACATATGATTCCAACTAGTCTAGCAGCAGTTGTAAACATTATCCCTTCCCCAGTTACTTGCCTGGACACCTTTGTAGGAAATTAATTGATTTGTATCTGTGGGTCTATTTCTGAACTCTCTATTCTGTTCTACTGATCTAAATGTCTATCTTATGATAATGCCAAACTGTCTTGATTACAGTAGCTTTATAATAAATCCCGATGGCAAGAGCATAAGTCTTCTAATTTTATTTTTTTCAGAATTGTTTTGATCACTCTATGTCTTTTTCATTTCCATATAAGTTTTAGAATCAGCTTGTAAATTTCTACAAAAAAAAAATCCTTGTTAGAAACTTGGCTGGGATTGTATAGAATCTGTAGATCACTTTGGAAAGGTTAGATACCTTAACGGTATTGAATCTTCTGACACATGTACACCATATTTTTATATTTGTTCGCATCTTCTTTAATTTTTCTTAGCAATGTTTTAGTTTTCATTGCACAGGTCTTATACGTTTCTTGTTTATTTACACCTACGGATTCAAAATTTTTGATGCTGTTATAAATGATATTGTTAAGTTTCTATTTCTAATTGTTCATTGGTAGTAGACATAAATAAAATTGAGTTTTGTATACTGACCTTGTATTCTGCTAAACTAATCTATTAGTTCTAGCAGCTTTTTTAGGTCCCTTAAGATTGCCTGCAGAGATGATTATGTCATGTGTGAATAAAGACAGTTTTACGTCCTCCTTTTCAATCTGGATGCCTTTTATTTCTTTTTCTTGTTACTTTGCACTGACCGAAACCTAGTATAATGGCATAAACAGGGGTGGTAAGATTGGACATCTTTGCCTTGTTCCTGATCTTAGAGGGTCTTTGACATCCACCATTATGTATGATGTTAACTATGGGCTTTTCATAAATTGCTTTTATCATGTTGAAGTTTCCTTCTATTCCTAATTTACTGAGAGGTTTTTTTTTTTAAATCAGTAATAGATGTTGGATCTTCTCAGTTGCTCTTCGTCCATATAAAGAGATGGATCATACAGTTTTTAGTTGAGACGATCATATGGTTTTCTTTTTTTATCTGCTAATATGGTAAATTGTACTGATTATTTTTTAATGTTAAGCCAGCCTTGGATTTCTGGGGCTAAACTCCACTTGGTCATGATACATTACCCTTTTAATACATTGCTGTATTTGATTTGCTAAAAATGTTTAAAGAATATTTATGTCTATGTTCATGAGTGATATTGATTTATAATTTTCCTTTTTTCATAATGTTTGGTCCAGGTATCAGAGTAATGCTGGCCTCATAGAATGACTTAGGAAATGCTCATTCCTATTTCAGTTTCTGGAAAACTTTATGTGTATGAGTATTATTTCTTCCTTAAATGTTTGATAGGCATCACCACTAAGCCATCTTGACCTGGAGTTTCTTTATGGGAAGGTTTTATAGAATTTTTATTTAAAAAATTAAGCAATTGTGCTATGATGTTACAATGACTACAACATCACTAGCTAACAGGGCTTTTTCAGCTCTATTATAATCTTATGGGACCACTGTCATATATGTGATCCATCATTGCAGCATCTGTTATGGAACACATGACTGTACTTTAAAGATGTTCTTCCACTGTCTTCCTATTTGCATTGTTTCTGAAAAGAAGTCCATTGTCATTCTTATATTTCTTTCTCTTTATGTAATGCCTGTGCCCCCCTCCCCCCGCTTGCTTTTTATACTTTTCTCTTTATCATTGGTTTTAAGCAATTAGATTATGATTCACATTGGTCTAATTTTCTTTATATATGAAGTTTTCGCCAAATTTATAACAATTTCTGCCATTATTTTTTGAAATATTTTTTCTGTCCACTACTGTCTTTTGAGGACTCCAATTACACACATATTAGACTGCTTGAAATTGTAGCACAGCTCACTGATACTCTTCATTTTTTTCCATCTTTTTTTCTCTGTGTTTTGTTTTAGTTTCTATTTCTACATCTTCAAGTTCACCTATCTTTTATTTTCTGCCATGTCTAATCTGTTGTTAGTCTCATCCAGTGCATTTTTTGTCTCTGATATTTTATTTTTTATATCTAGACACTTGATTGAAGCTTTACTTAAAAAGTATTTTTCACTGGGTGTGGTGGCACACACCTGTAATCCCAATGCTTTTAAAGGCCAAGGTAGGAGTATCACTTGAGTCCAGGAGTTCAAGACCAGCCTGTGCAACATAGGGAGACTCTGTCTCTACAAAAAAATTAAAAAGTTAGCCAGATGTGGTGATGCATACATGTAGTCTTAGCCACTTGGGAAGCTGAAATGGGAGGATCATTTGAGCTTGGGAGGTCAAGGCTGCAGAGAGCCATGTATGCTGGCCTGACAACAGGGCAAGACCTTCTGTAAAGAATAAAAAGAAAAGAACTTAAAAAGTATTTTTCATGTCTCTATTTAACATGCTCATATTTTCCTCTACTTTATTGACCGTATATAGTAGCGTTGTGAGTTTTTTAATGTGCCTATTTATTTAATGTATAATTTCTGGGTTGATTTTGATTTTTTTCCCCTTATCATGGGATGTAGTTCCTTGCTTCTTTACATGCCTGGTAATTTTTGATTCAATGCCAAACAATGTAAATTATATTTTTGTGGGTACTGAATATTCCTGTTTTCTAACAAATATTTTTGAACTTTGTTCTAGGACACATAAGTTACTTAGAAACAGTTTGCTCTGTTTGAATATTTATGTTTATGCTTTGTTATGTGGGATCAGACCAGCCTTTAGTCTATACATGGTTTTTCCCCATTACTAGGATAATACCCTTTTGAGTACTTTATTTAAGTTCCCACGCATTACAAGGTTTCCCCACTATGGCTGGTGGGAGCACCAACAATTCCCAGCTCTACGTAATCCTGGATGTCAGAGACCTGTTCATCTGCCTTTAATGGGGGCCTAAAAGATCCCTTCCACCCAAGTAACTAAAGCAATGTTAGGTCTAGCTGGCTAATACTAGAGCTAGCTGCTCCTTCAATTCCCAGAGTACCAACAATTTTCACACACCTCACAGGGAGCAAAGAGCTAAGGAGTCCTAACTCCCTCGTCCTCTGACCCTTCCTCCCTCCCATCATACCTGGCTCCAACACCCCATCCCCACTACCTTGGATCCTACGTGGGTTTCAAAATAGCCTAAAACAGAGAGGTTGAATTGAGCCACAGGCTGGGGCAGGGTAGGAGGTAGGCTTGGGACAACTGGGGTGATCTCCCATTATCCTGGGTAAACAAAGGCAGGATCAACCTAAGTCCTTTTGGAAGAGTAAGAGGCCAGCATAATGGTAGTGTGGCAGGATGGACAAAGAATGAAGTGTGTTTTCAAGAGGTCTCCAATCTCCATTCATTCATTTATTGAGTGTTTAAGGCATTCTCAGCACTGTGCTGAGTATCTTGACGGGTATCTGCCTGACAGCCCCCAAAGCCTGTTTAAGAACACATATGATCAAACGAGCAACAGACTACAATATTGAGTCAGTGATAGGGGTTGAGCAGGAGGGCCTAACCTGGCCTGGAGAAGAGGGAAGGTTTCCCAGAGGTGAAGGTCCGTTGGGTGAGCAGAAGTCAGCCTAGCCTTTCTTCCCTCCATGGTTCTGGCAGGGGCAGATGTGGCAGAGCCATGTCCTGGGCGCTTCAGGGTTTTTGCACAGCCTGGCCTCTCAGGCAGAAGACAGTTTGCAGATGGGACTCTCTTTCCATATTCTGAAGGCCATGACTCTCAACTGAAGCTCAAAAGCAAAGCACGTCTGTATGTGCTTCTCTCTCAGGAGAAGGGCTTCCTCAAGAATTCTAAATGACCCATAAAAACAACTGCCCTTTATTGAGCACCTCCTGTGCACCAGACCTTTTGCTAAACATCTTCACATATACCATCTCATTCAAGCTCCAGTGGTTGTTGGGAATATTAACTCCATTTTACAGATGAGGAGAATGATGCTCAGAGGTTTCAACAGCCTGCCTAGCATCACACGGCTCTCTGGGCGGAGCCAGGTTTGACCTCTGTTTGCCTGACTCTTGCCTCCCTTCTCAGTCTCATTCCCCTTCCATCCGACAACTTGGGTTCCTCCATTAATTCTCACTCCTCCTGGTGGAAACCCCTGTTGGGCCCAAGAGAGTTTGGGAGGATGGAGGATCTCAACATCCTCCCTACCTATGCTGGCTCCTGGCCCAGGTAAGGTGCGGTGTCATGTCTGGACCTTGGTGAATGTCTCAGCCCCTTTTAGTCTCCCAATTCCTCACAAATAGTCACCCTGTGTACAGTCAAAACTCACTTTTGACTTTAAAGGATCCAAGTTACCAGTCCTTTTGGGTGAAAGTGAGAAGCACCATGTTCTTCTCCTAGGCTATGGTGTTGTTAAAGAAAAAATTATTCAGTGATACCTGTTAAAGCATGGTACAGGAGACTTTATTTGGGAACATCACAATAGGTTTAGGGACCACTGCAATGGGGTTTTGCAGTGGGGGAAAGAGTGGGACCTGCTGCTTGGCCTTGGGCAAAGTCAGCCTGTGGGGGTTCCTGGAGGCCCCTCCTTGGTCACCTCATACAGAATTATGGACAAGAGGAGAGACTCTACCCTACAGAGATACCGTGTTTGACTCTTACCCCAGGTTTCGACATATGCAGACTGGAGAAGGACCACAGTATCTGGGATGCTCTATTCCCTGGGCCAGGTGGCCTGGGGTGGGCAAGAGGATGGCAAAGGGGGAAGGCGGGCTTCTCCAGGGAGATGGAATGCTGAGCCTTGCAGGTGTCAGCTGCTCTGGCATCCATCAAACCATCACCACCTCCAGGGCTTCATGTTGAGGCTGGAGGAGGCAAAGAATGTGTCCCCTCTACCACGTCCCAAAAGTGGGGAACTACTTCTTGGAAACCCTGTTCTCTCTCCTTATTCCGAATATCCAGGAGAGCTTAGACAGGCCCCACTAGTACTCCTATAGGGCAGTGGGTACAAAACCCTGGCCTGGGCACTGGACTTGGGCACTGGTTGAAATACAGATTCAAAGCACACACACACAGATTTTTCTCAGGAGCTGGGCTGAGACAAAGGTGGAATAAGAGAGGAGCCTAGGGTGAAAAGTTCAAGGAGCCCCCGTTCTCAGGAGCAGACCCTGCACTTGCAAGACCCTGAAGCAATAGCCTCCTAAGATTTGTGGCCTGGGCCCCTGGTTGCTTTACCCTGCTGAATTTGTTGGCCTGTTCAGGAGGTCTGGGGATGGCCCTGAGGGCCAGCCAAGTTTGGGAACCATTGCCTTCCACAAAACAAGCACTCAGTATCATGCACAGAATAACAGGCAATGCCAACAGGGCTGCCTTTCTTCTTAGCAATGGCAAGGAAGCGCTAGGGCAGCTGGATGGCTAGCAAGCTGGGATGGATGTGATGGTAGAATAGGAGTCTGGGGAAGGGAGGAGCAATGGGGAGGACAGGCAGGGTGACAGACAGACATGAATGAGGTTGAGGAAGGACTTGGAGGCAATGGTCTTGCCCACTTCAGTAACTCACAATTCCTATCCCACCTCATCCCTTGAACCCAGCAGCCCACTTGTGCTCCAGGTGGCAGCTGGAAGGTACAGAGCAATGGACCCCCATGTGGTGGAGATGCCCGGGCTTGTTGTCTCATGATCCAGCTTGCAGGGAGCACTGTCTTCTCACTGGATTGAGGTTCACTGTGTGTGCTTCTCCTGATGGGTGAACAGCCACAAAAAGCAGGGCTGGGAACCACTGTGGAGGCTCCTCTTAGCATGGCCCCTGCTCAGCTGGGGCTTCCTGCTCAAACTTCTTTGCCCCTCCAGGCTGGGAAGGCCCTTCTCCCTCCTCCCCTCTGCCCATCCCAGTGGCCACCTTGAGGTCCACCTGTCCTTATTCCTTTACATAGATAATGAAGCACTGTCCTTACCAAGCCTACTCTTCTGTTTTCTTCTGTGATGCTCCCTGTGATCCCAGGAGTTCATCAGGGAGAACCTTAATCCCATTTCATGTAAGGGATAAAAGTAAAGGCCAAAGAGGTTAAGTGACATGACCAACTTGACCCAGAAATTTGTTCATTGGGTTTGCATAAAATTAAGGCCCAGGGTCATTTTCCTCTATGTGGTCTTGGTCCTCCCATCAGTCCAGCCCTCCCCCACCAATCAGAACTGTGAAGGCTGCATGTCATGTCTTGGTTGGTCTCAGGTCCCTTGTGCAGGTCAGCCCTATGTGGCTTCTACTGCCTTGACTAGCTGTGATTTGTCACCATAGTGGGCCTGTCAGCTTCTCAGATGGCCATGTCCCTGAATGCCCCAGAGTGCCTTCACATGCCTGGTGATCAATAAATGTCTGCTGACCGAGTTCCTGTTAATGAACAGTGATGCTTCATCAGTGAATATTGATGGATTGGGACTCCTGTGTACTCTGGACAAGAAGCCAGGGCTTTTGCCAAATGCAGCAAAGAATAATTCCCAGTAAGTTGAAGGCATTCTAATCCCCTACACAGACAAATCTGTAATTGATTCAGGCTGGGGGATGGGGTGTCTCTCTGTTGTCATGGTGACTTATTAAAAAAAAAAAAAAGGATTCTTTAACAGCATCCCAGACATTATGACTCTGAAGTAATAGCCCTTTTAAAATTGAATCATATTAATAAGATCCACCCGACTGCACAGTTTTTTTTTTTTCCTTTGGATGCATTATTAACCTGGCTAGCAACAAGACCTCATCAATGCAAGTGCCTGTTCAATAAGAACAACATTTCCAGCATTGAATAAGGAAAGCTGCAACTCTCCAATTCTGGAGATCATGGTGGGTAAGGAATAAGCTCTGAATGGTGATCTTTGGGTTGTAGAGTCTTGAAGGGCCAGGATTGCATGTGGGTCGTCTCTCTTGATTGAATCCCTAAAACTTGGGGCAGCCTGTGCAGGCACACAAGCCAGCTAGCCACAAAGCATCAGAGGGAAGTTGAGAAAAGAACAAAGTAAATTTCACAGAAGTTCTACATTGTGTAAGAGATGAATTGCAAAAATCTTGATTCTCACAGTTCTTCTACCCGAGCATCAGTTTTCAACATTGGATTTAACATTTTGCAAGTATTTACTGAGCACCATGGTGGACAGACTCTAAATTGACTCCCAACAGTCCCTACCTCTTGGCATTCACACCCTATGTAATCCCCTCCACTTGAGTGTTGGCAGGCCCTGAGACCTGCTTCTAACAATAGAATATGGCAAGGCAATGAAACAACACTTCTATGATTATGTTACATAAGAAGCAACTTCTGTCTTGTTGGCAGACTTTGTTCTTTACTGGCTTTGATGAAGCAAGATGCCATATTGTGAGCTACTCTATGGAGAAAACCCCCTGGAAATCAACTGAGATTGGGCTCTGGCCACAGCCAGCAAGAACTGAGACTCTCAGTCCAGTAACTCACAAGGAACTGAATCCTGCCAAGAACCACATGAGCTTGGAAGTAGGATCTTCCTCAATCAGACCTGCAGATGAGACTCCAGTTCTGGCCAACACCTTGATTGCAGCCTGATGAGAAAGTCTACTACAGAAGACTCAGCTAATCCATGCTCAGATTATTGACCCACAGAAACTTTAAGATAGTAAACATGGGTTGTTTTAAGTTACTACCTTAGTGATCATTGGTTACATAGCAATAGATAACTAATACAAGTACCTACTGATGTTGTAAGTGCCATGAATACACCAATGAGTAAGACAGACAATGTCCCTGCCTTAATGGATGTTTCATTCTGTTTGAGGAGTCAGACAATAAGTAAATTAATACATTATTGCCATGAAGAAAAAGGGGACAGAGTAGGAAGTGGGTGGTATTTCAGATAGGGTTGGTGAGGAAGATTCAGTGTGATGAGGAAGTGTTTGTGCAGAGAGCTCAAAAAGTGGGCACTTCTGAGGGAAGAGTGTTCCAGGCAGAGGGAAGAGCAAGTCCAAAGGTCCTGGGGTGAGGAAGGGGTGAGGATCGAGCTTGGTAGGTCAAATTCCAGTTGGTAGAGGGAGTGTTGTAAGAGACGAGCTTGGAAAGTTAGTGGGGCCAGACCATAAATGGCCCTGCAGGTTGTGGGGAGGGCTTTGCTTATATTTGCCATGTGAGAGGGGGCTCCAGAGCCTTCTGAACAGATGAGTGATGTGACCCAACCCAAGTCAGAGTCTCTCTGAAAGGACAATCCTCCTCTAATAGCCATGACATGAATTTCTACTCAGGGCCTGGAAAGTGACAAAGAGCCTTCTGATCCATTTTGCTTCAGGGGTTCTCTCAGAAACCCTGTAAGGTGGATGGGGCAGGTACAGGAATTCCTCCCTAACTGTGCTCTCCCCTAGTTTAAAATGCTTGTCTCTGTGGCTGGACCCCTGGGTCCTATCTCCACACTAGGAGCCATTAGAATAGAGCAGGACAATTGATGAGTCACTCCAGTCATGCTGTGGGGACCCTGGGTCATAATGTCAGAAAGGCTTTCGGGTCTGTGTGGGGGATGAAGTAGGTGAAAAATGGTGCTTCCCGGGTGCATGTTATTTGCAGCAAAGGCAAATGAATGTACAGGGATTTTTTTATAGGCATCTTTTTGTAAGATTTTAAAAATCTTCTCTTTTCTTTCCTTTTTTCTTTTTTAAGCTCCAGGTCCTCTGAAGGCATCTTTTTGAAATGTCAAAGAAGGAAGACCTTGAAAATATTTCTCATGAATTAATTATATAGGGCCCATTATTACGAATCTAAAATATTGCAAATGCCATTAAGATGATGTGTTTTTTCTTTGAGTAGTACTCTCTTTATTGTGTTCTTTTAGAGGCCATATAAATACATATTAGAAGTTTTATGTATTTACATACATTATTAATCCTTCAATTTAACTTTTTCCTGTAACATTATATAGATATATAGATATACAGTTTCATATCTATAATTTTATTGTTATGTAAACATAAACCTCAGTGCTGAAAGAGAAATTTGTCTTTCAGCCCCGTCCCTGAATTTTAAGAGATTAAGTAAAAGGCTGCTATAATTTCTTAGTGGGTCCTGCTGACTTGGGCCATAGCAGAGGGGAGGGCAGCAACCATATTGGAAGACAGGTGAATAAAATCTCATTCTGCCCTCCATCCAATCCCTCATCCATCCATTCATCTACTTATCCATCCACTCACCATCTGTCCACTGCCCATGCATCCATTTTTTCATTCATTCATTCATCCATCCCTCACCCATCATCCATCCCTCACCTATCCTCCATATGTCTATACAGCCAACTATTTATCCATCATCCATTCATTCATTCATCCATTCTTCACTCATACTCCACCCATCTATGCATTCATCTACTCATCATCCATCCATTCATTTATTTGTTTTTCATCCCTGCATTCCACACATATTTATTGGGCACCAAACATGGCCAGACATTGCAATAGGAAATGGGAGACAGGCAGAGATGGTATTTTGTCTCACATACAGTCTAATCTTTGTTCTGCAAATAAAGTTTCGTTCCTTCCCCATAGCACTACTCCACCACTACCCTTGAACTCTCATTTATACAGTCACCTATTTAAGTCTTGCCAAGGGATATGCGGGTAAACTTTGCTTTCCATTCTGGAGTAGAATCCAAAAGAGTCCCTCAAAGCACTCCTATCCCACAGAATGTGCCTTTGCGTCTGAGACGGACATGATGAGGGATGACAATCAGAGATGTCAGAATCTGGTCCAAAGTCCTTCTGGCACTTAATTCATGGGAAGCTCTTTAAGGTGTCAGTACTAATAGTCCAAAGCCTTCTGAAACAATTCAAATGTGTTGAATAATTACTATATATGGCAGGATTGATGGATGTGCTCTTAGTTTCAAAAATATGGTTCTTTCTAGGTCCTCTACCCCTTCTGCTCTAAAATTTTGGAGTGTTCCTCAAGGTTAAATTTTCAGCCATTTGCTCTATGTAACCTGAGTTAATCCTTCAACTTAATTTTTTAGATTTTACCAAATCTAAATCCTGGTCCAACCAGATCCCCTAAGCTCTTGACTTGTGCTTCTATTTTCCTGCTAGACTCAGGTGTCCTAAAAGGAATTACTATGAGCTGAATATTTGTGGTCCCCCAAAATTCAAATGTGGAAACCTAATCCTTAATTAGATGGTATTAGGAGGTGGGGCCTTTGGAAGATGATTAGGTCATGAGGGTGGAATACTCATGAATGGGATTAGTGTACTTATGAGGAACTACAGAGACCAGAGAGCTCTCCTTCCACCATGTGAGGACGCAGTGAAAAGCCACTGTCTATGAACCAGAAAGCAGGCCTTCACCAGACACTGAATATGCTGGCACCTTGATCTTCAGCTTCCCAGTCTCCAGAACTGTGAAAAATGAATGCCCGTTGTTTATAAGCCACCCAGTGTATAGTAAACTGTTATAGTAGCCTGAGCAGACTAGGGATAGAAACTCAACCTGTCCCAAATCAAATTCTTACAGCAACTACAACATTAAGGCCCCCAGAGCTCTAAGATATGATGAATGAAATCCACAAAGGATGACTCCTGGGCTGGCTGGGGTAGCACAGAGAGACAGTAGCTAATTCAGGGACATGAACCCATCTCAAGAAGTGTGCAATGGAGGCAGGGTGCAGTGGCTTATGCCTGTAATCCCAGCACTTTGGGAGGCCGAGGTGGGCAGATCATTTGAGCTCAGGAGTTAGAGACTAGAGTGGCCAACATAGGGAAACCCGTCTCTACTAAAAATACAAAAATCTTCTGGGTGAGGTGGCACACGCCTGTGATCTCAGCTACTCGGGAGGCTGAGGCAGGAGAATCTCTTGAACCCAGGAGGCAGAGGATATAGTGAGCCGAGATCGGGCCACTGCACTCCAGCCTGGGTGACAGATCTAGACTCTGTCTCAAAAATAGAACAAAATAAAATAAAATAAAATAAAATAAAATAAAATAAAATAAAATAAAATAAGGAGTGTGCAGTGGAAGGTGAGCAGCAGAGAAAACCTGGGATTCAGAGAGACAATGTTACTATCCAAGGAGGAGCGACTCTGGATAGAGGGTCCTCAATCCTGCCACTAGGGAGGGACTTCAGCCATGGGGTGGGAGATTCTTTTCAGGGTCCATGCTTCTTAAGCAGCTGAACGGTTAAAACCTTACCTTCTCAGCACATCACTACCAGGAAGTCGTTATTTGAGAATGATCAGGAGCCTTCCTGGCATCAGATCAGGATCCCACTGCTGTGAACACACTCCTTCTGGGGCAAGGGGTACATCAGTCTCCCGTGAGTATGGTTAGTTGGAGCCAAACCCTGACAGAAAACATTCTGAGTGGCCCAAGAAACACAGCCCAGCTGAGGCCTGGATTCTCCAGGATCTGGGAGCCAAGGGAGGCACTATTCATTTTATATGGTACTAATGACATCCAGTTGATTCACATTCATACCAGCTTGGTATGACCACTTCTTGCTGTGATTTCCAGGTCTGTTGGTTCTGGCATTTCCTTTATCTGCACAATAATATAGAAGAGCTCACTTTTAGGAGACATCACTCAAATAGCTAAAGTTTTCCTGCCATTTAAATGTATTTGCAAATGAAATGTAAATTGGTACAATTTTAGAAAACTATTTGGTAGTATTTACTAAAATAAACACCTACTCCATGATCTAGAAATTCAATTTCTAAGTATATGTTTGAGAGACATAAGTGCATGCATCTGGCAAAACACATATATAAGAATGTTCATCACAACCTTTTCCACTATAGCACCAAACTGAAAGCATCCAAATGTCCATCAGGAGGAAAATGGATTAGAAAACCCCTGAACTGTGGACATCTGTACAATGGAATACTATACAGCAATAAAAAGGAATAAAATACAGGTGTCTGCAACAAAGTGGATGAATCTCATGGACATAAGGTGAAAGAAAGACATCAGAAACAAAAGGCTACGTATGTTATCATTCCCTTCACATGAAGTTAAAGAGGTGGAAAAACTAATGACGTTAAAGGTCAGAGGTAAGAGGTCAGGTGGCCAAAGAGTGGGGCTACTGCCTGTGATCAGGTGGAAAGCAACCTTGAGGGGACTGGAAATGTACTTTATCATGATTTAGGTGTTGGCTACATGAATATATTTATATGTAAAAATCTGTTGGCTGTACATTGAAGATCAGTTCACTTTTTGCCATTTACTGCATCATACTTTTTCAGCATTAAAAAACATTTTAAAAATTTTAAATGCATTTATCCCTGAGCAGAGTATTACGCTAATCCAGGAGAGCAATGTGTTTAATCTCTCATACAGACTTTAATACAGCAAAATTTTTCTTAAGAGGCTGAGTTATGGGGACATCTGTAGTGTGGCTGTGGGGGTGAGTGGTAATAGATATTTCAGGGTTTCAGGCTACAACATCTCCGTCACAACTGCTCAGCTGTGCCCTTGTAGCATGAAAGCAGTCATAGACAATAAATAAACAAATGTTCCAATGAAACTTTTTGTTTTCTTTTTTTTACAAAAACAAGCAGTAGGGTGGATTTGGCCTGTGGACTGTAATTTGCCAACCTCTGATCTAGTTCATTGGTGGTGACATCCCAGGAAACTGTTGAGGCTTGAGGGGCCCCTGCAGGGCTCTCACCAGGGAAGAGTGCAACAATCCATTCGTTAGGTCTAGTTTGGGGGAGGGATAGAGCACTGGCATCAAGGGTGCCAGTGCCCATCCTGCTAAGTAGTCAGTTCCTCACACTTCACTGAGAAGGAGCCAGCTCCTCCCACAGAGGCCTCTGTAACTGCTGTTTCACAGAAAACAAACTCCCTTCATTCTTACCCCTCACAATGAAAGCCTCATCCAGCACCTGCCTTCACTGTCTGGCCCCCAGGACACTGCTACCTGCACATTCCTTCAATGCAGGTGACTCCTCCTTCATGCCTTATACCTCAGCTGTCCCTACTCCCATGCCACTTCCCCACCACCTGGTATAAAATTCCCCTCTCTTTGGGGGCTTCTGCTAATTTGTAACTGCCAGATGGTTTCACCTTGCCCATTGCCTAGACAGAGCCAATTTATCAACACAGGGGAATTGCAATAGAGAAAGAGTAATTCATGCAAAGTCAGCTGTGTGGATACTGGAGTTTTATTATTACTCAAATCAGTCTCCCCAATAATTTGGGGATCAGAGTTTTTAAGGATAATTTGGTGGGTACGGGGCCAGTGAATCAGGACCTCTGATTGGTCAGGTCAGAGATGAAATCATATGGAGTTGAAGCTGTCCTCTTGTGCTGAGCCAGTTTCTGAGTGGGGGCCACAAGACCGGAGGAACCAGTTTATCTGTCTGGGTGGTGCCAGCTGATCCATCCAGTGCAGGGTTTGCAAAATATCTTAAGCACTGATCTTAGGTTTTACAACAGTAGCAATTTGGGGAGGTTTAGAATCTTGCAGCCTCTGGCTGCATGACTCCTAAACCATAATTTCTAATCTTGTGGCTAATTTGTTAGTCCTGCAAAGGCAGTCTAGTCTCCAGGCAGGAGGAAATTTGTTTTGGGAAAGGGCTGTTACTGTCTTTCTTTCAGATCTAAACCATAAACTAAGTAAGTTCTTCCCAGGACTTTGTCTGGCCTATACCCAGGAATGAACAAGGACAGCTTGGTGGGTAGAAGCAAGATGGAGTAAGTTAGCCCAGATCTCTTTCACTGTAATAATTGTCTCAGTTATAATTTTTGCAAAGGTGATGATAAAAGAAAAACTTCAGCCAAATTAAATTTAAAGGAGTTTAACTGAGCAACAAATGATTCATGAATCAGGCAGTCCCCAGAATCACAACAGATTCACAGAGACTCCAGCGCAGCCACATGGTGGAAGAAGATTTATAGACAAAAAAAGGGAAATGACATTTTCATGCGTGTCCGTGTGAAGAGACCACCAAACAGGCTTTGTGTGAGCAATAAAGCTTTTAATCACCTGGGTGCAGGCAGGCTGAGTCCAAAAAGAGAGTCAGCAAAGGGAGATAGGGGTGGGGCTGTTTTATAAGATTTGGGTGGGTAAAGGAAAATTATAGTCAAAGGGGGTTGTTCTCTGGCAGGCAGGAGTGGGGGTCACAAGGTGCTCGGTAGGGGAGCTTTTGAGCCAGGATAAGCCAGAAGGAATTTCACAAGATAATGTCATCAGTTAAGGCAGGAACAGGCCATTTTCACTTCTTTTGTGGTGGAATGTCATCAGTTAAGGCAGGAACTGGCCATCTGGATGTGTCCATGCAGGTCACAGGGGATATGATGGCTTAGCTTGGGCTCAGAGGCCTGACATTCCTGTCTTCTTATATTAATAAGAAAAATAAAATGAAATAGTGGTAAAGTGTTGGAACAGTGAAAATTTTTTTGGGGGGTGATACGGAGAGAGAGAATGGGCGATGTTTCTCAGGGCTGCTTCAAGCGGGATTAGGGGCGGCGTGGGAACCTAGAGTGGGAGAGATTAAGCTGAAGGGAGATTTTGTGGTAAGGGGTGATATTGTGGGGATGTTAGAAGAAACATTTGTCATATAGAATGATTGGTGATGGCCTGGATACGGTTTTGGATGAATTGAGAAACTAAACGGAAGATACAAGGTCCGAATAAAAGAAGGAGAAAAATGAGTATTAAAGGAATAAGAATTGGGAGGACCCAGGACATCCAATTAGAGTGCCCAAGGGGGTTCAGCATAATTACTTGCTTGGTTGGCAAGTTTTTGGGCTCTATCCTTGAGTTTGTTTATGTTGTCATACACCAGGCCAGATTGATTTAGGTAAAAACAACACTTTTCATTTAAGAATATACAGAGTCCTCCTTTTTCAGCAGTGAGTAAGTCAAGGCCTCGGCGGTTTTGGAGGACAACTGCAGCTAAAGAGTCAACTTGGGCCTGGAGGACTGATAAAGTTTGTGATATGTCTGTGATGCTAGCAGAGAAGTCATTAGACAGGCTACGGAAGGTCGTGACAGAGGTTGAAATGCCTGCTATTCCAGTACCGAGAGCAATAGTGGAGGTGGAAAGTCCTAAACCGACCAGCAGGGAAATTAGTGGAATAACTCATTTTTGTCATGTTGGTGTCATGAGGGGAACAGGGAGCTCTTCGGTCCCATTTGCAAATTGAATTTTCTGGGTAAGGACAACTAGTGTGCATGTGCCTGTCCAATTAGCAGGTAGACACATGTAGGTGGAGGATCCACAGGGGAAGAAGAGACCTTGTGAGAGGCAAAACTGGAGATGCAAAGTAAAAAGATGAGAAGGAGTGCTGAAAGGGGTGTCTTGTACCCAGACTCCTAGGGATCCAGCTAGGGCGGCAGCTGTCAGAGGTTGTAATGGGGACTGATGGGGTAACTGTGTAGAGGGGGAGGTTCGATTTTCATGGTGTATGAGAAAACGTTGAGTATCTACCAGCAAACTTTCACTGCTATTTTCAGGGCTGGGTATAAGTAAACAAGAAAAGGGCCTGGGAGGACAGTCTGACGAGCAAGGGGAAGGTAGCCAAGGATGGAGTGAAATACAGGGTAAGTGTCTTCCTAAGCAATAATTACTGCTAACATTTTTAAGTTTGCCAGTATTGATAGAGGGCTTATCTGTAATATGGAGCTGGAAGGCTCCAATTGTTTCAGTGATGTGTGTAGTTGGGCTTTGGAGATGAAGAGTGAAGGAACATCGAGAAGGTGAAAGATTACCTAGGGGAATTCTGGTGGGTTTTTGCTGAGAGATACATAAAGGAGCAGCCACAGGAATAGTAGTTTGTGTTGTGAGGGGTCCAAATAAGGGGGGAGTAGAGTTAATATAAGGAGAAAGGTTTTTTAAGTAAGTGTGGAGGAGGACGGCAGCTTGCTGATGTGAAATGTCTGGGGTAGTCTTGCTGGACCTGTCTAGAAAGTAAATGAGTTCTTCAGGAGGGTAAAGGTGAGGGCTGTTAAAGGAAGTTCGGAGGTGTAAGGAGACAGAAGATGTTGCTCAGTCTGTCTGTAAGGCGGGGACAGCTGTGTAGGCACTGGAAGAAAGGGAAATGCAAAGCCAGCAGTTGTTCACTAAGGAGGGATTAGAAGTGGCTAGGAGAGAATGGGTAAGGTTGATAGTGTGGTGGAGATAGCTGGGGAGAGGTAGAGAGTGGCATAAGAATGGGAATGAGAATAAGAGTGAGTATAAAAGTAAGGAATAGTATAAAAGTAAGGGTGAAAGTATTGGAGGGTCCCCTGCCAGCAAAGATCATCTATCCACTCTAAGAGGGAGTTAAGAGTTGCCAGTCCTGGGTGGGGGCAAATCCTTGAGCTTGATGTGTAGGGAAGGGAGGGGGCCTAAATAATCCCTGAGGAGTAGTAGAATAGCAGATGGAAGAAGTTACTTCCTTGAGGATAGATTTCCACGATGGAAAGGAAATGAGAGGTTCTAAGAGGCAGGCTGGTGGCTTGTACTGTAGCATAGCCTGCCTTTGCTGGTGTGTGGCGATTAGGCCTGGTGGAACTACCATCAATAAACCAAGTGTGTTCAGGGTGAGAAACAGGGAAGAAGGAAATATGGGGAAATGGAGTGAATGTCAGGTGGATCAGAGAGATGCAGTCATGAGGGTCAGGTGTGGTATCTGGAATAATGTGGGAGGCTGGATTGAAGTCTGGGCCAGGAACAATGGTAATTGTGGGAGACTCAACAAAGAGTGAGTATAGCTGAAGAAGCCAGGGAGCAGAAAGTATATGCGTCAGGTGTGAGGAAGAAAATAGATTTTGGAAATTATGAGAGCTTTAGAGAGTGAGTTGAGCATAGTTTGTGATTTTGAGGGCCTCTAAAAGTATTAGGGCAGCAGTGGTCACCGCACACAGACTTGAGGGATAGGCAAAACAGTAAGGCCAAGTTGTTTGGATAAAAAGGCTACAGGGCGCAGTCCCAGTTCTTGTGTAAGAATTCTGACTGCACAGCATTGCCCTTTGGTTGTGGGTAATGAAAAGGGTTGGGATGAATCAGGGATAGCTAGAGTGGGGGCAGTCTCTAAAGCTGTCTTCAAGGAATGGAAGAAGGAGTGGGGAAAGGATTTAGGATCTATGGGGTCAGCTAGGTTTCCTTTGGTGAGTTTATATAATGGTTTTGTTAGGATGGCAAAACTAGGTGTCTAAAGGTGAAAGTATCCAACCATGCCCAGGATGTAGAAGGTGTTGGGGTTTGAGAGATCAGTCAGACACGATCGGCAGGGAGAGCATGTGTGTTTTTATGAGAATTATGCTGAAACAGGTAACAGATGAGGAAGAAATTTGGGCTTGACTGAAGTAATGGGGGCTATCTGTGAAGCCTTGCGGCAGTACAGCCCAGGTAATTTGCTGAGCCTGATGGGTGTCAGGGTCAGTCTAAGTGAAAGCGAAGAGAGGCTGGGATGAAGGGTGCAAAGGAATAGTAAAGAAAGCATGTTTGAGATCCAGAACAGAATAATGGGTTGTGGAGGAAGGTATTGAGAAAAAAAGAGTGTACAGGTTGGGCACCACAGGGTGGATAGGCAAAACAATTTGGTTGATAAGGCGCAGATCCTGAACTGACCTGTAAGACTTGTCCGGTTTTGGAGAGGTAAAATGGGGGAATTGTAAGGAGAGTTTATAGGTTTTAGAAGCCCATGCTGTAGCAGGCAAGTGATAACAGGCTTTAATCCTTTTAAAGCATGCTGTGGGATGGGATATTGGCATTGAGTGGGGTAAGGGTGATTAGGTTTTAATGGGATGGTAACGGGCATGTGATCGGTTGCCAGGGAAGGAGTAGAGATGTCCTACACTTGTGGGTTAAGGTGGGGGGGATACGAGAGGAAGACGCAAAGGAGGCTTTGGGTTGGGGAGAAGGGCGGCAATGAGATGCGACTGTAGTCCAGGAATAGTCAGGGAAGCAGATAATTTGGTTAAAATATCTCAGCCTAATAAGGAAACTGGGCAGGTGGGGATAACTAAAAAAGAGTGCATAAAAGAGTGTTGTCCAAGTTGGCACAAGAGTGGGGGAGTTTTCAGGGGTTTTGAAGCTTGGCCGTCAATACCCACAACAGTTATGGAGTCAAGGGAAACAGACCCTTGAAAAGAAGGTAATGTGGAGTGGGTAGCCTCCGTATTGATTAAGAAGGGGACAGACTTACCCTCCACTGTGAGAGTTACCCGAAGCTCAGCGTCCGTGATGGTCTAGGGAGCTTCCGAGGTGATCGGGCAGCGTCAGTCTTCAGTTGCTAAGCCAAGAAGATTTGGGAAGGAGTCAGTCAGAGAGCCTTGGGCCAGAGTTCCAGGGGCTCTGGGAGTGGCTGCCCCACGAATTGAACAGTCTGATTTTCAGTGGGGTCCCGCACAGATGGGACATGGCTTAGGAGGAATCCCAGGCTGCGGGCATTCCTTGGCCTGATGGCCAGATTTCTGGCACTTGTAGGAAGCTCCTGGGGGAGGCGGGCCTGGAGGAATGCCTGGCCACTGCGGTTTAGGCATTTGGAAGTTCTTGTGTGCTGGAGATGTGGCTGGGGTTTGTCTCACAGTGGAGGCAAGGAATTGCAACTCAAATATGTTGCTACTTGGCTGCCTCTACTTTATTATTGTACACCTTGAAGGTGAGGTTAATTAAGTCCTGTTGTGGGGTTTGAGGGCCGGAATTTAATTTTTGGAGTTTTATTTAATTTTGGGAGCAGATTGAGTAATAAAATGTATATTGAGAATAAGACGGCCTTTTGACCTTTCAGGGTCTAGGGCTGTAAAGCATCTCAGGGTTGCTGCCAAAAGAGCCATGAACTGGGCTGGGTTTTTATATTTGACAAAAAAGAGCCTAAACACTCTCTGATTTGGGATAAGGAAAAGGAGAATTAACCTTGACTATGCCTTTAGATCCAGCCACCTTTTTAAGAGGAAATTGCTGGGCAGGTTGGGGAGGGCTAGTCACGGAACGAAACTCTAAGCCAGACCAGGTGTGAGGAGGGAAGGTGATTAAAGGATTATAGGATGGAGGAGCGGAGGCTGAGGAAGAATTGGGACCTAGCTCGGCCTGGCAAGGAGGGGAGAGGTCAGATGGGTCTGTAGAAAAGGAAGATTAGAAGGACTCAGCGACACTTGGGGTTGGGACTGAAGGGACAGGTGGGAGGGAAAGAAGGAAGATTTGGGACAAGCTGCATTGGGAACAGAGACTAGGGAGGGACTGATGTGTAAAAGAGTGCCTGGATGCCAGGCACCTCAGACCGTTTGCCTATTTTATGACAAGAATTATTTAGATCTTGTAGGATGGAAAAATTGAAAGTGCCGTTTTCTGGCTATTTGGAACCGCTGTCGAGTTTGTACTGGGGTCAAGCAGCATTGTAGAAGAAAATAAGGCATTTAGGTTTTAGGTCAGGTGTGAGTTGAAGAGGTTTTAGGTTTTTAAGAACACAGGCTAAGGGAGAAGAAGGGGGAAGAAGCTTGCCCATAGTGAAGGAGGCAAGCCCAGAGAAAAGAGAGAGTAGAGACACGGAGAGAAGGGGTGGGGGGGCTCTTGTCCTCCAGAAAAGTGGAAAAGGGGTCAGGGCACAGAAATAAGGGATCGGGGTGCAGAGATAAGAGGTTGGGGCACAGAAATAAGGGATTGGGGTGCAGAGATAAGAGGTCGGGGTGTGGAAATAAGGGATCAGGGCACAGAGATAAGAGGTTGGGGTGTGGAAATAAGGGATTGGGGGGTTCTTGCCCCCAGAAAAGCAGAGAAGGGGTAGAGACATGGAGAGAAGGGGTTGGGGGGTTCTTGCCCCCTAGAAAAGCGGTACTTGCCACTAAGGGTGAAGGAGAAGGATTTGGGGGTTTCTTGCCCCCCAGAAAAGCAGAGAAGGGGTAGAGACAGGGAGAGAAGGGGTGGGGGTCCTTGCCCCTCCCCCAGAAAAGCAGGACTTGCTGCTAAGGGTGAAGGACCAAGGCAGGTGTCCCTGCGTGGTCAGACACCTCTGAAACGTGGGTGAATAATCAGGCAGGTTTCCCCCCCATGATTAAACATCAAGGGAAGACTGTCTTCCTGAGTCTGTGACCGGCACCGGAGTTTTGGGTCCACGGATAAAACGCATCTCTCTTCATCTGTACCAGAAAAGGAAAGGAACTGAAATTAAGAGAAGGGAGAGATTGAAGGGTGGTGCCAAGATTGAAAGGAGAAAGTGGTTGAGGGATAGTGGGAGACGTTGGAGAAGAGAATAAGAAGAGGCCACTTACCTGATTTAAAATTGGTGAGATGTTCCTTGGGCTGGTGGGTCTGAGGACCCGAGGTCGTAGGTGGATCTTTTTCACAGAGCAAAAAGCAGGAGGACAGGGGATTGATCTCCCAAGGGAGGTCCCCTGATCCGAGTCACAGCACCAAATTTCGTGCTTGTCCATGTGAGGAGACCACCAAACAGGCTTTGTGTGAGCAATAAAGCTTTTAATCACCTGGGTGCAGGTGGGCTAAGTCCGAAAAGAGAGTCAGCAAAGGGAGATAGGGGTGGGGCCGTTTTATAAGATTTGGGTAGGTAAAGGAAAATTACAGTCAAAGGGGGTTGTTCTCTGGTGGGCAGGAGTGGGGGTCACAAGGTGCTCAGTAGGGGAGCTTTTGAGCCAGGATGAGCCAGAAGGAACTTCACAAGATAATGTCATCAGTTAAGGCAGGAACAGGCCATTTCCACTTCTTTTGTGGTGGAATGTCATCAGTTAAGGCAGGAACTGGCCATCTGGATGTGTACGTGCAGGTCACAGGGGATATGATGGCTTAGCTTGGGCTCAGAGGCCTGACAGACATACAGAAATCAGAAATGAGGTACAGGTACAGCTTGGTGTTTGCCTTATTTGAACAGTATGAACGCTCAGCAATGACTGAATGGTTGAAGTACAGCTGCTGGAATTGGCCAAGACTTAGCTATTGTTACAGGCACATACTCCTAAGTTAGATTTTCAATCTTGTCTACCTATTAAACTAGGCTGCAGTTCGTCCGCAAGGACTTAACTATAGGAGTACAGAATCCTTCTCAGGCCACCATATTTAGTTCACTTTAACAGCAGCTTCAGTACAGCTCTGTCACCCTCATTCCTGCTCAGTGCTGACACATCCTACCCTCCTGGGCACTTCCCTCTCACCGCCTCCCTCCTCACTGCAGGTCCTGTCCTCACCCTGGAGTCTCCAGTGCCCAGAGGCTGACCCATCCAATATCCTAGCCTCTGGGGCTGCAGACAGCCAGGGCCTTCATTTGTCTTCTGCCTCAGCCACTCACACCCACAGCCACACTGCAGACCTCCCCATTACAGAGCCCCACTCCACCAGCAGCATCTCACATCCACATGTCACACTCTCGGAACAGTCCCTCCCTCCTTCATTATCACCACACCTGTCCCTCACCCTGCTGAAGACAATTGAGAAGAAACAGATACATGGAAAGACCTCTGCCCTCTATTTATCTAAAAGTAGGAAATAGATTTGTAAAAGTGTCCCACCTCTCCTGTCTACCAGGAGGGACAGGAGTTGATCACTAGAGACAACTGTAAACCAAAAATAAAATTCTAAGCCTCGCAACCAATGAATAGACACCTCCTCTTAGCTAGGGGGAGTCCAGGGAAACCTGAAAGACTAGTTCACGCCATGATGGGAAGGTGGGGAGGTCAGACATGCCTCATTATACTCTCCTCCCTTTGGAACTCAGGCACAACTGACCATCATTAACGTGAAAACAGAGATCTTAAGAGGGAGAAAACAGACTGTTTATAGCAGTAAGTTACCAAATTCCAATCCGACTCTAGTATAGCATCACATAACAGATAGCAGGCCCTGAAAGAAATAAAAATATTTTACCCCAAAATATATTTCTTTGAGATACTCTTAAATTGCCCTGCCAAGGGAGAAATTTATATTCTGTAGAGAATCTCTTTCCCTTTCCAGGTCTTTTTCTGATCCTAAAGAAATTAGCTGAGAGTCTAGCACATTTTTAAAGGTCTGAATAGAAAACATTTGCCATCTATTGCCTCTAAGAGTGGCCACCTGTGAGACTTCATCTACATAATAAGAACCTTGGTCTCTACAAGCCCTTATTCTAGCCTGGATACTTCTTTCTATTGATTCCAGGTCTTTAGATAAAAACTTAATTCTTTCAAGCAATTGCCAATAAGAAAATCACTCCCTCACCCATTTTGAATTTTCCCACCTTTCAGGACCAAACAAATGTGTACATTACATATATTGATTGATGCCTTATGTCTCCCTAAAACATATAAAATCAAGCTGTAACCCATCCACCTTGGGCATATGTTCTCAGGACCTCCTGATGCTGTGTCACAGGTCATGGTCCTCACATTTGGATCAGAATAAATCTCTTCAGATATTTCACAAAGTTTGGCTTTTTCATCAACACAACTCTGGACCTAAAAGCCTGGAGATGGCACGAGAGGAATCTACATAATGAAACATAAGCCATGTAGGTCATAAATGATTATATTTGTAGACATTTTGGTGCCTTAATATCAGCAAGGGTTGCACAATGAGTTTCCATATGCATGAATTGCAGAGATGTGCAGAAATTCTAGTTACTTATAATATTTTGGGAAAGAAACCTGGAACAGATGCCTGCTTTAGATAATAAGAAGGCCTAATTACTTCTGAATTCCTCAGATAACGTGTTTTGCCTCTGGATAGCCTGCTTGATGGTAACCAGGTGATCTTTGCTCTCCTCAGATTATAGCAGAGACTGCCGGTTGCATTCCTGCAGCTATCCTCCCCTTTTACCTGGTAACAGATTCCTGATATTTCTAAATATGGGCAAATGGCTGTCCACAATAAAGGTATTTCCTAGCCTTCCTTGCAAGTGGTTGTGGTCATGTGACCTAGTTCTAGCCATTGAGAAGTGAAAGTGTCATGCGGGACTTCTAGGCTCCTTCAAAGAAGCTCAGTTAACTTGGAGTCACATCCTTGTCCCTCTCCCCCTTTCTCCTTTTCACCGTCTGGAATGAGGTGTAATGCCTGACTTCACTGCCATCTTGGATCACAAGAAGATTTTTAAGGATGACAGTCACATGTAGAGGAGCAAAAAGACGGGAGCAGTCTGGATCCTCGATAACTTAGTAGAGCCTCAAGATCTGCCATGGATGCTTATCTGGACTTCTTTTATGAGAGAAGAAAAACAAACAAACAAAACGGAATACCCCTGTGTGTTGGGTCTGTTACCAGGAGCTGAAATTAATCCCGATGTAACTCTCTTCCACCTGCCCAAATAAATGCATGCTCTCTCCCTGCCACAAACCTTCCTCCTCCTGCATGTCCTATCCCAGTGAAACGAACCGTTTCTCCTTCTTTGCCCATTTTTGGTTCACCTCTTGTTTAGACCAGAAACCAGGACTCTCCTTTGACTCCCTTATATCTCTTCATACCCAGTCAAAGATCAAATCTTGTCCTTCCTACCTCATGACTTTATCTCAGGGCAGTGATTCAGGTCATCAAAAACTATCACCCCATAGCCAATAGACCTCTGGGCCATGGTGTTCAGAGGCTGCTGAATGCCAGCAGCTCTCCTGGGTGCTAGATCTGGCTTGCCTTAAACAAAAAAAAGGAGGGTGTCTGGGGGCTGGATGGAGGGAGGAAGAGTCCCTAAATGGGACATGAGGCCCCAGGGTCATTCTTCTCTGCCCCACTAAGGGCCCAGCTATCTGGGGTGGTGTCACAGCCAAGGAAAGTTCCAGGCCAAATCTTAGCTTTTGTTTTTTGAATCTGCTGCAGCACTCCCTTCCTGGGGACTTCCCTGTTTTTCCCCAGAGTTACTTCCAGACATTTCTTCTTGGGGAGACTTAATTAGCAACTATAGGCTGTGTATGTGTAACACAGGTAAGGGCAATCAGGGCCCCAGGCACCCATGGGTTTAATTTTTTATCTATTGAGCACCTATTATGTGCCAGGCACTGTGCTGGCAGCCTCTGACATCCCTTCTGGGGAGAGTTTATCATGACTATTTTATAGTTGGAAACACTGAGACTCAGAGAGGTGAAATGATTTTCCCAGGGCTGCACAGCTCAAAAGGAAGGGGCCTGGGATTGTCCCTGGGTCTGATTCCAAATCGCTGCTCTTTCTCACCTCACCAATTATCCTAAACCTGTATAAACATCTCCATCACCTGCAGAGCTATTAAAAATTCTGATTCTAAGGCCAAACCCTATAGATTTGGCTTCAGTTGTTTTGGGCTAGAGCTGGGAGTTTTTGTTTTGTGTGTTTGTTTGTTTGTTTTATAAGTACCTGGGTCTCCCAGGTAATCCTGATGCTCAGCAGGTCTGGGATCAGCCCCTGCATCATGTCTGGCTGACTCCCAGTGGAAGGAGAAGCTGCCACGCCCCCTGTACAGCAGCGAGGAGGAGCTAGCTCGGTTGGCTCTGATGGGGCAACTGCAACCCTGCACAGAGTAGTAGCAGGCCCAGCAGATTCTGAGTAAAATTGCCAGGGCCAGGAGACAGACCCTTTGCTATTCCTACTCAATACTTGTTTCAGAGATTGTTGCCTTAAATTATTTGTGCATTTGACCAAATCTAGTCATTCTTTGTCCCAGCCAACCCACACAGAGAAGTCAAGTGAAGGTGCTGTATACAATATCTGCATCATGTCCCTGTTTGAATGTTTTCATGGGCTCCTCCTTATATGAGTGAAGTTCCTGGTCCCAGAGTAGCCCGACCTCCTGCTCCTGCCTTCTTCTCTCTGGCTTGTCTGCTGCAGAATTCTTCATATCCAGATTCTACTGCAGCTTAAATATTCCCTCTTCCAGGGAGCCTTGGGTGGCCTATCCCTCAGTCCTTTCTTGTCTTGCTAGAACACTTGCCATTGTCCAACCATCCATCTATACACTCATCCATCCATCCATCCATCCATCCATCCATCCATCCATCCATCTATCTACTCACCAATCCATCCACCTATACCCTTACCCATCCACCCAGCTATTCATCCATCTATCTATCCATTTACCTATCTCCCCACTTATCTGCACTTCCATCTCCTCTGCTGTGTCCTGTAAGCTTCACATTTATGTCCTAACAACACAGTAGAGGTCATTCCTTAAGGTCATAGAGTAGATCTTTTTTTTTTAACTTTTAAGTTCAGGGGTACAAGTGCATGTTGTTACATAGGTAAACTTGTGTCATGGGGTTTGTTGTACAGACTATTTCATCACCTGGGTATCAAGCCTAGTACCCATTAGTTATTTTTCCTGATCTTCTCCCTCCTCCACCCTCACCTTCTGAAAGGCCCCAGTGTGTTCTCTATGTGTCCAGATGTTCTTATCATTTAGTTCCGACTTAGGAGTGAGAAAATGCAATATTTGGTTTTATGTTCCTGTGTTAGTTTGCTAAGGATAATGGCCTCTAGTTCCATCCATGTCCCTGAAAAAGACATCATCTCTTTCTTTTTATTGCTGCAGAGTATTCCATGGTGTATATGTGCCACATTTTCTTTATCCAGTCTATCATTGATGGTCATTTAGGTTGATTCCATGCCTTTGCTATTGTGAATAGTGCTGCAGTGAACATACATGTGTATGTGTCTTTATAATAGAATGATTTATATTCCTTTGGGTATATATCCAGCAATGGGATTGCTGGGTCGAATAGTATTTCTGTCTTTAGGTCTTTGAGGAATTGTTACACTGCCTTCCACAATGGCTGAACTAATTTACACTCCCAGCAACAGTGTAGAAGTGTTCCTTTTTTTCCACAACCTCACCAACATCTGGGTTTCTTTTTTTACTTTTTAATAGTAGCCATTCTGACTGGTGTGAGATGGTACCTCATTACAGTTTTGATGTGCATTTCTCTAATGATCAGTGCTGTTGAGCTTTTTTTCATGATTATTGGCTGCATGTATGTCTTCTTTCAAAATGTGTCTGCTCATGTCATTTGCCCATTTTTTTATGGGGTTGCTTGTTTTTTTTCTTGTAAATTTGTTTAAGTTCCTTATAGACTCTGGATATTAGACCTTTGTCAGATACATAGTTTGCAAATATTTTCTCCCATTCTGTAGGTTGTCTGTTTATTCTGTTGATAGTTTCTTTTGCTGTGCAGAAGCTCTTACATTTAATTAGATCTCATTTGTCAATTTTTGCTTTTGTTGCAATTGCTTTTGGTATCTTCACCATGAAATCTTTGCCGTGCATACGGAATGGTATTGCCTATGTTGTCTTCCAGGATTTTTATAGTTTTGGGTTTTACATTTAAGTCTTTAATCAATCTTGGGTTAATTTTTGTATAAGATGTAAGGAAGGAATCCAGTTCCAATCTTCTGCAATATGGCTAGCCAGTTATACCAGCACCATTTATTGAATAGGGAATCCTTTCCCCATTGCTTGTTTTTTTCAGGTTTGTCTAAGATCAGGTAGTTGCAGGTGTGTGATCTCATTTCTGGGTTCTCTATTCTGTCCCACTGGTCTGTGTGTCTGTTTTTGTGCCAGTACCATGCTATTTTGGTTACTGAGCCCTGTAGCATAGTTTGAAGTCAGGTAGCATGATGCCTCCAGCTTTGTTCTTTTTGCTTAGAATTGCCTTGGCTATTCAGGCTCTATTTTGGTTCCATATGAATTTTAAAATAGTTTTCTCTAGTTCTGTGAAGAATGTAAATGGTAGTTTAATAAGAATAGCATTGAATCTATCAATTGCTTTGGGCAGTATAGCCATTTTAATGATGTTGATTCTTCCTATCCATGAGCATGGAATATTTTTCCATTTGTTTGTGTCCTTTCTGATTTCTTTGAGCAGTGGTTTGTGGTTCTCTTTGTAGAGACCTTTCACCTCCTTAGTTAGCTGTATTTCTAGGTATCTCTTCTTTTTGCGGCAATTGTGAATGGGAATTTTTTCCTGATTTGGCTCTCAGCTTCACTGTTGTTGGTGTATAGAAATGCTAGTGATTTTTGCACATTGATTTTGTATCCTGAGACTTTGCCGAAGTTGTTTATCAGCTTATAAACTTTTGTGCTGAGACTATGGTGTTTTCTAGATATGGAATCATGTCATCTGCAAACAGTGATAATTTGACTTCCTCTCTTCCTATTTGGATGCCATTCATTTTTTTTCTCCTGCCTGATTGCCCTGGCCAGAATTTCCAATACTACGTTGAATAGGAGTGGCAAAAGAGGGCATCCTTGTCTTCTGCCAGTTTTCAAGGAAAATGCTTCCAGCCTTCGCCCATTCAGTATGATGTTGGCTGTGGGTTTGTCATACATGGCTCTTATTATTTTGAGGTATGTTCCTTCAATACCTAGTTTATGGAGAGTTTTTAACATGAATTAATGTTGAATTTTATAAAAATCCTTTTCTGCATTCTATTGAGAAAATTATGTGCTTTTTGTCTTTGGTTCCATTTATGTAATGAATCACATTTATTGATTTGTGTATGTTGAACCAACTTTGCATCCACAGTGAAGCCTGCTTGATCATGGTGGATAAACTTTTTGATGTGCTACTGGATTTGGTTTGCCAGTATTTTGTTGAGGATTTTTGCATTGATGTTCATCTAGGATATTGGCCTAAAGTTTCCTTTTTTTGTTGTATGTCTGCCAGGTTTTGGTATCATTCTATGATGCTGGCCTCAGAATGAGTTAGGGAGAAGTCCCTCTTTCTCAATTTTTTGGAATAGCTTCAGTAGGAATGGTACTAGCTCTTCTTTGTATGTCTGGAAGAATTGAGCTGTGAATCTGTCTGGTCTTGAACTTTTTTTGATCAGTAGGCTATTTCTTACTGCCACAATTTCACCACTCGTTATTGATCTATTCAGGGATTCAATTTATTCCTGTTTCAGTCTTTGAAGGGGTATGTGTCAAGGAATTTATCCATTTCTTCTACATTTTCTACTTTATATGCACAGAGGTGTTTATAATATTCTCTGATGGTAGTTTGTATTTCTGTGGGGTCAGTGCCAATATCCTCCTTGTTGTTTCTGGCTGTGTTTATTTGAATCTTCTCTCTTTTCTTCTTTATTAGTCTAGCTAGTGGTTTACCTATTTTATTAATTTTTTTTCAAAAAACCAGCTCCTGGATTCATTGATTGTTTGAAGGGTTTTTCATGTCACTATCTCCTTCAGTACAGCTCTATTTCTTGACTTCTGCTAACTTTGGCATTTGTTTGTTCTTTGTTCTCTAGTTCTTTTAGAACTAGTTTCTTTTGTGATGTTAGGTTGTTAACTTGAGATCTGACTTTTTGATGTGGTCATTTAGTGCTATAAATTTTCCTCTTAACACTCCCTTAGCTGTGTCCCAGAGATTCTGGTATATGGTATCTTTGTTCTCATTAGTTTGAAAGAACTCCTTGATTTCTGCCTTAATTTCATTATTTATTAAAAAGTCATTCAGGAGCATGTTATTCAACTTCCATGAAATTGTATGGTTTTGAGTGAATTTCTTAGTTTTGATTTTGAATTTGATTGCACTGTGGTCCAAGAGAGTGTTTTTTATGATTTTGGTTCCTTTGCATTTGCTGAGGAGTATTTTACTTCCAATTATGTGATCAACTTTACAGTAAGTGCCATGTAGCAATGAGAAGAATGTATATTCTCTTGTTTTTGGGTGGAGAGTTCTGTAGGTGTCTATCAAGTCCATTTGATCCAGTGCTGAGTTCAGGTCCTGAATGTCTTTGTTAATTTTCTTTCTCAATAATCTAATATTGTCAGCGGGGTTTTAGAGTCTCCCACTATTATTGTGTGGGAATCTAAGTCTCTTTGAAGGTCTCTAAGAACCTGCTTTATGAACCTGGGTGCCCCTGTGTTGAGCGCATATATATTTAGGATAGTTAGATCTTCTTGTTGAATTGAACCCTTTACCATTATGTAATGCCCTTCTTTGTCTTTTTTGATCGTGTTGGTTTAAAGTCTGTTTCGTCAGAAACTAGGATTGCAACCCCTGTTTTCTTCTGTTTTCCATTTGCTTGGTAGATTTTCCTCCATCCCTTTATTTTGAGGCTATGTGTGTTGTTGCATGTGAAATGACTCTCTTGAAGATACCATACCATTGGACTTTGGTTCTCTATCCAGCTTGCCACTCTATGTTTTTTAAACTGGGGCATTGTGCCATTCACATTTAAGGTTAGTATTGGTATGTATAGATTTGATCCTGTCATCATGATGTTAGCTGTTTATTTTGCAGACTTACGTGGTTGCTTTATAGTGTCACTGGTCTGTACATTTCAGTGTGTTTTTGTAGTGTCTGCTAATGGTCTTTCTTTTCCATATTTAGTGCTTTCTTCAGGAAGTAAGGCAGGTCTGGTGGTAACAAATTCCCTCAGCATTTGTTTGTCTGAAAAAATCTTATTTCTACTTTGCTTATGAAGTTTAGTTTTGCTGAATATTAAATTCTGGGTTGGAATGTTTTTCTTTAAGAATGTCGAATATCGGCCCTCAATCCCTTCTGGCTTGTAGAATTTCAGCTGAGGGGTCTGCTGTTAGTCTTATGGGCTTCCCTTTGTAGGTGACCTAGCCTTTCTCTCTAGCTGCCTTTAACATTTTTTCTTTCATTTCCACCTTGGAGAATCTGATGATTATGTGTCTTAGGGGATGATATTCATATTGAGTATCTCACTGGGGTTTTCTGCATTTCCTGAATTTGAATGCTGGCCTCTCTAGCTAGGTTGAGGAAGTTCTCAAGGATATACTGAAATATGTTTTTCAAGTTGGTTCCATTCTCCCCATCTCTTTCAGGTACACTGATCAATCGTAGATTCAGTCTCTTCACATAATCTCATTCTTTTTCTTGCAGGTTTTGTTCATTCCATTTTATTCATTTTTTCTCTCTCGTCTGCCTGTCTTATTTCAGAAAGGCAGTCTTCAAGCTCTGATATTCTTTCCTCCGCTTGTTGTATTCTGCTATTAATACTTGTGATTGCATTATGAAGTTCCTGTACTGTGTCTTTCAGCTCTATCAGGTCAGTTACAGTCTTCTCTATACTGGCTACTTTGTTAGCTCCTGCAATATTTTAGCATGATTCTTAGCTTCCTTGCATTGAGTTACAATGTACTCCTTTAGTTCCATGAACTTTCCATATTCTGAACTTTCCATATTCTGAATTCTACTTCTGTCATTTTAGCTATCTCAGCCTCATCTGAAATTTTGCTGGAGAGGTTATGTGGTCATTTGGGAGAAAGAGGACACTTTGGCTTTTTGAGTTTTCAGTGGTCTGGCACTGACTCCTTCTCATCTTTCTGGGCTTATTTGCCTTCAATCTTTGAGGTTACTGACTTTTGGATGGATTTTTTTTTTCTTTTAACAGTCTGGCCACCTTTCTGTCAGGCTGCTACAGTATGCTGGGGGTCTGCTCCAGTGCATGGTCACCTCAGATTTTTCAGTGTCTGGAGGTATCACCAGTGAAGGCTGCAAAACAGCACAGATGGCAGCCTGCCCCTTCCTTTGGAAGTTCTGTTCCAAGGTGGTATGGACCTGTTGCTGGCTCAAATGCATCTGTAGATGGCCAGGGACTCCAGATAGGAGGTCTCATTCAGTCAGAAAGAATGGGATTGGGACCTCCTTAAAAAAGTAGTCTGGCCATATGTTCATAGAGCAGCTGTGCTGTGCTGGGGATACACTTCAGCCCCTGGTCACCTTGGACATTCCAAAGCCCAAAGGCTGGAATGGCTAAGTTGACCAAACAGCCAAGATGGCAGCCTGCCCCTCCTCCTGGGGGAGGAGGTATCCATCCCAAGGAGTCCTGAAACTTCTGTCAGCTGGAGAACACTGGTGAGTGTAGCTGGAGGCTCTGGTTAGGAGGCTCCACTTGGTGATGAGGAATGAGTTTGTCCTCCCTCTTAAAAAAGCAGTCTGGCCATGTTTTCATGGGTCTGTTGTGCTGTGCTGGGATACTACTTCCACCCCTGGTTGGCTTGGACTCTCTAAAGCCTGAAGGCTGGAACTCCTAAGTCACCCAAACAGCAAAGATGGTGGCCCACCCCTCCCTCTGGGAGTTCTGTCCCAGGGAGTTTTCAAATTTCTGCAGGCTGAAGAACACCGGTGGGGGTGGCTGGAGGCTCCGGTTGGGAGGTTCTGCCCAGTGAGGAGGAAGAGGATCAGGGACTGCTTAAAGAGACACTGTGGCCATGCTTTCATAGAGCAGCTGTGCTGTGTTGGGGTACCTCTCCTTCCCCCAGTCAGCTTGGGCTTTCCAGAGCCCAGAGGCTGGAACGGCTAAGTCACCTAAACAGCAAAAATGGTGGCCCACTCCTCCCTCCGGAAATCTGTCCCGGGGAGTTTTCAAATCTCTGTTGGGCAGAGAACACCGGCAGGGGTGGCTGGAGGTCCCATTTGGGAGGTTCTGCCCAGTGAGGAGGAACGGGATCAGGAACCTGCTTTAAAGAAGCAGTCTGGCGGCCGGCCGCGGTGGCTCACACCTGTAATACCGGCACTTTGGGAGGACAAGGCGGGTGGATCATGAGGTCAGGAGATCGAGACCATCCTGGCTAACATGGCGAAACCCCGTCTCTACTAAAAATACAAAAAATTAGCCGGGTGTGGTGGCAGGCGCCTGTAGTCCCAGGTACTCAGGAGGCTGAGGCAGGAGAATGGCGTGAACCCAGGAGGCAGAGCTTGCAGTGAGCCGAGGTCATGCCACTGCACTCCAGCCTGGGTGACAGAGCGAGACTCCATCTCAAAAAAAAAAAAAAAAAAGAAAAAGAAGCAGTCTGGCCACACTTTCACAGAGCAGCTGTGTTATGTTGGGGTACCACTTCTGCCCTGGTCAGGTGGGCTTTCCAAAGACTGCAGGCTGGAACGGCTAAGTCACCCAAACAACAAAAATGGTGGCCCACCCTTCCCTCTGAAAGCTCTGTCCCAGGGAGTTTTCAAATCTCTGTTGGCCAGAGAACACTGGTGGGGTGGCTGGAGGCTCTGGTTAGGAGGTCCTGCCTGGTGAGGAGGAATGGATTGGGAACTTGCTTAAAGAACAACAGTCTGGCCATGTTTTGGTAGAGCAGCTGTGCTGTGCTGGGGGATCCCTTCTGCCCCTGGTCAGTTTGGACTCTCCAAAGCCCACAGACTGGAACAGCTAAGTTGCCCTAACAGCAAACCTGGCAGCCTGCCCTACCCCCAGGAGCTCCATCCCAGGGAGGCGCCATGCTGCTACTGGTGTCTGGCTGGAATTTTTATCCTGTGAGGCACTGTGGAAGTGGGGCCTGCAGACCATTAGTGCTTGGCCCCCTGGATTCAGCCTTTTTCCTAGGGGTATGTATAGGGGTCTAACCTGCTTTGTCAGAATTGCGGTTACTTTTGCTGGGAAGCCCGGAGCTGGAGTATCCAAAGCTCCTGGGTCTCCATGCACGCGTGCCTGAGCAGGTGCTCTGCTGAGACTCCACATAGCTTCGTGTGTCAGGCTGAAGGACCTGACTAAGTGGGTTCACAAGGGATATCCTGATTCAAGGGTTGCAAAGAACCGTGGGAGAAATGTGGTTTCCTGGGGTCGCCCACTCACCCACTGCTTCCCTGGGCAGGGGAGGTTCCCTTGGCTCTATGTTGCTCCTAGGTGGGCTGTCATCCTGCCTTGCTTTTCTCTATCCTCCCTGGTCGTGTTGTTTCCTTGATTAGTCGCAGTGCGAGTATCTGGAGGTTTCTGTTGAAGGTGCGTATTTATTCACCCTTTCCGTTCCTCTTCCTAAGAGCCACACACACTAGCTGCTTCTAGTCGGCCATCTTGGCCACTCCCCCTAGACTAGAGATCTTCAATGTCTTCTTGAATCTTTACCTGCAATCCTCAGCTGTGACCCAAGCCTTGAATTTTCCTAACAATCCCCTTTGTCTATCTCCCCCTGCCCTCTAAACTGACCTACCCTGTGGCCCAATCTATCAAGATACTTGACTCTGCTATGAAACTGGTAAGGCAGTTTGTAATAATTGGATGATGTACTGTTTATTTTTCATTTTATTGGGAGAGAAGTTACATTTTATGGAGCATCTACTTTGTGCTAGGTGTTTTAACTCAGTTATCTTATTCACCACAAAAACTCCGAGTGGGTGTATTACCCATTTTGCCAATAAGGGAAACTAATATGCAGGGAAGTTAAGTGATACGCCCAAGGTCACACAACCAGTGAACGATGGAGCAGGAGAGTGAGATCCAGCCAGTGCATTTTCAATCCTTTCCTTGGCGCATACGGTATTCCTCCTTTCCTTCTCTGCAAAGTGCTAACTAGCAGCAGTCACCAGAGGGCAATGCGGGGCGGCCATGAGCCTGGCTCTCCTGCAAGGCCTGTTGTTAAGAGACTGAGCCTGTGGTCCCCAAATCTACCACCAGGGGGCAGGCGGGGAAAAGAAATGACACATACTGCACGGAAGGAGTGGTGGAGCAGCAAACGGGGGCGGCCACAGCAGCTCACTGACAATGTGAGTTGTTCTAGATATTACAGGTTCCACAGTGTGTTACTGAAATCTTCCCTACATGTATTGAAGCACCATATACCAACCAGAATTTTAATCTTTTTCGTTGATTAACTTAAAAGCTTCAGTAGCATTATGCTTTGGTAAAAAGAACACAATCCAGTCTCTGCAACTTCCTGGCTTGGGCAACAAATAAACACCATTAATTACCTCCTGCATGCCAGGCACTTTACATGCTTTATCTCATTTAATCTTTACATCTTTGAGAGGTTCAGAGAAGTAAAGTGATCTGCCCAGATTTACACAGCAGAGCCAGGATTGGTGGGTCTGGCTTCAAGGTTGCTTATCCATCCATTCAAGCCTCAGTAGCCTCATCTGTCAAAGGGACATGATCATAACAATACGTATCCCAATGTTGCGATAGTTAGGCATCAAGCTAATGCACACATATCAAAGGGTGGAGTGCTAAACTGGGTGAAGTAAAAGATGCTACTTCTCTGAGGCCTGCCGCACAGTGAATTCAAAAGCAGATTCACAAGCATAGTCTACCTTTTGCAGCACCAGTAGTGTTATAAATTCTGGTGGTGCATGTTTTCATATCTAATTTACATGGAGGGAAACTGAGGCCCAGAAAGGGTAAGACATTTGGCTGAACTCTCTCAATGCCTGGTGTTCATTAGCTCTCATTGATTCACACACTTGACAAACATTTATTGAATGCCTACCATGTGTCAGGCTTGTGCCAGACACTGGAATCCAGGGATGACTCATATATTGTCTCCACCCCTTACAGTCTAGGGAAGGGATGATTGCTCCAATCAGGACTGAGCCCTCATTCTCTACTGCCTTCTGTGATGTTTCCTCATCCATTCATCCAATCATTGAGCCACCCACCAATTCACCCAACCATCCACTCACCCGCCCATCCATCCATCCATCCATCCATCCACTCATCCATCCATCCATCCATCCATCCATCCATCCATCCATCCATCCACTCATCCATCCATCCATCCATCCATCCATCCATCCATCCATCCATCAATCCATTCATCCATCCATCCATTTATCTACCCACCTATTCATCAACCCGCCCACCTACCTATCCATTCATACATCCATCCATCCATGTATCCATGCATCCATCCATCCACCTATGCACCCACTTATCTGTACATCCATCTAAGCAATTGATTAGACTTTGCTTCCTTTGGGTGAGGTCCCTCATTAGTGCCCCCACAGGCATTTGTGCTTCCCTCTATCACATTACTGATCACTCTTGGTGTCATGGTGTGTTATTTTGTCTGTGCCCACTTCTAAATAGTGAGCTCCTGGAGAACAGGAGACACGGGCATAAGAAACACTCAGTAACTGCATGTTGAATAAAGCAGTGGTACCAAAAGTAGGATTCTGGGCACCTCAAGTCTTGTGAAAGATGACCCACTGAGATCCAGGGGGACAATTTTAGAACTTCCATTTGCATTTAATTTTTAACTAAATCACAAGAACACAATTAATCATCTATTGGTATTTAATACCTAGATTGATAATGATGTAGCTGATGTATTGTATACCCCTGCATCACCCTGGTACATGAAGCATCCCGAGAGGAGGATGGGAATTCCACACCAACGATGGCCTACTGTGGCCTCCTCTCTTGTTTTCTGACTTTCAGGCAATTGCAAAACAGCATTTTTTCAACTATAGGATGTCACTGGTGGTAACTTTAGGAAAACGAGATTTTCAAATATCAGAGTCTTTGTGTAATTTTGTAACAAGATGCCCAGTGATTAAAAATTTTTAATGAGTTGGTGGTTAAATATGTTTAAGATTGTCTTCTGAATTGAATATAAAATGGTAAAACTTAATCTTCTATTTAGCACAAACAAGAGGGATAAACCAAGAAAGAAGACATGGGGTCTAGGACACAGGAGATCCCTTGCAGCACAGCCCGGTGGGGAAGGGGGCTGGACAGCAAGTCCAGAATGCAGCAAGTTTAGATGGAAATGAGAGGAAGGCACAGGGAAAATGACTTGTTAGCAGGCCCAATGGCTAGCCAGGATGTGCCAGTTTAAGTGCTTCTGAGTGGGTTTGTAAATAGCAGCTAACATGAGCCGCCATTCTTCCATTGGCCAGCCCCTTCCTAGGATCTCCTGGACCTTGCCATGATCCGGATTCTGAGAAGTTCATGGCTGGCACAACCAGGGGCTCCCAGCACCCTTCCTTGGTGCTTTGGTGACAAGGGCTCTGTCTATTCTGATTGCTCTCTGCTATAAGTGATCCCCATAAATGGAATTAAATTGGGTTGGTTGGTGATTAAATGTTTTTAGTATAATTCCTTGCTTCTTAGAATATTTGATATGATGGAAAGTTTGAAAAAAGTGAGGATGTGATATAAGCAAATAGGACAAGAGAAAAGAAAGATAAATAGAAACTCCAGGAGAAATAAAAAGTTTGCAAGAAAAGCAGTGTGCTCATAGTACTTTACTGTATCGGCTGAACTGCCATCAATATTTGCCTAGTCGTAATGTGTAAACGTTGCTTCTTGATTTTCAGTTGTTAGATTCAGCCTGTAAACAAAGAACATAAACCTTGATTGGAGTTGTAGAACAGAATATCAATCTTGAAAACATAATGTAAGGCTGGATGCAGTGGCTCACACCTATAATCCCAGCACTTTGGGAGGCCGAGGCAGGTGAGGCACTTGAGGTCAGGAGTTTGAGACCAACCAGGCCAACATTGTGAAACCCCATCTCTTCTAAAAATACAAAAATTAGTCGGGCATGGTGGTGCATGCCTGTAATCCCAGCTACTTGGGAGGTCAAGGCAGGAGAATTGCTTGAACCCAGGAGGCAGAGTTTGCATTGAGCCAAGATTACAGAACTGCACTCCAGCATGGGTGACAGAGTGACAGCCTGTCTCAAAAAAAAAAAAAAAAAAAAAAAAAAAAAAAAAAAAAAAAGAAAGAAAAAGAAAAAGAAAAGAAAAGAAAACTTAAAGTAAAGCCATATCTTGGGTTGGTAGGAAGGAGTAGGGAGAGAAGTTAATATCTTTAGCTTGCCAAGGGAGAGTCAAGAGACATTCTGGAGGCATGGTGGCCCTAGGAGCAGAAGTATAAAGGTGGTATTTACACTTATAAAGACATCAAAATGAGACATTTAAAATAGTTTCCTGCATAACCTGAGTTTAGTCATATGCACTAAGAAATAATGCCTAAAATCATTAAGTCTAGAAAGTATGTTAAAATCATATTATCTGGAGACTTGGAGGGAAATACACGCAGAAGCAACTGGAAGAGTCCAGAGTGGCCCCACTGGGAGTTGGTGGGGAGGGAGGGTGATATCTGGGGCCTTCTTTTATAATTTCTTCTGTGCTCCCTGACTTTTTAAAAAACCATGTGCATATGCTAAAAACCCAAAGCCAGCCAGAGGAGCTTTTTGGTCATCACATTGGTTGTGGTGGGGGCTATTTGACAACACTCCATTCATAGGCAGTTCCTAGAATCTAAAATTTATTGACAGACATGCTTCCCTTAGAAATCTGTTGCAGTTCACACTCCCTCCCCAAAAACCTTGGGACATGGTGGGCCTAGGATGAAGCCCCTATTAGGCTTCATCAAGCGAGGCCTGAGCAAAATGACCAGGTGGGGTGCCAGGGCTGGAAGGCCACTATTAAAGTCAGAAAGAAATTGCGGGCCCTTCACTGGGTGGGGTATATGTGCTGCCTGCGGGGAGCAGACGGGGAGTCAGACTAGACCCAGACCTCAGGAGCTCAGCCATTCAGGGCCTCCCTACACCTCCTGCATACCCCTAGCTGGGATGGAGGGCAGAGAGATGGGCCATTACTCCCCAGTGAACAGGAACCTAGGGCTACTTGCTTTCTGGACCAGTTGTTCCCAGCCTCTTGGCCATTCTGTAGCCCCAGCATTCCTCCCTGAGGACAGATGGATGCAGCAGTTGGCAGCTAGATACATGCTCATGTGTTGTAAGACTCACCCCTCTGCAGGTGAGAGGGTAGGTCCCAGGAAGGAAGTCCCAATCCTTCTTTCCTTTCCTCTTGCCCCTCTGCCACAATCTGAAAAGCTGAGGACACTGGTCTACAGGGCACCCTTCTGCCCTCTTATTACTTGCCTTTTGGTCCACCGCAGAACCCCCTCCCAAATTCACAGTTTCATCCCACCTCAGGTAGGACCCCTGACTCCAAAATAATACACCTCCACTCCCCTTTAAGCCCCTGACTCTCAAGGTCCTGCTCCTAATTGACCTAGAGCCTTGGTACTCAAAGGGTGGGGCTGTTGGACCTGCAGCAGAAGCATTACTCAGGAGCTTATTGGAAATGCAAAATTGGGGCTCTACACCAGACCTCCTGCATCAGAATCTGCATTTTAAGGAAACCCCCAATTTAATCACGGGCACATTGAAGTTTAAGAAGCAGTGAGTTAGAATACATAATCTGATTAATCAACTTACTCTATTACTACTAGCTGATATTTTAAAATTCTTTCTATGGTCCAGGTGGTATGCTAAGACTTTGCATATCTCATCTTATTTAAGTTTCACACAGCTTTACAAGGTAGAGACTCTTTTGAACCCATTTTACAGATAAAGAAGCTAAAGTTTGGAGAGATTAAGCAACTTCCCTAAGGTTACCTAGCAAATAGCAGAACAGAGATTTAAACCTAGGTAGTATTCTAACTCCAGAAAACTCATAGATCTCAAGGCTGAGGTTAGCAATGGTGTTATCCATCTTGGGGTGGGGTGGGAGGGGCGGATTGTGCTAAGACTCTTAGAAAAACATTCAAGTAGGAGAAGCTGTTCAGGAGCTGGGAAGGGCTGAGGACATGGGGGAATTTGGGTTCAAGAACCACTTTTTTTTTTTTCGAGACAGAGTCTCACTCTGTCACCTAGGCTGGAGTGCAGTGGTGCGATCTCTTCTCACTGCAACCTCTGCCTCCCAGGTTCCAACTATTCTCCTTCCTCAGCCTCTTGGGTAGCTGGGATTACAGGCATGTGCCACCATACCCGGCTAATTTTTGTATTTTTAGTAGAGACGGGGTTTCACCATGTTGGCCAGGCTAGTCTCGAACTCCCGACTTCAGGTGATTTGCCTGCCTTGGCCTCCCAAAGTGCTAGGATTACAGACAAGAGCCACCATGCCCAGCCAAGAACTACCTTTTAACAGGGCAACTTTGGGAAAGTCACTTAGACTCATCTGTGAAGTGAGAAGGATAATGACAGTTTGTGCCATGCCAGGTTATGTGATTATTCAATGAGAAAACATATGCAAATCACTTGATAAAGAGTAGGCATCCAACCAACATTTATTGGACCCCTCCTCTGTGCTAGATGTTGGGGATGCAGAGATGAGAGATGACACCCTGCCTTCTGAAAGTTCAGAGCCCATGTGAGGTGGGATGGGAATAGATTATGTCAGTGGATGAACAACACAATATGGTCTGTTATAACAGGGAAGCACAGGAGGCTGTTGGGCTTGAAGAAAATGTGTACAATTCAGACTGTGTGGGTAGAAATACTTCCTAGAGAAGGTGATACCTAAGTTGAGTTCTGAAAAAGTTAGGCTGGTGGAGAAGGATATTCTGGATGAAGGGAACAGCATGTAGCCAGAGTTGGAACAGTAAAGAGAGATTTTGCACATAACACTACCCAGAAGTCAGAGAACTAGAGAGCCTGGGGAAGGCAGTTCCCTGCAATACCGAGCAGGCAGGAGAAGGGCAAGGAATGGGTTAGAGGTAAATATGCAGTTCATAGATTCTCCCAGCTTTTCCCTGACCTGCCTACTTCCTCTGACTTCTCATTGTCTCTCTTGGTTTCCAGGCTCTTTCTGCCTTCTAACTAAGGTTTCTGCTCTTTTACTAACACACAATTGCTCCCTCCTCTCCCCATTGCTGGGTTTGGGGATCCAGTATTGGAGCTGGTGCCTCAGACTCCCATGGCTCCGCTTCCCAGCTTCTTCCTCAGACCTGACTCTGGTCTTAGGAACATGACATCCTTAGAGCTGCCACTTAGCCCTATGGTGGTTTTGTATCTCTTCCTGTGGGCAGATAGCCCTGTGCCAGAGTTCACAGATAAGCAAGTGAGTGCTGACTGGCCCCCTCAGTTGGGACATTTGTGCAGTGCTCAAGCTGTACAACCACACATGGTGTCCTGATGCTCAAGATCCTGCCCCATTCTCTGCTTAGACTAGGGGCACCTTGAAGGCAAAGATGCTCATACTCATCACATCATAGTGGCCAGGAACAGGATCAGCCAGTGGGACAAATGGATGGCCTCATGCCCATGTCCTCCAGCCCAGCTGCTAAAGTCAGAGAAAAGGAATCCAGGGGTGACAGTGCTTGGCCTGTCTGGCAGTGCCAAGGCTAAACCTGTTTCAGTCTGAAGCTCTCCCTAGCTTGGCTTAGAGCACATTGACTACCCTATGTCTGCCCTCCAGTAGGACCCAATCTTGGCAAAGTGTCTGAGGCTGGAGTGGGGAGTGGGACCTTCAGGTCCTTCTACACAAGGGAAGATCAAGGAGGGGCAAGGGAGCAGGCCCTGCCATGAGGGAATTACAACCGGGGTGGAGAGATATTAGATTTATCAAAAGAACAAATAATGAATAATTTAAGCAGCAGATCATTTCAGGGCCAGACCCTGCAGTTCAGGCTTCCCAGACTCCCCCAGTGAATGTGCCTACTGAGCTCCCTCTCCGGGCCCTTGGGAGTCTGGGGTGAGCTGGCATCGCCTGCTGCAAGCTTGAGGGCTCTTTGAAATTACTCGTTTCCTCTTAAAAATTCATGAGAATTTTGCACTCTACTTCTGGGCTTGTTTTAACGTAATATTGATGTGTTAAGCTACTTTTTGTCAGTAAGACGGGAGCTGCAGAAGATGCCTGCATTCACCTGTCACTTCACATGTGGCTGGCACAGTGTTGGTGAGGAGACAG
The DNA here is from genome assembly GCF_000001405.40 of Homo sapiens. NCBI lineage: Eukaryota > Metazoa > Chordata > Mammalia > Primates > Hominidae > Homo > Homo sapiens. The sequence goes on along the minus strand of NC_000003.12, from coordinate 141,185,396 downwards.
CTGCTCTGTTGCTTTTCCTGCCCTGCCTCTATTCCCTTTCTGGTACCAGTGGCTCAATTTCTCTCTGGGGGAACCACCCCTCCAACTCTCTGTCCATGGCTGGACCCTGCCCTGTCCCAGGTATACCCGTAACTCAGGTTACATTCCTCTGAGTGCAATGCTTGCTTCAGAAATGGGCCGGGCACGGGGGCTCACACTTGTAATCCCAGCACTTTGGGAGGCCAAGGCAGGTAGATCATCTGAGGTCAGGAGTTCGAGACCAGCCTGGCCAATATGGCAAAACCCCATCTCTACTAAAAACAACAACAACAACAAAAACAAAACAAACAAACAAAAAATTAGCTGGCTGTGGTGGTGCATGCCTTATAATCCCAGCTACTGGGAAGGAAGAGGCAGCAGAATCGCTTGACCCCAGGAAGTGGAGGTTGGAGTGAGCTGAGATGGCACTGCTCTCTAGCCTGGGCGACAGAGCGAGACTCCACCTCAAAAAAAAAAAAAAATTAACATGTGGCCCAAGCAGACCAATGAGTATCAGCCCTTGGGCGTCTGCTGCTACTCTTGCAACAGAGAAAGCCTGTTTCAGCTTGGGGGGGTAAACCGCTGAGATGTAGCCTAGAAATTTCAAGGTCGCTAGTAGAGGAAACTGCCTGGGAATGAACCAACCCAAAGGAAGCATAAGTGAAGGGTGGAAAGAGGTAAACCCCAATGACATCATTTTAATCCTGGGATCTAGCTGTACCTAAAGCCATGTAATTTCTTGGTTAAATTGATTTGCCTTAGGTTATTTCCACTTGTAACTAAAATTCAAGTCCTGACTAATCCAACTAGTGGACACATGCCCCAGTTTGGAGACACAGGCCTGGTGAAAACAATGTTGGGACATTGGTATGGGATCAGAACGCAGATGGGTCCTAGCGTGCCCACAAACCTGCTATGTGATTTTAGAGGTTGGATTAGATAATCACCAGGGTTTCTTCCAACTTTAAGATTCTCCCCTAAAAATCCCATAGAGCTGGGTGCAGGGCACACACCTGTAATCCCAGCTACTTGGGAGGCAAAGGTGGGAGAACTGCTTGAGCCCAGGAGTTTGAGTTCAGCCTGGGCAACACAGTGGGGCCTTGTTTCTAAAAACAAACAAACAAACAAACAAACCCCTAGCCCCTCACAAAACAACAATAAAACAAAACAAAATAAAAAAAACTTGTAGAATTTTTTAAAATTTTTTAAAAGGCAAATTGACTGTAGACTTGGGGTGAGATTCCTAGGCTGAAAATCTGAAGATTCTAGCTCTGTATCTGGGCGGGACTTGGAGATCTGTATTTTTAACACAACGTCCAGGTAATTTTGATTCATAGCCAGGTTTGGAAACCACTCAAATTCTTAAATTCTTCTTCCTGAGGCAGCCACTTAAAGTCTTCCAATAAGAATTTATTGAACACCTACTGTGCATCAATGGCTCCTTCCTCTGACAATGGCCTCCTTGTTGGGTGGGGAAACTGACCTCTGTCCTCATGCTGGACTTTCTATAAAATCCCAAAGGTAGCTCTGAGGAAAACATACATTACTGGCCGCAAACTTCCTCCAGTCATTCACTTGCCTCATAAATGGCATTTAAAGCTTTTATTTATGAATAAGCTATTCACTGTCCAGTTGGTTCGTTTATAAATAGCAAGTAGATTAATGTGTACATTTATGTTGCTTTTGCTGTTGATGTCTCATTTAAAACCTTAACAAGACTGTGCCATAGCAACTGTAACTCACACATTACTAGAATTCAAATGGCTTATTATCAAGATAAACATTTATTATATTAAGGTATGCAATATTAGTGTCATATTTTATACATGGTTACTTGTAGCATAGTTCAGCTCGGGGCCAACACCATATTGAATTATTTAAAGCTATTTCTCCCAGGGTTATTAAAAAGTTCAGTAAAATATATATTAGTGTATAAAATTTTAATGCATAGTTCACATTGCAGTGTTTGCAAGCTCTTGGCCTTTAGAAGAGGAAAGCCAGGGAAGCAGAGCTCCAAACAGACCCTCTCTTTGAGAAAGTGCTCACAGCGCAACAAAACACAACCTCTACTTTGTCTCAGCAATGACTTCACGCCCTGCAAAACTCTCTTTATAGAAGTTACAGGCAAGGAGGCCAGAATAAGGTGAAGCCACCACTCATGGCTCTGGGAGAACTTTGGATCCTCAATCTCAGTGACTTTGACTCCTGCTGACTTGAGTACAGGGAGAGAATCCACCCATTGTCTCTGCTCTCCAGGGCCCCCATATGGACTGCATTACTTGAGTGGGCAATTAATTTGGTGTTTGCCATACTGTTATTAACCCATTTTGTGAGTGTTTGTTGCAGCTTCTCTGAATTGCACCTTCCCTAGAAGGGCTGGGTGGAGCTGAAGTACATGGTTTTGAAAACTAAGCCCTAGTGAAGCCCTGTTTGGGTCCTGTCAAATGTAGGGCCTACATTGCCAAAGTCCTCTCCTTGCCAACCAGAGCCCCCTATATCAGGGCAAGAGACCCTGCTGGCCAAGGCGTGGTCACACCATGGTTGGATTAGGTGACCTTCAGCTTGAGCAAGTCACTGCATTCCCTTGAGCCCTAATTTTCCCAGCAAATACCTGAGGATGTGAATATAGGACATGTGTCTCAGAGTCAGTGCTCCACTGTTGTTCATTCCCACACCAAGAACGTTGATTTTCTTCTCCTGAGATCTGGGTCATCAGCACCTTCTCATTTTTCTTCTTTATCCCCCAGATGGCTGTGGGCCAGGCTGGCCTCATAGTAGGTGCTCAGTTAGTAATTGTTCTATGGCGGTAAAATATATGGTGTTGTTCATTTCTCTTATCCTCTTTGTGGAGGAGACTCCAGAAGGAGAAAAAGGTCATTTTTCTTTCTTCTCTTTTCTTTCTTAACAGATAAGGGCAGACTAGGTCTGGACTCCTTTGCCTCTGGAGATGTTGATAGCTTTTGGGTTTCAGAGCCCAGAACAGAAGCTACCAGGGCTCCTAGGTTGGGATTCCCTGAAGCAGACCTTAGTACAAGAGTTTGTGGGCAATCTGGGAGGTGACCACAGGAGGCACACAGTAGGCAGAGTGGAGAAGTGAGCCCAGGCATGGAGGGCAGCTAATGCAGGGTGTGTTGACCAGAAGGTTACTGCCAAGGGCACCTCGGGCTCCATCCCACTGGGAGGTTGTGTGAAACACAGCTCCATGTGTTGTTCCACCATAGGGACCAGGAGCTGATGTATTTATCCTCAAGTCATTGATTGAGGTTGCTTCCAGGTCGTTAACTTCCAGGTACTTCTGGCTTGCACAATGAGCCAAGCACACCCCTGTGGCTATGAAAGTCCTCAAGCAGAAGCTTAGTCACTGGAAAGGCGAGTTCTGGGCTTAGCAGCAGACACCTAGAGTGATTGCTGCACCTGGCACCCAGAAGACAGCCCTTCTACACTAGGGGCCCAAGCTTGGTTCTGCCTGAGGAGGAGGAGGTGGAAGCTGGTGCCTGGTGTTTGGGGTGACTCCTGGAGGTGGAGGAGAAGGTGATGGTGAGGTCCATACATGGTGAAAATGGCACCTCACCTTCGTGTCAAGGCCTCCAGGGGATTATACACAGTTGTCAGTTACTGGGCCCTAAAGGATGTGATGTTGGGAGTAGCAGCAAACAAACACTGTGCCCTATACAGGGTGTAAAATGTGACACCACCCATTTTAAACAGACAACATGGGCAATGAGAATCTTAGTGGTAGGTTGAAGACCAGAGAGGTCCTTCCCCAAGTTTTCAAGACTGTGAGAGACTCACTGGCTTCTTGGGTGACCCTAGGGAAGAAAAGGTATCCCCAGTAGTGAGTTATGTTGGGCGTTTCACTGCCCAGGGAAGTAGGGACTGAGAGCCAGATGGAATTTGAATTAGGAAAAAAGAAAGTAATGCAATGTTTCTCGCTCTTGAATGTTGTGGTGGAAGTGCAAATCCATTTCAGTGGTTGGAGTGGATACAGTTTTGAAATCAGACACGAGGGAAGCCTGGAATGTGAGGCCACAATACCAAAGGCAAGCAGTTGTATTTAAATCCTGATGTCAAGCACAGGCACACAAGAAGAGGGGTCTCCTTTGCAGTGAGAAAAAAAATAGCATCAAGAAACTAGAGCAATAGCGGAGTGTAATTTTTAAGAAAGAGAGACAAAGAAGTTGCCTCTTTCATCCTTAGAGACTTACAAAGTGTGTGAAATAATGGAGAAGGTGTAGAATAGGACTTGGATCTTATGACAAAAATCTAGACACTTGGGAGAACTTTAAAACACAGAGAAGGATATCCTATTTCCCCAAGGGCAACCTGTCACTTTGAGAGATAGCACAGGCTGGAAATGGAGACAGGTTCAAGAAAGGCTAGGAGGAATTCACAATTGGCAAAGGCCGGTATGTTACTAGAAGAATAAAGTTTGGGGCACCTGTCTCTAATTGAAGGACATTTATGATCCTCACAAAACCACCACAGCCAGTGGAATCATACGAAAGGGCAGGCCGATGGGTCTGAGGTGTCAATCTACAAGGACCACTAAGACAGCAGCAGAATAAATGGAAAACATGGTACCAGTTAACTCAGATGTCTGCACTTGACACCACACAAATGTGGCAAAATGTACCATGGTCCACTTCTGTTGAGACAGAAAGCATACTAGGGGACATTTAAATATTCATTGAGAACACTTCTCTGACACATATGGAACAAATATTGTTAAGCTATTGAAGGGGCTTCAGATTCATTAGCCTGTCTGAGACATGCACATGTCTCAGGCCAGCCCTGAGATAATATTCTAACTGTTGGATAATCACGGTGGCCAGACATGTCTACAAGAAAGCAGAGTCTTCCTAAGAGTGGGTGGGAAGGGCATCTATATCTCCACCAGAGAGAGAGAGTCTGGTGGGAGGAATCAACCGCCTGCCTGTGCAGCTCAGTGAGTTCTCATACCTGTATACGGTGTCTATTGTTCACAAGGTCTGGATCCTCGTGAGGTAGATTCTTCAGCCATGCCATCTAGCAGAGGAGACTTTTCACTCTGCCTGCCCACATAGGTGGCTAGTTTAAGGAATTTATTTCTTTTAGAGGAGATAATGTAAAGTGCTTTGCATAGTGTCTGGCACAGCATGTTAAAAGCAAAACTTTAGACAAAATAAATTTAACAGAGTTTATTTGAGCAAAGAACAGTTCATGAGTTGGGCAGCACTCAAAACTGGAAGAGGTTCAGAGAGCTCCACCACAGCAGCATGAGCAACCAGCTTTTATAGGCTGAATGCAAAAGTAAAGTTGACAAAATTACTTGATTGGCTACAGCTGAGCATTTGCTTTATTTGGGTATAGTTCAAGGGGAGATCCCTAGCTCTATAACAGACTGGCTAATTGGCTGCCTGTGATTGGATAAAGCTCAGTTTTGTTGTTGTTGTTTTAAATTGGTTACAAGAAATGCCTCCAAGTGAAGTTTTGGGTTAACTCTGTAAGAGCTCCAGATATACAGACAACCTTAGGCTAACGGTCTCCTTCTTATTTGCTTTAATTATAGTAAGCAGTCAATTATGACTGGATATTATTTTCAGTTATTATTATTATTGAAATATTTCTTGCACTATTCCTCTGCTCTTCTCTTCCTCACCCCTACTCTTACCAGTCCCTCTGTGACCCTGTTCAACACTGTGTTTGCTGGTGGAGGTGAGCCTGGTGTGGTCTTGGGTGTCACCAAGCTGGGGGCAACCATGCCTTCCTGGGTGCTGTGTATATACAGAGAAAACATAGACATTTTCTCATCAGAAAGACCTGGGCCTAGCTCAGCTCCACCATTTGCTGACTCTGAACCTTGACCAAATTTCTAAGCCTCCATTTTGTTACACGGACAGACTCAAAGCCCTCATGTAGAAATATTGTAACTGTGTATAAAGCGTCTGATTCTTGCTGAGCTCAACAAATAGAAGCCCCTTATCACTGGAACATGTGAGGAAATACTAAAGCATCAACAAACCGGGTTTGTTGATGTCCTGCCTGATCTCCCGTAGGAAAGGGTAGCAGGGAAACACTGGATGGGGAAGGAGGCCACAAGCCATCACGCTCTGAACCACAGCCTCCATGGGGCATTTGCACTGGCCAAGACTTGGGCACATCATCTATTTATATGGATTTCCTTCCCCATATTCCATGGGCCTATGCACCCACTCTGCACAAAAATTCCCATCCCCCAGCACCTCCTGCCCCCTCCCCTGCTCAGATGCATAACAACATTGGGCTTCCTGGAACCCTGGCCTGGCCAGGGAAGTGGGGAGGTCAATGGGCATATTTTCCCAGTTGTCTGGCAAGCAACAAGATTGTTTTAGAAGTTCAGGTTGCAGAGGATCCTGGTTCATTATTGTACACAGGTGTCTGCTGGCTCCCAGACCCAGGACTTTCTCAAATGCTGCCAGCACACCCACAGGGCTCTAGACGAGCATCGATTTATTTAAAAATAAACAACGGATTGAGAGATTTTAGAGAAAGCTTTTATTTTCATTTTACTCCAGTCCATTCATTTAGTTGCAAGGAAACATGCTTCCAACCTTTGGTAAAAAGAGAAGCCAAGAGAATGTTGAAGAAGTCCAAGAAAGTAAGAGCCAGAATGACAATTCAGTCAGTTATCTGTTACAGATGTTGATGATATTTTACCTCCTTGGATGATGGAGGGAGCTGGGCCTCTCCTCACAAGAGAAGGGTCTTCCTCAATGTGCGAGCTTGAGAAGCACCAATACCTCCTGCAGAGGCACTAACAGCTGGAGCCTGGGTGCTGTAGTCCCTGCCTCACAGGCAGCTGCTCTCAAAAGGCAGGGTGGCATGGGGGTTAGAACTAGACCTTTGCTTCACCACTTACTAGCTGTGTGACCTTGGGCATTTTCAGTAGAAAATCTCTCAGGATTTCTATTTCCTCATCTTTAAAATGAGCATAAAATAGTATTGCTTTCATGGGGATATTGTGAGAATTAAATAAAATAATGTGAAGCATTTAGAGTCATGTTTGGAGTAAAAGTGCTCATCAAATATTATTAATAGATATTAGTATTGCTGTTATCATCATCATCATTGTCGTCATCATCTCCCCCTGGATTTCTTGGTCTGACACATAGTTGACTTGAGTTGTGGATAATTGAAGGTGAGCTAAGAGTGGATCCAAAGAAGGTTGAGAATTCATGCATGAGCTGGAAGCACTTAAGGTTTATTGCCACAGACAACGACCACATCTTCCGACACCAGCTGGCCCTGAATGCCTGGGACTGGAGCATTTTTTGTCATTTTTCAATAATCTTTGTAAATGTAATCCCTTTATATATTGGCTCTATTTGAGCTAAAGTGGCCCAAAGAGTTTGTGAGGGAAGCAAGAAGAGCAAGTGAAACATTTTTAGGGAGAGAAGAAATTAGAGAGCCTTCTATACTTTTCGTGCTCCTGCAGTTTGAGGTGTAGATTAGGTATTTGTTATTTTTTGGCCATCCAACAACAGAAGCCTCTTCCTGCTTGTAGGTAATTCTCTGTTGTTTGGTGCTTGGTAGGAGACAGGGCTCTGCCTCCAGCCTCAGAATGTGTAGTGATTGGCTAACCCTTTTCTACCCCTCTGGAGGCTGGGATATGGGCCTGTGACCTAGGCTCAGCTAATTGGATATTCCTGCAAAGAATTTTGAATTTTGAGGAAGTGAAGGTAAGAGACAGGGATGGGTTAGGCAGGGTGCTGAGTCCAATGGCATTGCAGAGGTGTGGTGTTAATGTTGACTGTGTTAGTGAGTGTTAGTTGAGCTCAACTTAACAAGCAGCTACTGAGGGGACAGAGGTGAATGCAGATCAGTTCCCAGCCAGATGAGAAGACAGACAGGCAAGTGGGGAATTGTGAGAATATGCTCAGTTTGAGAGAGGTACACAAATGATGCTGGGGGCAGGGTTGGGTGAAGGACATGGGAATGGGGTACTAGAGGAGACCTCTAGGAGCAGGGGACTCAGCTGTGGGGATGAGGAATAGTAGAGTTGGCAGGCAAGTGTGGGGAACAAAAGCAATTCTGTGTGGCTAGAGGTGCAAACTGGAGTTTCAGGACATAGAGACATAAGCAAAGGTCGTCATAGCGAGCCTTATAAGCGGGATGACTGTATAATGTATTGTCCAAATTAAGGAATTATGTGTGTGTGTGTGTGTGTGTGTGTTAAATCAAACTTTTAATTTTGAGATAATTGTAGATCTATATGCAGTTGTAAAAAATAATATAGAGACATCCTGTGTACCCTTTACTTGTTTTCTCTCAGTGATAACATCATTGAGCAAAGCTATTACACAATATTCAACCAGGAAATTAACATTGATATAGTGAAGGTAGAACATTTGCATCACTGCAAGCATCCCTCAGGTTGCCCTTGTGTAGCCACACTCACTTTCCTCCTACTCACCCTCTCCTTAACCCCTCACAACCATTAATCTGTTCTCTATTTCCACAATTTTGACATTTTAAAAATGTCATATGAATAGAGTCATTACATTTAAAAATGTCATATGAATGGAGTGTAACCTTTTAGGATTGACTTTTTTCATCTAGAATAATTATTTGGAGATGTATCCAGGTTTTTGGATGTATCAGTGGTTCATTCCTTTGTATTGCTGGGTAGTATTCTATGGTATAGATGTCTGACTGTCTGTTTAACCATTCACCATTGGGCATCTGGACTGTTTCTAAGCTTTGGCTACTATGACTACAGCTACTGTGCATATTTATATACAGAGTTTTGTGTAAACGTAAGTCTTCATTTCTCTGGAATAAATGCTAAGGAGTAAAATTACTATGTCTTATGGTAATTCTATGCTTAGTTTTTTGAGAAATTACCAAATCATTTTTCATAGTTCAAGGAACTGTACCATTTTACATTTCCACCAACAATAGGAGCGATCCAGTTCTTCTGCATCCTCACCAGCATTTGGTATTCTCCCGATTTTGTATTTTAGCCATTTTGATAGCTACGAAGCGATATCTTACCCTTGTTTTAATTTGCTCTTCCTTGATGGCTAATGATGTTGAACATCTTTTCATGTGCTTTTTCATGTTTTCGTATGCTTTTTTTTTTTTTATGGAGTCTTGCTTTGTCGCCCAGGCTGGAGTGCAGTGGCGCGATCTCGGCTCACTGCAAGCTCCACCTCCCCGGTTCGTGCCATTCTCCTTCCTCAGCCTCCAGAGTAGCTGGGACCACAGGTGTCCACCACCACGCCTGGCTAATTTTTTGTGTTTTTTTAGTAGAGACGGGGTTTCACCTTGTTAGCCAGGATGGTCTTGATCTCCTGACCTCGTGATCCACCCGCCTCAGCCTCCCAACGTGCTGGGATTACAGGCGTGAGCCGCAGAGCCTGGCCAACAATTTTATTTTACTTTATTTGATTTGATTTGATTTGATTTTTATTTATGTATTTATTAATTTATTTTTATTTATTTGAGATGGAGTATCACTCTGTTAGGCAGACTGGAGTGCGGTGGTGCGATCTGGGCTCACTGCAACCTCCGCCTCCCGGGTTCGAGCAATTCTCCTGCCTCAGCCTCCCAAGTAGCTGTGATTACAGGTGCACCACCATGCCTGGCTAATTTTTGTATTTTTAGTAGAAATTGGGTTTCACCATGTTGGCCAGGCTGGTCTCAAATTCCTCACCTCCGGTGATTTGCCTACCTCAGTCCCCCAAAGTTCTGGGATTACAGGCGTGAACCACTGCGTCTGGCCCTTAACAATTTTTAAGTGTGCAGTTTGTGTTAAGTATATTCACATTGCTGTGCAACTAATGTCCAGAACCTTTTCTTCTTGGAAAACTGAAACTCTATATCCATTAAACAGCTCCTTCTCCTTTCCCCTCAACCCCAGCCCCTAGTAACCACCATTCTAATTTCTATTAGTTTGACTACTCTAGGGACCTGTGCAAGTGGAATCATGCAGTTTTTGTCCTTCTGTGACTGGCTTATTTGTCTCAGCATAACACCCTTATGTTGTAGCATGTGTCACAATTTCCTTTTTTTCAAGGCTGTCAAGTCAAGCCTTCTCAATGTATGGATGAGAAGATGGGGACCCAGAGATGAGTACTCCCATCAGCAGGACTCTTTATCACAAATGATAGAAACTCTTTGTGGATGGTTGAGAAATCTTTTGGTACTTTGTAACTTTAATGCAAATTCAGGCCACTGAGGAGCTTGTTAAAATGCAGATTCTGATTCAGTAGGTCTGGGGTAGGGCTGGGGTTCTGCATTTCTAATTAGGTGATGCCTTTGCTGCTGGCCCATCCATCTCACTGGAAGTAGCAAAGCTTAGAGAATATTAAATAGCTCACAGAATTTCCAGGTGGGTCAGAAATCCAGGCAAGGTGGCTGCATGGTCAGGAGTAATGCTCCCTGGGAGGCAGGCACAGGAACTAGGGGAGCCCTGCCCCAGCCTGCAGCTGCTGCCATCCTTGCTGAGTGGCTCCCATGGGGGCCCATTCCCTCCTTATCATCAGCTTTAGATTTACAGTCTGGCATGGAGGCAGCTGACTCAGGGTGGGGCTCAGGTTGGTCCCTTGCTGCTAGGGAAACTGGGAGAGAGAGCTCCTCTAGTGGGAGGGCCCAATTCACACCGTGGGGGATTCCCCAAATTCAGTTCATGGGTGCTAGGCGGCTAGAAGGAATGATGACTGTCATTATATCCCCCTCTAGGGTGGGACGAAGTCCGCAATCTCTGAATAACCAATTAGGTTGAAATGATGAAACTTCTGGAAGGAAGAGCATATGAACTTAAATGTGTGAGGGACAATAATAATTTTTTATTTATCTATTAAAAAAGTGTGTAGATATTTATCGAACATCTACTATGTACAGAGTACTGAGGGGACACGGTCCTGTGTTCATCTTTCCATCTTATCAGGAACTGGGCTTCGAATACCTTTCTGCAATCTTCTTTATGCTTATGACTTTCTCTGCCCCAGCATAAATTACAGGAATGATCTCTCTTCAGAAAATAGAAATTTCCCTGGCATCCATGGTCCTTTTGAAATTCTGGTCCAATGTCGATTTATATGCACCAAATTATTAAACTCCGTTTATTCAGATCGCCAGTGGACTCCTGGCACATTCTCTTTCATACAGAGGGGAGAATGGGCTTTCTTTCTGTGAACATTCTAGCATGGAAATCTCACAACAATCAGAGGAGGACATAGACACACCACAGATGTGTGCAAGTTGTCAGAATCAAAATGGAGTCACTTCTGTTAAAACAAAACAAAACAGCAACAACAATAACAACAACAAACTCTGACAAGTAGAGCTAAAAAAGCTATAAAGAGAGGGTTTTCATGCACAAATGCCTGATAATAAAAACTATCACAAAAGGTTCTACAAAAACCAAAACATTGCACAGAGGTTATCACAACCTTACACAAAAGATAATTCTGCAGGGACACCTGCCCATCAACTGCCTGTCCAAACTCAGAGTGGTGTCACCATTGTTATTGATCCTTGTAGCAAAGGGTGATCATCTCAAAACAATTATGTAATCCTCCTCATTTTTTCTTTAAAACCATTTGTCTTCCCTTACTTTCCTGAATACACACATAGTTTACGATGGTATGTGTATTCCCATTGCAATACCCTATTCCCAAATAAATATTATTTTCTTTTAGAGGGCTTCTCTCTGTTGGTTATTTAGGTTGACAGAGGCAAAGAGCCTGGAGATGTTGGATACTTTCAAAGTAACAATAAAAAGGAATGAAGACAGAAATGGAATTTGCTAACAGGCGGTCAGTATGAAAATTTGCAATCTTAATTCAGACATGCAAATATGTACCTTATTTTTTCTTAAGTGAGTGGCTGATAGACTCCCTTTTCAGAAAAAGAACTAAATGTACTAGTTGAAGGCACCTTAGCCGAACTGATTTTAAATGTGTCAATTGTAGATTTAAACTCAGCCAGTTCAAGACTATTCCACTTCCTCATCAGTTCCTTCCCTCCCAGTGTTACTGGAAAGGGGTCCTGATCTAGACCCCAAGAGAGGGTTCTTGGATCTCATGCAAGAAAGAATTCGGGGTGAGTCCTTTTTCACTTTAAAAGACGGTTTGCTTTATTTTATGTGCCTTTTCTGTGTTTTCACATTTTTTTTTTCCTTCTGGGACATCCTTTCAATCTTCATTGGCTTTTATTCTTTATATATAAAATTTTGTATATTCTTTTGGTTGAATTCTTTATCTGTTTTATTCTTGTGGGCCTATTTCGGTTTTGTCCACAGTCCTACATGTCATTTTTATAGTTAGAGGAATTGTCTTGCAACTTTCTAGGTCCTAAGTGAAAGCAGAAATCCTGGTCAGACATGGTGGTTCAAGCCTATAACCCTAGCACTTTGGGAGGCCAAGGCAGGAGGATCGCTTGAGACCAAGAGTTAGTTTTAGACCAGCTTGGGCAACATAGTGGGACCCCATCACTACAAAAAAAAAAATTAGCCAGGCATTGTGGTGTGTGCCTGTAGTCCCAGCTACTCAGGAGGCTGGGGTGGGAGGATGACTTAAGCCCAGGAGGTTGAAGCTGTGTGAGCTACGAGTGTGCCACTGCACTCCAGCTAGGGTGACAGAGTGATACCCTGTCTCAAAAAACAAAAAACAAGAAAACCAAAATAAAATAAAATAAAATAAAATAAAATAAAATAAATCTCCCAAATATTAGAGTCTCCTTAATCAACTCTATGTAGGTATAATTTTTATATAATGAGGTGCATCCACTTAAAGTGTACAGTTTCACTTTTTGCAGATGTATACACACCAATGAAGCCAGTGCTGCAATCCAGATACAAAACATTTCTATCACCACCCAAAGTTCCTTCATACCCCTTTGCATTCCATCCTAGCCCCAGGCAATCAGTGACCTGCTTTTTGTTATTATAGATTAGTTTATATTTTCTAGAATTTTACATAAATGGAATGATATAGTATATACTTTTTTGAGTATGATTGCTTCATTCTGCATATTATTTTTGAAATTCATCCATGTTGCTATATGTTATCAGTATTCCATTTGTTTTTATTGCTGAGTAGAATTCCATTCTATAGATACACCATATTTTGCTTATGTATTCACTTATTGATGGACATTTGGGTTATTTCCAGTTTGGAGAAATTTTAAGTAAAGGTGCTATAAATATTTGTGACATGTCTTTCTGTGAAGAGGTTTTAGTTTCTCTTGGGAAATTATCTGGGAGTGGAATGGCTGGATTGTATGGTAAATGAATGTTCAAGTTTTAAACATTCATAAAGAATTTCTTAAAGTGGTTTTACCATTTTACACATCACCAGCAGAGTATAGGAGTTTCAAACACTTCACATCCTAGCTCACACTGGGTATTGTGAACATTTTTAATTTGCTTTTTAAATGTTAGCTATTCTCATTGTGGTTTTTATTTGCTTTTTCCCCAGACTAATAATATTTAGCATCTTTTTGTGTGCCTAGAATTGCACCAGCTTGCTGCCTTAAGAGAGGCTCCAGGACATGGTGCAAAGAGAACAATCCTGAGTGGAGCCTGGTGGTGTCTCTGCTTATTTGTAAGTTGTTGAAGTTTCTTTTCAAATACTTTGTTCATTTTCATATTGTTTTGATTAACTTTATATTAAGTTGTAAAAGTTCTTTATATGTTCTGGATACAAGTACTTTTTCAGATATAAGAATAGAAAATATTTTCTTTGATACCATGACTTGCCTTTTTTTAAGCAGTGTATTTTGGAGATAAAAGATTTTTATAAAGTCCAACTTATCAACGTTTTGCTTTATGTTTCATGCTTTTCTGGCCCCAAGTAACCTTTGCTTATTCCCAGGTTGCAACAATTTTTTCATGTGTTTTCTAATAGAAATTAGGTTTTGTGTATGGCGTGAGATAAGAGTTGGTTTTTATATCAATATCAAATCACACTAGTGTTATTTGTTGAAAAATCTTACCTTGCTCTATTGAATTGCCTTGGCAATGTTGTTGAAAATCAGTTGATCGATAATTCTTTCAGAAAAAAATGGAGGGCCAGGGACTGGATTGAACTTCCTCTCTGAAGCAAAAAACCCCAAGCAAACAGAAAAATATATACAAGACATATGAAATAAGACACTGTACATCAGGCTGTTGCCTGTTAAGGACAATGTTCTCTGGACGACAGAAGAGATACAAGGTGAGGCCTAGAATTGCACCAGCTTACTGCTTTAAGAGAGGCTCCAGGACATGGTGCAAAGAGAACAACCCCGAGTGGAGCCTGGTGGTATCTCTGCACTTGAGGACATGGAGCTGCTAGTCCAGGGAGGCCAAGGTGGCTAGAGTTCACAGGGCAGAGCACTGAAGAGGAGGGAGTGGCACAGAGAAAGAACCTGGTAATGGACAGGGGGATCTCCCTCAAGTACAGACGTACCTCAGAGATACTGTGGGTTCCGTTCCAGGCCCCAGCAATAAGGCACATATCACAATAAAGTGAGTTGCACAATTTTTTTGTCTTTCTAGTGTATATAAGTGTTTATACTATACCATAGTCTATTATGGTGAGTCACCAATAGACTATGGTAGAGTATAAACATAACATAGCTAGTTACCAGGCTAGCTCACCCATAATCTATTATGGCAGACTATGGTATAGTATAAACATAACATTTACATACACTACACAAATAGCATTATGTCTAAAAAATGTACATGCCTTAATTATCTGATAATTAAAAGATAATATTTAATATTTAATAATAATATCTTTTAATAATTATCTGATAATTAATGCAGCAATTCAGTCCCATCTTCAGGCTCCACTTCTAATTCTAGTTCTCTCGCTATTTCCATTACATCTGCAGTTACTTCCTCCACTGAAATCTTGAACCCCTCAAAGTCATCCATGAGGGTTCGAATTAACTTCTTTCAAACTCCTATTAATGTTGATATTTGACCTTCTCCCATGAATCATGAATGTTCTTAAGGGAATCTAGAATGGTGAATCCTTTCCAGAAGGTTTTCAATTTGCTTTGCCTAGATCAATCAGAGGAATCACTATTTATGGCGGCTACAGCCTTATTAAATCTATTTCTTAAATAATAAGACTTGAGTTAAAAATTACTCCTTGATCAGGGCTGCAGAATGGATGTCATGTCAGCAGGCATGAAAACAACATTAATCTCCTTGTACGTGTTTATCAGAGCTCTTGGTGACCAAGTGTGTTGTCAGTGAGCAGTAATATTTTGAAAGGATTTTTTTTTTCTGAGCAGTAGGTCTCAACAGTGGGCTTAAGATACTCATTCAGTAAACCATGCTGGAAACAGTTGTGCTATCATCCAGAAAGAGTAGATTTACCATAATTATTGAGGGCTCCAGGGTTTTTGCAATGGTAAATGAGCACTGGCTTCAACTTAAAAGTCACCAGCTGCATTAGCTCCTAACAAGAGAGTCAGCCTGTCCTATGAAGCTTTGAAACCAGGCATTGACTTCTCTCTAGCTATGAAAGTCCTAAATGGCATCTTCTTTTAATAGAAGGCTGTTTTGTCTACAATGAAAATCTGTTGTTTAGTGTAGCCATCTTCTTCAATTATCTTAGCTAAATCTTCTGAATAACTTTCTGTGGCTTCTTCAGCAGCACTTCCTGCTTCATCTTACAGTTTTATGTTTGGAGATGGCTTTTTTCCTTAAACCTCAGGAACCAATCTCTGCTAGTTTCCAACTTTTCTTCTGCACCTTTCTCATCTCTCTCAGGCTTCATAAAATTAGGTTAGGGCCTTACTTTGGATTGAACTTTGGCTTAAGGAAATGTGGCTGGTTTGATCTTCTATCCAGACCACTCAGACTTCTCCATATTAGCAATAAGCCTGTTTTGCTGTCTTATCATTCATGCGTTCACTGACATAACACTTTTAACTTTCTTCAAGAACTTTTCGTTTGCACTTACCACTTGGCTATTTGGTGAAAAAGGCCTAGATTTTTGCCTGTCTTGGCTTTTAGCATGGCTTCTTCACTAAACTTAATTATTTCTAGCTTTTAAAGTGAGAAATTTCTAGCTTTTAAAGTGAGAACACTTAGAAGCCATTGTAGGGTTAATTGCCCTAATGGCAATACTGTTTCTCAGGGAAGAGGGAGGCCTGAGGAAAAAGAGACAGAGAATGGCTGGTCAGTAGAAAAGTCAGAACACGTACATTTATTGATTAAGTTTGCCATCTTATATGGGTGTGGTTCATGGTGTCCCAAAACAATAGTAACATCAAAGATTACTGATCATAGATCCCCATAACAGGTATTAAATTCAGGCACAGTTGGCTTCACTGATGAAATCTATAAAATATTTAAGAAAGAAATAGTATTAAAATTATACACAAACTCTTCCAGAAAATTGAAAAGGAGGGAATCCTTGCCAACTCATTTTGAGGCCAATATTACCCTTACATAAAACCAGATAAGAGACATTACAAGAGACGTTAGCTACAGACTAGTATCCCTCACAAACACAAATACAAAACTTTAAAACAAAATGTTAGCAAATTAATAAAAATGTGTAAAAAGAGATAACAAATTATTACCAAGTAGGGTTTATCTCAGGAATGCAAGGTTAGTTTAACATGTCACAAATGATTAATGCAATTTTCCCCATTAATAAACTAACAACGGCCAGGCGTGGTGGCTCATGCCTGTATTCCCAAAATTCGGGGAGGTGGGAAGGTTGGTTGAAACCAGGAGTTCAAGACCAGCCTGTGCAACATAGTGAGACTCTAGGTCTACAA
Organism: Homo sapiens; assembly: GCF_000001405.40. Classification (NCBI taxonomy): domain Eukaryota; kingdom Metazoa; phylum Chordata; class Mammalia; order Primates; family Hominidae; genus Homo; species Homo sapiens. The sequence goes on along the minus strand of NC_000003.12, from coordinate 141,168,626 downwards.
AAAAAATTTAAAAGTAGCTGGATATGGTGGTATGCACTTGGTACTCCTGGCTACTGGGGTGGCTGAGGCGGGAGGATTGCTTGAGCCCAGGAATCTGAGGCTGCACTGAGCTATAATCCTGTCACTGCACTCCAGCCTAGGCAACAGAATGAGAGCCTGTCTCGAGAAATAAATGAATAAATACATAAATAATAAACAAACTAAAAGCAAAATCAAACCATATAATCATCTCAGTACATGCAGAAAAAACATTTGATAAAATCCAATATCCACTCCAGATTAAAACTCAACAACAAACTAGCATTTCTTCTAAGGGGAATGTTCTCAACTTGTTAAAAGCCAGCTATGAAAAACAGCTAACATCTTAGCTAACAGTGAAAGACTGAATACTTACGTCACTAAAAGCAGGTATGAAACAAGAATGTCCTCCCTCACTGCTTCTATTCAACATTGTACTGGAGGGTCTGGCCAATGCAATAAGGCAAGGAAAGGAAATAAAAGGCATCTTGATTGATAATGAAGAAGTAGAGCTGTCCTTATTTGCAGACACCATGATCGATTATGTACAAAAACTAGTGAAATCTGCAAAAAGACAATGGAACTAATAGGTAAAAATTTTCTACTGTGGCAATGTTGGCAGGATACAAGATCAACATATAAAAATCAATTGGTTTTCTATATGTCAGCAACCAAGAATCCAAAGTAGAAAAGTGTTTAAAAATTTACAATAACATCAACAAATATTAGGCTGGTGCAAAAGTAATTGCGGTTTTTAAAATGTAATGGCAAAAACTGCCATTGCTTTTACACCGATTTAATATTAAATTAATATTAAATATCTGGGGGTGAATCTATCAAAAGAAGTGCAAGTCTTGTCCGCTAAAACTAGTAAACACTTTTGGGAGAAATTAAAAAAGACCTAAATAAATGGAAAGGTATTTTTTTTTTCACAAAGTAGAAGACTCAATAATGTCAATTCTCTCCACAACTGATCTATAGATGCAATGCAATTTCTACTGAAATCCAAGTAAATTTTCTTTTTGGGAGATATTGACAAGCTGATTCTACAGTTTATATGGAAATACAAAAGACTTAGAATAGTCAAAATGACTTTCATAAAGAACAAGGTTGGAGGATTAATACTATCTGATTTCAAGACCTATTATAAAGCTACAGTAGTCAAGATAGCATAATATTGGCATCAGGAAAGACAAATAGATCAATGGAACAGAATAAAGAGTCTATAAAAAGACCATACACATAGGGACAATTCAGTTTTTACAAAGATGCAAAGGCAATTGGGTGGAGAAAGGACAGTCTTTTCAACAAATGGTGCTGGAACATTTGGATATATGCACTCAATAAAATGACTTTGATCAATTCCTCTAAGGTAAAATATACAAAAATTTCCTCAAAGTGGATCAAACACCTAAATATAAAACCTAAAGCTATAAAATTTCTGGAAGAAAATACAGATGCAAGTCTTTGGAATCATGAGTAAGGCAAAGATTTCTTTAATAAGAGACTAAAAGCATAGTCTATAAAAGAATAAATTATTGATCTGGACCTTATTAAAGTAAAAAACTTCTGTTCTTGAAAGACACTGTTAAGAGAATGAAAAGACAAGTCACACACTGGGAGAAAATAAAGCATATATCTTATAAAGAATATGCATCCAGAATATGTAAAGAACTCTCAAAACTTAATTAAAAACAAACAAACCAATTAAAAATGGGAAAAAGATTTGAGCAGATATTTCAGCAAAAAAAGATGTATGAGTGCTAAATAAACATATGAAAAGATGCTCAAGCTCATTAGTTATTAAGGATCTGCAAATTAAAAACTCAATGAAATACCACTTCATACTTAAAACTACAAAGTCTGATCATATCAAATGTTGGCAAAGATGTGAAGGAAGTAAAACTCTCATACACTGTTGGTGGGAATGTAAAATGACAAAACTTTGGAAAGCAGTTTGGCAGTTTCCTAAAAAGTTAAACATACACCTCTCATTTGATCCAGCCATTCCACTCCTAGGTATTTACCCAAGAGAAAAGAAAGTCTATGTCGGAACATTAATGCTCACAGTTGCCTTATTTGTAATGGCCCCAAACCAGAAGCAACCCAAATGCCCATCAATGGTGAGCAGATAAACAAACTGTAGTATATCTATCCAATGAAATACTACTCAGCAATAAAAAGGAATTTACTATTGCTACGCATTAAAAACATGTATAATTATGCTGTTATTTAACTGAAAGAATTCAGGTAAAAAAGAGTACAGAAGAACCAATATGTTCTTTAGCAATCAAAAATGAAAATAACAAGATATTAAACTCAAAGCTTGGACACCAGTTAGTGAAGAACAATTGAAAGCAGAAAATAATTAGGGACTTGGGTATCAAATCAGGGAATTTTATTTTCATTTTCCAAGCTTGATGAGAAATGGCAAGTTGATTAAATCAGTCAGGATCTCCTTGATTATAAACTCATGTGATCATATGTAAATGCTCAACCTTCCAAATCAATTCACCCGCAGAGAATTCTCTTATTATAATTATTATGGGCAATTTCAAACAAGATTAGAACAAAGAGTATAATAAACTCTCATGTTCTCATCACCCAGCTTCAACAATTTTCAATTCATTGACAATTCTGTTTTTTGTTTGTTTGTTTGTTTGTTTGTTTCTGACAGTCATCCTCTGTCACTCAGGCTGGAGTGCAGTGGCATCTCTGCTCACTGCAACCTCCGCCTCCTGGGTTCAAGAGATTCTCCTGCCTCAGCCTCCCGAATAGCTGGGATTACAGGCACCCGCCACCGCGCCTGGCTAATTTTTGTGTATTTAGTAGAGACAGGGTTTCACCATGTTGGTCAGGCTAGGCTGGTCTCGAATTCCTGACCTCAGGTGATCCGCCTGCCTTGGACTTCCAAAGTGCTGGGATTACAGGTGTGAGCCACCGCACCTGGCCTTGACAATTCTGTTTCATCTTTATATCCCCATCCATTCTCCTTGCCCCTAGTCCCAAATATCATGCCATTTCATCTGAAGATATGTGTTTGTATTTCTACAAGAAATGGATTTTTTTTTGGTCTCTGTTTTATATTTCTAATAATTCAAATCCAGTCCTAGCAACTTCATCTGAAAATTTTGGAGGAATTGGTGAGGAATATGGGACTGCCTACACATTGAGAAAAGTGAATTGATTTACCTGCCGGGAGATTTTTTTTTTTTTTTTTTAAGAAAAGGAAAAAGAAAAGGCGTATCTTCTCTGTTTACAAAAGAAAAAAAAAGACTGATTTTTCTCTAGCTAGTGGGCAGTGATATCCTGTTTAGCTCTTTGTGGAAATCCCAGAGGCTGTTGTGTAACATAATCATTATCCAGGAAAAGAATGTGCATTTTAGATGAAAATTCGCAATTTTAGAACGTATGGCCTGTGTGCAGTTGGGCTCCTGAGAGCACCCACACTTGCTTTATAGGAGGTCACTTGATGCAGGGAGTCACTGAACAGATGTTGAACTCCTGTGAGTGCTTCTAGGGCGTTAGCTCTGGGAGTTGTTTTCACTAGACAGTAGGATTCTTTGTTCTTCCAGATCTTCAAATCTCTCAGCCCCCTTTCTTTTTTCCGCGATGGAACCATCTCCCTGCTCAGATGTAGTTACTGCCAAGGGAAACACTGCATTGAGTCCAAAGAATTTCTAGTGAGAAGGTAGTAACTTTTTAAACACAGAAGTTTGGGGATGTTACTCCTCCCTCCTCCTTAAAAAAAAAAAGAAACTTCAGTGGGCTGGGTGCGGTGGCTCACGCCTGTAATCCCAGCACTTTGGGAGGCTGAGGCGGGCGGATCACAAGGTCAAGAGATCAAGACCATCCTGGCTAACACGGTGAAACCCCGTATCTACTAAAAATACAAAAAATTAGCCGGGCGTGGTGGCGGGTGGCTGTAGTCCCAGCTACTTGGGAGGCTGAGGCAGGAGAATGGCCTGAACCCGGGAGGCGGAGCTTGCAGTAAGCCGAGATAGGGCCACTGCACTACAGCCTGGGCGACAGAGTGAGACTCCGTCACAAAAAAACAAAAACAAACAAACAAACAAAAAACTTAGGTGTACTAAAACAAAGTACACGAATCCTAAGTACATAGTTTGATGCATTTTTACATATGTATGTATTCATATAATCATCACCCAGATAGAAATGTGAAACTTTTCTAGGACCCCAGCAAGCTCCCTCATGCTCATTCCCAAAATCAATAACATGCCTCTCTCCCTCCAAAGTAACACTATTTTGACTTCCACAATCATAGATAACGTTTGCCTGTTCTTGAATTCACCTAAGCGGAATCATATAATCTTTTATGCGTAGCTTCTTTTATTCAACATTCCATGAGCTTCATCTATGTGGTGTGTAGCAGCAGTGTGTTTCTTTTGCTGAAAATTGTTGTATAGTATTCCACTGTGTGAATATGCCACTATTTATTTTTGTTTTCTACCAATGATGCCATTTGGATTGTTTCCAATTTGGGAGTGTTAAGAATACTCTCTTTTATCAGTTATGTATATTGCAACTATCTTTTCTTAGACTGTGCCTTGTCTTTCACTCTCTTAATGTGATTCTTAATGAAAAGAAGTTATTAATTTCAATGAAGTTCACTGTGTTAGTCTTTTTCTTAATTGTTACTGCATTCTGTCTTCTGTTTAAGAAAGCCTTGACCACCCCAAAAACATAAAGGTTTTTTTTTCCTATGTATTATTCTAGGAGTTTTTTTGTTGTTGCTGTTTTGCCTTTCATATTTAGGTTTATAATCACTTTCCATTTAGTTTTTGTCTATGGTGTAAGGTAGGGGTGAGGATTCATGTTTTTTTCTATATGGATATCCTATTGATCCAGTACCATTTGTTGAAAACACCATCTTTCCCCCAGTGAATTGCAGCAACACGATTGACCATGTAAGTGTGGGTCTGTTTCTGGACTCAGTTCTATTCACTGGTCTATTTGTTTTTATGCTTACCCCAATATCAAACTATCTTAATTATTATCTTAGTCCATTTTGTGCAGCTGTAACATAATATCTGAGACTGGGTAATTTGTAAAGAATAGAGATTTATTTCTTCCAGTTCTGGACACTGGGAAGTCCAAGGTCAAGGGGCCTGTATCTGGCAAAGGCCTTCTTGCTGCATCGTCCTATGGCAGAAGGCAGAAGGGCAAGACAGCACACGCCAGAAAAAGAGAGGGAAGAGGGTCAAACTCATCCTTTTATCAGGAAACCACTCCTATGATAACTAACTCATTCTCGAGGTAACAACATTAATCTATCCATGAGGGCTGCCCTCGCGACCTAACCACCTCTTAAGGGCCCCATCTCTCAACATTGTTGCATTGGGAATTAAGTTTCTAATGCATGAACTTTGGGGGACACATTCAAACCGTAACAATCATCATATCTTCATAGTTTTCTCAGTATCTGGTAATGTAAGTTTCCTATTTTGTTTTTCTTTTCTTCATTATTATTTTTTAACTTTTATTTCAGGTTTGGGGGTACATGTGAAGGTTACATAGGTAAACACATGTCATACAGGTTTGCTGTACATATTATTTCATTACCCAGGCATTAAGCCCAGTACACAATTGTTAACTTTTCTGCTCCTCTTCCTCCTCCCACCCTCCCCCATCAAATAGACCCCAGTATCTGTTGTTTCCTTCTTTGTGTTCATAAGTTCTCATCATTTAGCTTCCACTTTTAAGTGAGAACATGTGGTATTTGGTTTTCTGTTCCTGTGTTAGTTTGCTAAGGATAATAGCCTCCAGCTCCATCCATGTTCCCGCAAAAGACATGATCTCATTTGTTTTTATGGCTGCATAGTATTCTATAGTGCGAATGTACCACGTTTTCTTTATCCAGTCTGCCATTGATGGGCATTTAAGTTGATTCCTTGTCTTTACTATTGTGAATAGTGCTGCAATGAACATTTGCGTGCATGTGTCTTTATGGTAGAATGATTTCTATTCCTCTGGATATATACCCAGTAATGGGATTGCTGGGCCGAATGGTAGTTTTGCTTTTGACTCTTTGAGGCATCCCCACATTGCTTCCCCTAATGGTTAAACTAATTTACATTCCTACCAGCAGTGTATAAGTGTTCCCTTTTCTCTGCAACCTTGCCAGCATCTGCTATTTTTTAATTTTTTTAAACAGCCATTTTGATTGGTGTGAGATGGTATCTTATTGTGGTTTTGATTTGCATTTCTCTAATGATCAGTGATATTGAGCTTTTCTTCATATGATTGTTGGCCGCATGTATGTCTTCTTTTGAAATGTGTCTGTTCACGTCCTTTGCCCACTTTTTAATGGGGTTGTTTGGATTTTTTCTTATAAATTTGTTTAAGTTCCTTGTAGATGCTGGATATTAGACTTTGTCAGATGCATAGTTTGCAAATATTTTCTCCCATTCTGTAGGGTTTTTTTTTTAACTTTTTTTAAGCTTTTATTTCAGGTTTGGGGGTACATGTGAAGGTTACATATGTAAACACATATCACAGGGTTTTGCAAATATTTTCTCCTATTCTGTAGATTTCTAACTTTTAAAACTTTTATTGGCCGGGCACGGTGGCTCACGCCTGTAATCCCAGCACTTTGGGAGGCCGAGGCGGGTGGATCACGAGGTCAGGAGATTGAGACCATCCTGGGTAACACAGTGAAACCCCGTCTCTACTAAAAATACAAAAAAATTAGCCAGGTGTGGTGGTGGGTGCCTGTAGTCCCAGCTACTTGGGAGGCTGAGGCAGGAGAATGGCATGAACCCGGGCCCAGGAGGCAGAAGTTGCAGTGAGCCGAGATCACACCACTGCACTCCAGCCTGGGCGACAGAGAGAGACTCTGTCTCACCAATTAAAAAAAAAAAATGTATTTCAGGTTTGGGGGTACATGTGAAGGTTACATAGGTAAATACATGTCACAGGGGTTTGCTGTACATATTATTGCATTACCTAGGTATTAAGCGCAGTACCCAATCTGGGCTTACTCTGTTGATAGTTTCTTTTGCTGTGCAGAAGCTCTTGAGTTTAATTAAATCTCATTTGTCAATTTTTGCTTTTGTTGTAATTGCTTTCAATGTCTTTGTCGTGAAATCTTTGCCCATTCTTATGTTCTGACTGGTATTGCCTAGGTTGTCTTCCAAGGTTTTTATAGATTTGAGTTTTACATTTAAGTCTTTAATCCATCTCCAGTTTATTTTTGTATATGCTGTAAAAAAGGGGTCCAGTTTCAATCTTCTGCATATGGCTAGACAGTTGTCCCAGCACCATGTATTGAACAGGGGGTCTTTTCCCCATTGCTCATTTTTGTCACCTTAGTTGAAGATCAGATGGGCATAGATGTGTGGCCTTATTTCTGGGCTCTTTATTCTGTTCCATTGGTCTATGTGTCTGTTTTTGTACCAGTACCATGCTGTTTTGGTTACTGTAGCCTTGTAGTATAGTTTGAAGTCACGTAATGTGATGCCTCCAGCTTTGTTCTTTTTGCTTAGGATTGCCTTCACTATTTTGGCTCTTCTTAGGTTCTATATGAATTTTAAAATAGTTTTTTCTAGTTTTGTGAAGAATGTTATTGGTAGTTTGATAGGAATAGCAATGAATCTGTAAATTGCTCTGGGCAATATAGCCGTTTTAATGATATTGATTTTTCCTATCCATGAACATGGGATGTTTGTGTCTTCTCTGATTTTTTTGAGCAGTGTTTTGTAATTCTCATTGTAGAGATCTTTCACTTCCCTGGTTAGCTGTATTCCTAGGTATTTTATTCTTTTTGTGACAGTTGTGAATGGGATTGCCATTCTTATTTGGCTCTTGGTTTGGCTGTTGTTGGTGTATAGGAATGCTAGTAATTTTTGTACATTGATTTTTGTATCCTGCAACTTTGCTGAAGTTGTTTGTCAGTAGGAAGAGCTTTTGAGCTGAGACTATGGGGTTTTCTAGATATAGAATCATGTCTTCTGCAAACAGAGATAGTTCAACTTCCTCTCTTCCTATTTGGATGCCCTTTGTTTCTTTCTCTTGACTTTGCTCTGGCTTGCACTTCTGATACTATGTTGAATAGTCTGAAATTAGGATTGCAACTCTTTTTTTTTTCTGTTTTCCATTTGCCTGGTAGGTTTTCCTCCATCCCTTTATTTTGAGCCCATGAGTGACATTAAATGTGGGATGGGTCCCTTAAAGACAGCATACCATTGGATCTTGCTTTTTTAAATTCAGCTTGGTGGCCCACCCCTTCCTCTGGGAGCACTGTCTCAGGAGAATTAAAATATCTGTCTTTTACGTGGGGCATTTAGCCTGTTTACATTCAAGGTTGCCATTTATATGTGTGGATTTGATCCTGTCATTGTGTTGTTAGCTGGTTATTATGTTGGCTTGTTTGTGTGGTTGCTTTACAGTGATACTGGTCTCTGAGTTTAAGTGTGTTTTTGTATTAGCTGATAGTGGTCTATCCCTTCTATATTTAGTGTTCCTTTCAAGATCTCTTGCAAGGCAGATCTGGCAGTAATGAATTCCCTCAATGTTTGCTTATCTGAAAAAGATCTTATTTCTTCTTCACTTAGGAAACTTAGTTTGGCTGGATATAAAATTCTTGGTTGAAGATGTTTTTCTTTAAGAATATTGAATATCGTCCCCCAACCTCTTCTGGCTTGTAGGGTTTCAGCTGAGAGGTCCACTGTTAGCCTGATGGGGTTCCCTTTGCAGGTGACCTACCTTTTCTCCCTAGCTGCCTTTAACATTTTTCCCTCATTTCGACCTTGGAAAATCTGATGATTATGTATCTTGGGGATGAACTTCTTGTGTAGAATTTTGCAGGAGTTCTCTGTATTTTCTGAATTTGACTGATGGCCTCTCTAGCAAGGTTAGGGAAGTTTTCATGTATGATATCCTGAAATATGCTTTCCAAGTTGTTTGCTTTCTCCTTATCTCTTTCAGGGATGCTAACGATTCATAGATTTGGCCTCTTTACAGAATCCCATACTTCTCGGAGGTTTTGTTCATTCCTTCATATTCTTTTTTCTTTATTTTTGTCTGACTGTCTTATTTCAGAGAAACGGTCTCACATTGTGTTAGTCAGCTCTGTTGGACCTGTTAGTTTCTTTTATATACCAACTATTTTGTCCTTCAGCTCCTGTATTGCTTTATCATGATTTTTATTTTCCTTGGATTGGATTTTGCCATCCTCCTGAATCTCGATGATCTTTGTTCCTATTTATATTCTGAATTCTATTTCTGTCATTCCAGCCAGTTTGGCCTGGTTAAGAACTCTTGTTGGAGAATTGGTATGGTTGTTTGAAGGACATATGACACTCTGGCCATTTGAGTTACCAGAGTTCTTGTATTGGTTCTTTCTCATCTCTGCATGTGGGTATTCCTTTGACTGCAGTGTAGACTGAGTACAGTCAATAGACTTTTATTCTGAATGTTTTCACTGGGCCGAGGCTTTGTGCAGGGTCTTTATTTGATGCTGACTTCCTGTCCCTTGTTTCAGAGAATTGTATGTTAGTGAGGTATTTTTGGTGTTGAAGCTTTGGGGTGTGAGCCAGCAGGTGGCACTTAGGCTTATTGGTCAGTTGGGAGACTCTTGCTTGGTTGTGTGGCTCCCCTGTGTTTCCTCACAATTGCAGCCAAGTCACCTCTCAATGCTCTGAAAGTTTGGGTTCCTCTTCCCCTTGAGTCCTGACTGTGTAGATCATGACTTGGCACTCTTGGGCTGCTCACTGTAGCTCTGGGGCTCTCTCGGTGTTTATGTTTCTTCCCCAACTTGAAGGCAGCAGAGGAAGAGATCTTAGTAGTGGTTGTGGCCAAGGGTCATTTGCTTGTCTCCTGGGAACTCCACCTCGGAGAGCTTTGGGTCAGCAATTGCTCAGTGCAATCAGCCCAGGATGGAGGGTATGTGCTGGGCCCAAGCAAGGGATTCCCTGTCTGGTGATGAGCAGCGGGAGGTGTGTGGAACCCATGGGAGACAGACTGGCCTCCTCTCCTTAGGTTGACTGCAGCTTGTTGGAAGTATGGATAAAGCACTTAGGGTCTTTACACCTTCGTTAGTCAGAGGGTGGCAAGGGCAGTTCCACTGCAGAGGCAGTGGCAGAGAGGCTTTCAGTTGTCCCTGGAGGCTCTGCTCAGGGAATCGCTGAGTTGCTAGTGGTTCGATAGCTCTGGCGTAGGGTGGCTGGAGGCCCAGGCCTGGAGGACCTGCCTTGTGAGGAGATATGGGAATGGGCACCCATGTAACAGTCTGGCTGCTTTTCTGTAGGGTCACTCCAGTCACCTTACATTTTCCAGTATCTGGAGGTATCACCAGTGAAGCCTGCAAAACAGCAAAGATGGCAGCCTGTTCCACCCTCTAGGAACTTCATTCCAAAAATGTACAGGCCTGTTGCCAGCTCAAAGGCAACTGTAGGAGGTGGCTGGAGACCCTGGTTGGGAGGTCCTGCCCAGTGAGGATGAATGGGATTGAAGACCCACTTAAAAAAGCAGTCTGGCCACATTTTGGTAGAGCAGCTGTGCTGTGCTGGGGGATCCCTTCTGCCTCCAGTTGCTCACTTTCCAAAGCCTGAAGGCTGGATTGGCTAAGTGGCCTAAACAGGAAAGATGGCGGCCCACCCATTCCTCTGGGAGCACTGTCCGAGGAGAATTCAAATCTCTGTCAGATGGTGAACATGGGCAGGGGTGGCTGGACGCTCAGTTGGGATGCCCCACCCAGTGAGGAGGAACAGGATCGGGCATCTGCTTAAAGCAGCAGTCTGGCCATGTTTTGGTAGAGCAACTGTGCTGTGGGGGATCCCTTCTGCCCTCTGTTGGCTCAGACTCTCCACAGCCTGAAGCCTGGAATGGCTAAGGTGCCCAAACAGCAATGATAGTGTTCAACCCCTCCCCCTAAGAGCTCCTTCTTATGGAGGTGCAATGCCACTACTGGTGGCTGGCTGGAATTCCAAGTTAGTGGGTCTTATCTTGTGAAGTGCCGTGGAAGTGGAGCCTGCAGGTTGTCACTGCTCAGCCCCCTGGATTCAGCCTCTTTCCTAGGGGTATGTATGGGAGTCTAATCTCCCATTTTGTTGGACCTGCAGCTACTTTTTGCTGGAAAGCCCAAGTATCTAAGTCTCCAGGCTCTCCATACATGCCTGAACAGCTGCTCTGCCAAGAGTCCACATAGCTCTGTCTATCAGATTGAAGGCCCCTGTGGAGTGGGTTCACAAGGAGATCTCCTGACCTGAGGGTTGCAAAGATCCATGGGAGAAGTGTGGTTTCCTGGGGTTTCACATTCACTCACCACTTCCCTGGGCAGGGGAGGGTCTCCCTGGCTCTGTGTTGCTCCCGGGTGGGTCACTGTCCTGTCTTGCTTTTGTTCATTCTCCATGGGTCAAGTTGTTTCCTTGATTAGTCCCAATGCAAGTATCAGGATATTTCAATTGAAGGTGTTGTATTTACTCACGCCTTCTGTTCCTCTCCATGAGAGCCACACATACTAGCTGTTTCTAGTTGGCCATCTTGGCTTGACATTGTTTTCTTTTCTAATATTGTTACAGCTATTTTAGGTCCTTTGCATTTTCAAATGAATTTAGAATCAACTTGTCAATTCCACAAAAAAAGCTCAGAAAATTTGTTTGGTTATTGCATTGACTATACAGATTACTTTGGGTAGAACTGACACTTTTAACAATATTGAATTATCCAATTGACACGGTAGAGCCCTGTATTTCTTTAGTTCTTCCATGTCTTTTGCCAATGTTTTGTAATTTTCAGTGTAGAGGTCTTGCACATTTTTCATTAGATTTTTCTATTTTTGTTACTATAAATGGCATTGTTTTACATTTCATTTTCTAATTGTTTGTTGTTAATATGTAGAAATACAACTTCTAAAATATTAACCTTGTATTCATATTTTCTAAATTTCCTTATGAATTCTCATAGTTTCCTATATTTTTTCCTATGTATACAATGATGTCATTTGCAAATGATGGTGGTTTTGTTTCTTTCCTTCCGATTTTTATACCTTCTAATTTCTTATTTTTGGCTTATTAAACTGCCTAGGGTTTCCAATACAATATTGTGTAGAAGTGATAATAGAGGGCAACTTTTCTTACTACTCATCTCAAAAGGAAGCATTCAATAATTTTTCATTAAATATGATATCAGCTGTAGGTGTTTCATAGGATATCCTTTACTAGTTTAAGTAAGTGTATCTCTTCCTAGTTTTATGAAAGTTTTTTCCAGAATCATAAACAAGGTATTGAATTTTAGCAAATAATTTTTCTACCTTTATTGAGATGATAATTTTTTTAATTTTTTAAATTTGGACAATATGATTATATCACTTTTTGATTATTAAGCCAAACTTGTACTCATAAAATGAATTCACTTTGGTCATGATGAACCTATACATACATACATACACACACATATATATATATATATATATATATATATATATACTCCTAAGTTTGATTTGCTAACATTTTCAGATCTTTGCATCTCTGTTTTGAACTAGTGTCTCTGGTAATGTTGTGTGCATGCTGGGTGCCCAGGAATAGTTAGAGGTATAAACTCTCATACATGGGTCAGACTCTGTGTAGGTCATTGCTGTGAAAACTTCATTGAGGCTTGGTTTCCCTCACTCCCATCTACTCTAAGCCAGCTTATCTTCATCACTCATCAAGGGGACTGTCAGAAAAGGGACCATTGTAATGTTAGGCCAAGTGAAATGTGCTGAAACTTGGTAGAGTACCCAAACAAGGTCAGAATTAATATGGGATAATCCTAATTTCAGCAACATAGTAGTATCCTGGAGCCAGCTCATACTGGCTTGCAAAAACTGATGGTTAAAACTTTGGAAATCTTTCAAACTGGCTATTTATTACAGTCATTATTAAAAATTAAATTATATAAGTGTACAATTAAATAAATTACATTAAAAACAAATAAATACTTAAAACTCATCACTTTTTAATTATTTTACTACATTTCATTATTATCTTTGCTGTTCAGATCATTTACATCTACCATATCTGTATGATTGGAAACACTCTATGATGGTTGGCTACTGATCATCTTTTCCCAATCTGCATTCAGTGGCATCACGTTGGAGCTTAAAATTGGCTGTGGTGGGAGTATTTACATTATGGAAAACAGCAAACACTACAAATCTTTTACTTATCCCCAGAGAGATGGTTGTTAAACATTTACAAACACACTACTGTGGCAACGCAGCCATCTGCTCTCTCTACTCCTTCCTGGCTTAGCATGCATGTGAGATACTTTACATTTACCAGGTTACCTGTCTATGCACCTTTTGTACTAGAGTATAAGCTCTCCAAGGGTGCAGATTTTATATTTGTTTTCTTCATTGTAGTGTCCTCTGCATCAACAGCAGTGCCTCACACATAGCAGGCCCCGAATAAATGTATAGAGAACAAGTGAATGAATGGATTGCGAGTGTCCTCACTTCTTTTCTTGCCGGAGTCCTGCATGCACCAAGTCACTAATCTCTGTGGACTTGGCCTGTTTGCAGCAGCTCTCTTTCCCAGCCCCTACTCCCATGGACTTCATTCAGGCCCTGTTTTTCTCCCTAGAACCAACAGCCTTTCCCTCAATTTCCCCACCTGTACTCTTGGTTTTTTTTTTTTTTTTTGAGATGGAGTCTTGCTCCATCACCCTGGCTGGAGTGCAATGGCACAATCTTGGCTCACTGCAACCTCTGACTCCCAGGTTCAAGCAATTCTCCTGACTCACCCTCCCAAGTAGCTGGGGCTACAGGTGTGGGCCACCACACCCAGCTAATTTTTGTATTTTTAGTAGAGACAGGGTTTCTCCATGTTGGCCAGGCTGGTCTTGAACTCCTGACTTCAAGTGATCTGCCTGCCTTGGCCTTGTAAAGTGCCGGGATTACAGGCATGAGCCACCATGCCCGCTACCCACCTCTACTCCTGCTGACTTGCTAAGCCCCCATCCAAAGACCCTGCAGGAAGGCTGTACAAAAACACAAACTGGACCTCATCATTCCCACTTCAAATCCTCTGTCGCTCTTGCAACAGCATTTACAAAATCTAGTTCTAGGCTCTGGACCTACCTGTTTGTGTCACACATTTGGGTTGTACTTTAGGAATAATGTAATTTTGATGATAACCTAAGGCTCTTTGGAGGTGTTTCAGGTATTTAGCATCTGATGTTCAGATGGGAGAGGTACGGGAGTGGGGTTCAAAAGTCCCCCACCCACATTTGAAACAAATTAGCTTTTATCTATTTATGCACTCAAGTTTTGCATTTTTGCAATTTTGTTTGTTTATCCTATAGATAAAGTCTGTTGCATATAGTCTTCTCCTGACACTCGTCCACTCTCCCTCCTCCTCTGCCCTGCTCTGTGTGTAGAAAGCTGATGTCTGTGGATGATACCAATCAGGTTCCCTTGTCTGCTGTGCTCCTGAGTTTCAGCCAGTGGGAGGCACAGACAGGAGATGAGAGGAAGAGCAAGGGCAAGTGAGAATATTTATGTCCTGCTTCCTCCTTGCCAGGCTTTAGTTGGCAGTGGCTGTGGCTCTGTTCCTCCATCTAACCTCGTATCTCCTGTTGGGTGGCTCTCTCTTACAGCTGTGTTTTTTTCTTTTCCCAGTTACTGCTCCCTTTTATTGGCCCTTTGAGCCTAGGGATGCTAATGGTTTTCCCTCCCAGTGTTGCCACCCCAGGGTTCCTCACCCTCAGCTGCTGGTTTCCCCGAACTCTGCCCATGCATCTGTAAATAGTCCCTTTCTTACTGAACTCTCTTCAGTCTACTATTTCAGTGTGCTAGCTGTTTCCTCCTAGAACATTGACCCATACTGTTATGGACTGACTATTTGTGTCCCTCCAAAGTTCATATGTTGAAATCCTAACCCTCAACATAATGGTACTAGGAGGTGGGACCTAATTAGGTTGTGAGAGTGGAGCCTTATGAATAGGATTAGTGCCCTTATAAAAGAGGCCCTAGGGAGCTCTTTTGCTCGCTGCCATGTGAAGACACAATGAGAAGTCAGCAGTCAGCAACCCGGAAGAGGGCCCTTGCCAGAAACTGACCATGCTGGCACCCTGATCTTGGACTTCCAGCCTCTAAAAGTGTGAGGAATATTTACATTCCGGTTATTTACAAGCTATGCAGTCTGTGGTACTTTGTCATAGCAACACGAACTTACTAAGACAAATCCCAAACCTTTATTCCTGAGTGTGACTTGCAAGGCCCCACCCTTCATCAGTGTGTGTCCCCCGAGCCACCCCATGTAGCTTCTCCTCTGTTGTCTGGGATTCCTCAACACTCCCCACCACACTCTATGCTCTCTACACTCCAGCACTTGTTTCTGTTGTGCCTTCTCTCCACTGGCCTGCTGCCCATCCTGTCAGCAGGCAGTTGACACCTGTTTGCCTGTTGGTCTCCCTGAGGTGTAGGGGCGCTCTCGGGCAGCAGGAGTGTTCTTGAGCTTGCACAGAGCTTGGTACAGAGCCATTTGTTGAATCAGGCAAGTAACAGGCAACTCTTTTTTTTTTTAAATGCCATCACTGTGCAGCAAATCATCAACATATTATCTCCCTTGAATGGAAATCCCCAGGCATAGGAACAGTGTTACTGAGGCCCCTGGAGCTGGTTGGAAGAAGGGAAATGACCTACCCTGATCCTCCTCCATGGACTAACTGGGCTGCACTCACCCAGTACCAGGCCTCCTCCCAGGGAAAGAGCCCTGCTTATTGAAGAGGCAGAGCAGCTGGGGACACTAACACTGCCATCAAGCCAGGCTTGGCTTGTTCATGGCTCATTTTACTCTAAAACCTAGAAGTGTGTGTGTGAAGGGCATAATTTTATAATTATAACTATATAATTTATAAATACAAATATAAATATAAATTATAATTATAATGATAAGCATATAATTTATAATTATAATTTATTATTTATTATTGGCCAAATGTGTTACCTGGCCTTAAGAAAGCAAGGTTTGGAAATGCCAGGAACCAAACCACTCACTATCTCAAATTCTCATAAGCTCAAATTTTTCTATTCAAAATAGTACATTGAAGACCAAGCCATTCTCAGTCTGCTCTTCACTTCTAATTCTACGGTTATTCTGATTGCTCAGGACAATGCTGTCTGGGAAGACTGCCCCACAGCTTGGGCCTCACAGGTCAGGGAGCGAGTGGGGCTGCAGTCAATTTGTCAAGAATTGTGCAGCATCAGGGCAGGTGTGGCTGGTCCTTTCTCCCCCATGCTCAGGAGCAACCAGCTCGGCATCGCTGGAAAGGGGGAAGAAGGGCTGGGAGGGACTCCCTGCCTTTGGACCTGGCCACACTGGGGACTCCCACCACTCAGTATCCCGTCGGCTGTGGGAATGCAGGGAGCCTGGGCCAGCGTTTTCTGGTCTAGGATGTGCATTCTCACAAACGTCAACCACCTCTTCAAGGAGCTGACTTAATTAAGCGCCTTATCCAGTGGTTCTCAGCCCTAGTTGAGCATTAGAACCATCTAGGGAGCTTTAAAAACTGCCATGGCCCGGCCCTACCCACAGAGGTCCTGATTTAATTGGACTGAAGAAGGGCCTGTACACTGGGCCTTTTTACAAAGTTCCTCAAGGGATTCTAATGTGCAGCCAGGCTGTCTAATCATGTCACCCAGCTCATTACAAATAGGCCCTGAGAATTCTTGTCCTTGTCCTCTAGGAGTTCACCATCTAGCCAGGAACACCTGGGTTTCTCTGGTGTCTGAGTAAAGATCCTGGGCATCTGTGAGCTCCTTGAATATTGGTGGCTGAGGCTGGAGAGACTTCAAAGTCAAGTGCAGAGCTAGCAGACTCTCCCCTCCTGAGCCCTCCCTCTGTCGTGGGTGTGTGTGTGTGCACGCGTGTGTGTGTATGTGTGTGCACGCCTACGTGTGGGTACTTACTACCCACTTATGTGTCTTATACCAATAGTCCAGAGAAGCAAACTCAGAAGCCTTAGCCCAGACGCAGGGAGTGAACGCCCTTGAGGGTGGCGGCAGTGAGAGGTCCCAGTGCTATGTTGTGGGAGGGTTGGACGTAGGGCTGGACCACAGAGCAGAGGCCTTTCCTTTACTCAGCTTTGGCCAACCTCACCATGAAGGAATGTGGGCCTGGCTTTAACACCTCTCCCCATTTTTCAAGAGAAGTCTGAAATCTGGATTTTTCTATTAAATTACTTGATTTTTCTTTGTTAGGCTCAATTTTATTAAAACACACGCGCGCGCACACACACACACACACACACACACACACACACACACACACACACACACAAGTATGATAACAAAACAAATCTGTAGGCTGGAATGAGATCCAAGCACCCAGAACTATAGGCAAGAGTGGACCAATTTTCTTGTGTTTTGGACTAAAACTGGGCATTTCCACTCCTTGTTAGGGACCTGAAGAGTAATGCTGTGTGGTTCCCTGTTCTTCTGACTTGGCAAATATGCGCCGCCTGTTCAGAGGCTGTGGCTGGGACCAAGGCCCTGGGGACAGAGACAGCTGCCCTGGCACAAATCAACTGCCATATAATGGGGTTACTTGCTACCTGCTCCCACTTCTTCTGTAACACTGTAAGGAGATGAAATGTTTGTTTCCTAGTGAAAGATAACCCACACAGGAGCCAGCTGCTAGTGCAGATGACAGAGGAGGAAAGCAAGGGAAAAAGGGTGGCTTTACTCAGAATATGGGAATGTCAAATGGGGTAGAGTGAAACAGGGTGCTCATGGGGATCATCAGATCTGTGGGGGACGGTGCCACCATATGCTCTATTCGTAGACAATTACAAAGTGACTAGCGAGACTGCTTTGGCAAGTCCCCCTGCTGGAAATGGGTCGTGGAGAGGCCAAACTTTAGAGAATGTGCCAAGCATGGGAGGGGGCTGGGCCCGGGTTATAATGGACTCTGGCGCTGGGGGGTGGTCATGAGCTCCCAGGATGTCTGCTGGGGAGAGGCCCTTGGTCGTGTGTGTGTCTGTGTGTGGGTGCACTTGCATGCCTGCAGGGAGCACAATTGCACAAGCAAGCCTGGAGGTGTGTGGGGCTCACACACACAGGGATGCTGAGCTGCGGCTTGGGCAGGAGTGGCAGCACAGGGGCTTCCTTTCCTCAGCTCAACTCATTGGGGCTCGGGAGTTCCCACTTTGAGAAGGTTGGGAGAGCCAGAAGTCCCCCCATGACCTGGAGATCCACGCCCTTTCAGGTATTTGGCTCCCTCTCATTTCTTCAGTACTCAGCATCTTCCCAGAGGGCCTCCCCCCATCACCCTCAATTACTGGGTCCCTTTTGCTCCCTGGCTCTAGCCTACCCGCTGCTCATCTCCGCCCTCTGACATCATCTGTTTCTTTGCTTGTGTGTCCTGTCTCTCCCTTAGAATGTGAGCTCTGATATGGCAGGGCCAGATTTCCTTATTCATGTTCTCATAATAGTGCTGAGTGCATGAAAAATGCCTTATAAATACCTGGGAAAAGGTGAGGGAATGAAAGGGCAAGAGATCCGTGAGCCTCAAGGCCAGGTTCTTGGCTCTGGGAGGATCCTCCCTTCCCCGCTCCTCCTTGCAGTTTCCCATGGTCATCCCAGCTGCAGGGGCACCTTCACCCACCACTCCATCTTTGCTGAGCCCATGTGTCTGGTCTGGGCTGTGTGGGAAGGAGCAGGCAGAGGCCCTGCCCGTCAAAGGTCCACAGCTCCCTGGGCAGGTGAGACCACAGGGCAAAGGAGCTCAAGTCCCTGTGCTCAGGAGAGGGTCCTGGGCCCCAGGAGTGGCATCCTCAGGTCAGGACATGAAGAGCTGAATTCTCAGAAGAAGCAGAGATGGGGGGAGTGGTTAAAGAGGGCTTCCTCAAGGAAGCCACGCTAAGCCAGATCCTTGAGAGGGTAAAGATGGGGAGGACATTGTTAGGGTGAGGGAAACCACATAAGTGAGGCTTGGAAGCCGAGATAAGACAGATGCATCCAAGCTGGAAAGCTGGTGCTGAGATGGGGACTCCATGAGCTGGGAGAGGAAGAGTTCCCAGTTACTGGCTACCTGGCTCAGCCAGCACAGTGTGCACAGAAGGAAGTGACTTCCCCAAGGTCATAGCACATAAACGATGAAGCTGGGACTCAAACCCAGGCTTCCTACACACAAAGCCTCAAAGCCTCCATGTCATGGCCACAGGAAGCTGCCTTTGGCAAACAAAATGACTGAAAGCTGCCTGATGCGGAGCCCAGCCCCGAGGTCAGAGCTGGAAACATTACCCTGGGGGCAGGTGCTGCAAGTTTGGTCTCTTGGTGGTCCTCAGGAAGCTTGTCTGCCCTTAAAATAACAAGTCTGGAGAGTGCCTCTTCCTCCAGGAAGCCTTCCCTTCATATTCTATTCTCATCCACCCCTCTTCATGAGCTCCTTCTCACTTTATTATGCTGTACTACACATCTCTGGAGATGAGATATATCAGCCTGGGCGCTGGGTCCCTGGAAATTGGCACAGCGCATGCTGTTGGCTGGTACTGCTGAATGAATGCTATTCCAGTCCTTACCCAGACCCTATCCTGACTCTAACTCCTGAACTGCTATCAGCTCTGAGCCTGGCCTTTCTTTACACTCATGCTTCAACAATTTGCACTGCTCCTTGGTGACAACATGCATTCACTACAGTCACATCCAGCCCCACCTCCAGTCCACTTGGAAACTGGTGTTCCATAGGGTTTGCCCTGCCTGACCCTAAGCCCCTTTGCAGGGCTACCCCTTGGCTCTGGCAACAGGAGGCTGAGTTGTTTCTCCACCATAAGGTCAGCTTTGCATGTACCCAGGACACAGGCACATTCTCTTGTCCAGGGCAGGCCTTTGCAAAATAGCTGGAGTTTGGGCTCAAGCAAGGACCACAAGTCAGAAGAGACAAGAAATGTCTAAAGAGGGATTCACGTGCCTGGCTTCTATCAGTCTGACGGACCAGGCAGGTTGATGGAAGAAGCTCTCTGGGTCCCTCCCCAAACAACATTTAATACGCAGCTGAAGGACTGAATGACAAACTTTATTAGAAACGCTCTTCATTCATCAGTCAAATTCACATTAAGGTGGGGGCAGTGGGGTGGGGAGGAAGAGGCAGTGCTGTCTGGGGCTCTGATATCCCACTGCTGTGATGATTTCCAGTTAAAAATGAGTCTGGGCAGAGAGTGTCTGAAACATATAAGAGGTGGCAGCAGCAGTGGCGGCGGAGGCAGCAGCAGCATTCCTGCGAGAGGACCAGGCTCGGAGCAGGTAGAGAATGTGTCTCCCATATCCACCCTTCCAGTCACAAGGCTGCCCCCATGGACCTCAAGCTGATAAATAAACAGCACATCACACACACATTTGAAACAGGAAACAAACTTGTAGAAGTCTCCTAAAGTGAAAAAATAATTTGCTCAAATAAAGCTTTGTGACAGCCATGCCGCACCCTGAATGGACGTTGCCCAGAGACCCTGACACTCCAGGAAGGCCCCCCAACCCAGGACACATCAGACTTGGGTGTCACAATGCCCCCAGTTCCCCCGTTAGCACCTTTGGACTAAGTACTGTCCTCTCCGCATTCCTCTTTTAAAATGCAAATGCTACTTAAAATAATGGTAAGGATATGCTCTTCCCTGGGGCAAACCAGTCAGACTCATCTTCCCTGAAGAGAGGTGTCTGGGCATCCAGAGAACTGTGAGTCAGTGGCTGGGAAGGGGAGCACGTGGAAAGGGGTAGGTAAACAACGTTCAAAGAGGTAAGCCGGAAGGTGTCTCCACACTGCACTGTCCACTTGCCAGGTCTGCGGTTGGGCCTCCTGGGAACAGTCTCTCAAAGTGGCACAGAGTCCTAAAACGGTGTGACAATCCTGCCGCCCTGGCAAGGCGTATGGGCCAGGAGGGGCACGGCGTCAGGCTTTCATCATTCATTATTCAGAGGCAATTTTCCCCCTGCACTGGCTAATTTCTCCCTGGCCCTGTCTGCAACGGGGCACACAATAGAAAGTCTCCTGCCTAAATGTTTTATTCATTCTCTTGAATAAGGAAACAGGCTCTCTGATCAATACGGTGGCTGCTGTGTCCTGGTTGGTGGCAGGATTTCCAGGAGGTGCAGACTCCAGGCTCTCTGTGGCTCCGAAGGAGGTGTCTGACTTGGGAGGGCTGCCTCGAGGGCAGTAGATACTGTTGGCAAGAGACCTTTCGTTTCCAAAGTTGGTACCACATCCTGGTCTTTGAAAGAACTGAGTGTCCTGGGGAGCCAGGAGAAGGGTAGATCCTTTCCCCTATGTGCCATGGGACTGTGAATGACAGGAGGGTCGGGCCCTGCGGTGTGTGTCTGTGTCTGTGCTGCCCATCAGGCTTGGCTCACTGGTACTGCAGATAGTTTTTGAGAGACTGAGGCAGGGGCAGGGAGCTGATGTCCTGCAGGCGCTGGCGGCCCAGGGCCGAGCGGATGGATCTCCGGCACAGGTCCATCAGTGGCAGGGGCTCGGCTGCAATGAGAGGGAAGCAGTTAGAGTGTGCCCTGTGCCATCCTGGCACCTTCTCATCCCAGCCCCCACTGCATACCGCCTCCTGCCTGCTCCTCTGAGCTGGCCTTCAGGGTCAATGGCTTCTCCTTGGAGAAGATTTCTCTGGTTACATAAGCTGAAGGCCTAGAGGAGTGTTCATTAGACTGTGGAATGCAACCAGTGAGACTAAAGAGTCACAAAATCAATTCAATGGGTGGTGACCAGCCATAATTTTTTTTAAAAAAAGAGAAAATGGGAGCAATACCCATAGCAAGGATAAATATTGTTTCATGAAAGCCTTGTCTCTGGTCTCTGATGTAGGTGTTCAGCGTGTCTTTTTTTTTTTTTTTTAGATGGAGTCTTGCTCTGTCGCCCAGGCTGGAGTGCAGTGGCACAATCTGGGCTCACTGCAAGCTCCGCCTCCTGGGTTCACGCCATTCTCCTGCCTCAGCCTCCCTAGTAGCTGGGACTACAGGCACCCGCCACCAGCCCGGCTAATTTTTTGTATTTTTAGTAGAGACGGGCTTTCACTGTGTTAGCCAGGATGGTCTCGATCTCCTGACCTCGTGATCGCCCTTCTCGGCCTCCCAAAGTGCTGGGATTACAGGCGTGAGCCACCGCGCCCGGCCTGGTGTGTCTTAATGTGAAAAGGACTTCTCACTTCAGGTCATGATGGAAAATGTTTAAAAGCTGGTGGCCTTGGGTGGATCTGCAGAGGGGTTTCCTCTACAAACAGGTTAGATTCTGAGAGGCTGTCTGAAATGCCTGTGAACCCTGAAACTTCCCCTATAGCTTTCCTTGATGGTCAGCAGCGGGTTACATTTTCTTCCAGCACCTAGTTCTGGAAAAATTTGTAAGTTAAAATCCATAAATAATGGAACCACTGGACATAGGACCAGTTAAACCAACTTTAACTAGGTTTATTGCAGACCCCCTTATTAAGCTCTTATTCTGGTCCAGGCCCTTTGATTAGCCCTGGGGATACAGGGATAACTAAGCTAGCACCAGAGGCAGCTCTGGAAGAGGGTGGGGGCAGGTAGGGGGGTGGTGGAGGCTCATGATCTGGGATTTTAAATAGGTGAATCATTTTAATAGAGTGTAATATATGCAATAATTCTTAAATATACAGGTACAGAAACTGGGAATTTCTTATATAGAAGAGCTGTTTGAAAGCTTCACAGAGAGGACACATAATGGGGTTTTGAAGAGTGAATAGGAGGGTTAAAGGCACATAAGGGTGGGGAGGGTATCCTAGGCAGAGAGAACAGGCAAAGGCAAAGGAGGAATAAAACAGGACAGCCTGGAGGTTTGTGGGGAGAGGAACAGTGCTGATCAGTTAGCATCAGCTGGAAGGAAGATGATGATGGTGGTCACATGGCATCTGGTATGGTTTGTACAGGCCTGGTTTCCCCAGTCCTCCAGGAGTATGCTGGAAGCCTGAACCTGCATCTTAATACTTTTTTGGTAATAGAATAAATGATATTTCATAAACATCCTATAATGTACTAAGATACAACAAAACTGTTGAGTGGTAAATACTAACACAAGAGTTGTGATAGGAATAGTACCACAGAGAAAGGCCCTCTACAGATCCACCCGAGGCCTGCAGCTTTCAAACATTTTTTTATCACAACCTGCAGTGAAGTACTTTTTACATGGGAATGTAGTCAAGAGTCGAGAATATGTTTTATAGGAATTTTTATTTACCTGAGCTGCAGAGTTAATAAGGGGAGCCATTAAAATTAAAGTGGGGCTTGGGGAGCATGCTTTGGAAGCTGTGCACAAGAGTACATCCAGCTCTCCTTCACTTGAGGCCAGATCCCAAGGCTATCTGCAGGGAGCACTAGTGACTCCAAACACTCACCTCTGTATCCTCTTTTTTATCTTTTTTTTTTTTTAATTTTTTGTATTCTCTTTTTAAAATAATTATTATTTTTATTGTATAATTCCACTTGTACAAAATCTTCAGAATAGTCAAATATGGAGACAGTATATCGATCCTCATACAAAATGAGGCTGGACAGGGGAAGCCCAGCCATGCCCTATTTTCCAGGTGCAGAAGGCTGATCGCTCACCTCCCAGTCACCCAATCACTGTGCCTAGGCCAACATTTGACAACCCTCCCTCAGGGTGTCCCCATCTCTCCTCCAGCAACACCCTTGTACCCAGTTCTCCCACTCCCTGTCCCCCATCTGGCATCAGGAAAACTGAGCTGTTAAAATTTCAAAATCATTGGCAGACCTTAAGAGATTTTCTTATCACTTTAATGCCCTAGGCACATAATAGGTATTCAACGCCCAAAATGCTTAGCCTTGTCAGCAAACCCAACTCCCTGTGTGTTGCCTGCCCAATTAGGGGCTGAAGAGGACAGAATGTCTTTTATCTTCATCTCTCTGCAGTCACTGAAATCAATCTAGATTCTAAATTCCAAAGGAAGAAGGAAAAGGAGTTCAGAGTACGTTGCTAGCTCTAAATGTGAAATATAAATCATCTCTCCGAACTTCTGAGGGGAGAGTAAACTGACAATTCCAAAGTGCACAGAGAAAGTCCTTGAGTTCCTGCCCCCACTGTGGAACTTTAAGAGCTCGGAGAGTGCCCAACGTTGGCTGCGCCCATTCTCTTGGCTCTTCTTTCTCACCTCTCCTGGCTTTGAGGCTTTTCTTAGAACTACCAAATGTCAAAGCTTGGAAATAATCACCTGGATAGGAAAGGAAGCACAGAATTTTCCAGTATGGGAGCTATTCTTAGAACTATTTTTTGACTAAAGATAAAACCGAAAAAGAATCATTGTTCATAAAGGTGAATATCCAAATGGCCAATAAACATATGTAAAAGTGCTCAACTTCATGAATCATCAGGAAAGTAGAAATTAATACCATAATATGACTCTGCCACATACCAACAAGGAAGACTAAAATGATGATATCCTCTTTCCTGTGATGCCTGGGACTGAAGTCTGGAGTGATGAAGACGTCTGATAGGATCTGCTTAGAAGTTGTCAAATATTTAGCCAAAATTCAGAGTTAACTGCATAGCTTGTCCTCCAATCCAGGTTTGCTCAAACAGCTGTGGTGATTCAAAGATTGTCTATGCAGACTCAACTGATGAACAAATAAATGTCCCTGACACTGTTAGGAGCTATTAATTTGGTCTTTTCTAAAAATAGGCTTTTCTTCTACTTTTTATTGTCTACTTACATTTATATATTAATGTAAAAATGAGGACTCATATGTTTGTCTACTTCTAAATTTTTATTCATTCTGTAACTCTCAGATGTAATTAAAATAACATAATGAAAAGAAGGAGCAGGCCACTGCAAATTCTGTGAAACAGGAAAAAAACTCTGGTGCTCTCTTGAAAGCACCACCTCCTGGCTGGAGGCCAACCAACTCAGGACATTACAGCAACTCATGACAGAACAACCTTGCTCCAAGGAAGGAGAAACAGGAGTTAATTCCACTGCATGCCAAATCCTGGCTAGCAAGTGGGTCCCAAGTCTGTCCATATTACAATCTCACTGCTAGCATAACCAGCATTAGAGAAAGCCAGCACACTAAACATCTATAACCAAAGACTCTCACAGAGTCTACTTCACTCCCCTGCCACCTCCACCAGAGCAGGTGCTGGTATCCACAGCTGGGAGACCTGAAGACAGATCCCATCATAGGACTCTTTGCAAACATCTCCCAGCACCAGCCAAGAGCCTGGTAGCCCCACTGCATGGTTAGACCCAGAAGAGCAATACCAATCTTTGCAGTCCAGCTCTCAGGTAGCCCCGTCCCTAGGGGAAGCAGGAGAGTACCACATCAAGGTGAATAAAAATCCACCAACCAAGTATCTGCTGTCTTCAAGAGACTCACCTAGCACACAAGAACTCACATAAACTTAAGGTAAAGTGGGGAAAGAGATATTCCATGCAAATGGAAACCAGAAGCAAGCAAGAGTAGCGATTCTTATAACAGACAAAACAGGTTTTAAAGCAACAACAGTTTAAAAAGACAAAGAGGGGGCCAAGCGTGGTGGCTCAGACCTGTAATCCCAGCACTTTGGGTGGCCAAGGTGGGCAGATCACAAAGTCAGGAGATGGAGACCATCCTGGCTAACACGGTGAAACCCCATTTCTACTAAAAACACAAAAAATTAGCTGGGCGTGGTGGCGGGTGCCTGTAGTCCCAGCTACTCGGGAGGCTGAGGCAGGAGAATGGTGTGAACCTGGGAGGTGGAACTTGCAATGAGCTGAGATCATGCCACTGCACTCCAGGCTGGGTGACAGAGCGAGACTCTGTCTCAAAAAAAAAAAAAAAAAAAAAAAAAAAAAAAGACAAAGAGGGACATTATATCATAATGAAAGGATCACTCCAAGAGGAAAATATCACAATCCTAAATATATATGTACCTAACACAGGAGCTCCCAAATTTATAAAACAATTATGACTAGACATAAGAAATGAGATAGACAACTACACAATAGTGGGGGACTTCAATGCTCCACTGACAGCACTAGACAGTTCACCAAGACAGAGTCAACAAAGAAACAATGGAGTTCAACTATACCCTAGAACAAATGGACTTAACAAATATTTACAGAACATTCTACCCAACAACTGCAGAATATACATTCTTTTCTTCAGCCCATGGGACATTCTCCAAGATAGACAACATGATAGGCCACAAAACAAGTCTCAATAAATTTAAGAAAATCAAACTTATATCAAGTATCCTCTCAGACCACAGTGGAATAAAATTGGAAATTAACTCCAAAAGGAACCATCAAAACTATACAAATACATGGAAATTAAATAATCTGCTCTTGAATGATCTTTGGGTCAACAATGAAATCAAGATGGAAATGTAAAATTTCTTTGAATGGAACGATAATAGTGACACAACTTACAAAAACCTCTTGGATACAGTCAAAGCAGTGCTAAGAGGAAAGTTCATAGCATTAAATGCTTACATCAAAAAGCTGAAAGAACATGAATAGACAATCTAAGGTCATACCTCAAGGAACTAGAGAAACAAGAACAAACTAAACTCAAACTCAGCAGAAGAAAATAAATAACAAAGATCACAGCAGAACTAAATGAAATTGAAACAAAAAATACAAAAGATAAATAAAACAAAAAGCCAGTTCTTTGAAAAGATAAACAAAACTGATAGACCATTAATGAGAATAACCAAGAAAAGACAAGAGAAGATCCAAATAAGTTCAATTAGAAACAAAACAGGAGATATTACAACTGATACCACAGAAATACAAAAGTGCATTCATGGGGATTATTAACACCTTTACACATACAAACTAGAAAATTTAAAGGAGATAGAAAAATTTCTTGAAATATACAACCTTCCTAGATTAAATCAGGAAGAAATAGAAATTCCGAACAGACCAGTAACAAATAGTGAAATTGAAATGGTAATAAAAAATTGCCACCAAAAAAAAAGTCAAGGACCAGATGGATTCACAGCTGAATTCTATCAGGTATTCAAAGAAGAATTGGTACTAATCTTTCCGAAACTATTCCACTGCTGTTGCTGCTGCCTATAGACTTTCAGATCATCTCCCTCTTCTGTGTCAGGGAAAGCTCCTGGCTGGTGCAGACACAACCCAATAGCAGTTTAATATGTAATATTGAAAAACTGGGGGGGTGGAGCCAAGATGGCCGAATAGGAACAGCTCCAGTCTACAACTCCCAGCGTGAGCGATGCAGAAGATGGGTGATTTCTGCATTTCCAACTGAGGTACCGGGTTCATCTCACAGGGGAGTGCCGGACAGTGGGTACAGGACAGTGGGTTCAGGGCACCATGCATGAGCCAAAGCAGGGCGAGGCGTCGCCTCACCTGGGAAGTGCAAGGGGTCAGGGAATTCCTTTTCCTAGTCAAAGAAAGGGGTGACAGGTGGCACCTGGAAAATCGGGTCACTCCCACCCTAATACTGCGCTCTTCCAACGCCTTAAACAAACGGCACACCAGGAGATTATATCCCGCACCTGGCTCGGAGGGTCCTATGCCCACAGAGCCTCACTCATTGCTAGCACAGCAGTCTGAGATCAAACTGCAAGGCGGCAGCGAGGCTGGGGGAGGGGTGCCCACCATTGCTCAGGCTTGAGTAGGTAAAACCAAGTGGCCAGGAAGCTCAAACTGGGTGGAGCCCACCACAGCTCAAGGAGGCCTGCCTGCCTCTGGAGGCTCCACCTCTGGGGGCAGGGCACAGACAAACAAAAGACAGCAATAACCTCTGCAGTCTTAAATGTCCCTGTCTGACAGCTTTGAAGAGAGTAGTGGTTCTCCCAGCACGCAGCTTGAGATCTGAGAACGGGCAGACTGCCTCCTCAAGTGGGTCCCTGACCCCCGAGTAGCCTAACTGGGAGACAACCCCAATAGGGGCAGACTGACACCTCACACGGCCGGGTACTCCTCTGAGACAAAACTTCCCAAGGAACAATCAGGCAGCAGCATTTGCGGTTCACCAATATCCGCTGTTCTGCAGCCACCGCTGCTGATACCCAGGCAAACAGGGTCTGGAGTGGACCTCCAGTAAACTCCAACAGACCTGCAGCTGAGGGTCCTGTCTGTTAGAAGGAAAACTAACAAAGAGAAAGGACATCCACACCAAAAACCCATCTGTACGTCACCATCATCAAAGACCAAACATAGATAAAACCACAAAGATGGGGAAAAAACAGAGCAGAAAAACTGGAAACTCTAAAACTCAGAGCGCCTCTCCTCCAAAGGAACGCAGCTCCTCACCAGCAACGGAACAAAGCTGGATGGAGAATGACTTTGACGAGTTGAGAGAGGAAGGCTTCAGAAGATCAAACTACTCCAAGCTAAAGGAGGAAGTTTGAACCAATGGCAAAGAAGTTAAAAACTTTGAAAAAAAATTAGACGAATGGATAACTAGAATAACCAATGCAGAGAAGTCTTTAAAGGACCTGATGGAGCTGAAAACCAAGGCACAAGAACCACGTGACGAATGCACAAGCCTCAGTAACTGACGCGATCAACTGGAAGAAAGGGTATCAGCGATGGAAGATGAAATGAATGAAATGAAGCGTGAAGAGAAATTTAGAGAAAAAAGAATAAAAAGAAATGAACAAAGCCTCCGAGAAATATGGGACTATGTGAAAAGACCAAATCTACATCTAATTGGTGTACCTGAAAGTGACTGGGAGAATGGAACCAAGTTGGAAAACACTCTGCAGGATATTATCCAGGAGAACTTCCCCAATCTAGCAAGGCAGGCCAACATTCGAATTCAGGAAATAGAGAACGCCACAAAGATACTCCTCAAGAAGAGCAACTCCAAGACACATAATTGTCAGATTCACCAAAGTTGAAATGAAGGAAAAAGTGTTAAGGGCAGCCTGAGTGAAAGGTGGGGTTACCCACAAAGGGAAGCCCATCAGACTAACAGCTGATCTCTCGGCAGAAACTCCACAAGCCAGAAGAGAGTGGGGGCCAATATTCAACATTCTTAAAGAAAAGAATTTTCAACCCAGAATTTCATATCCAGCCAAACTAAGCTTCATAAGTGAAGGAGAAATAAAATACTTCACAGACAAGCAAATGCTGAGAGATTTTGTTACCACCAGGCCTGCCCTAAAAGAGCTCCTGAAGGAAGCACTAAACATGGAAAGGAACAACTGGTACCAGCCACTGCAAAAACATGCCAAGTTGTAAAGACCATCGAGGCTAGGAAGAAAATGCATCAACTAACGAGCAAAATAGCCAGCTAACATCATAATGGCAGGATCACATTCACACATAACAATACTAATCTTAAATGTAAATGGGCTAAATGCTCCAATTAAAAGGCACAGACTGGCAAATTGGATAAAGAGTCAAGACCCATCAGTGTGCTGTGTTCAGGAAACCCATCTCACGTGCAGAGACACACATAGGCTCAAAATAAAGGGATGGAGGAAGATCTACCAAGCAAATGGAAAATAAAAAAAGGCAGGGGTTGCAATCCTAGTCTCTGATAAAACAGACTTTAAACCAACAAAGATCAAAAGAGACAAAGAAGGCCATTACATAATGGTAAAGGGATCCATCCAACAAGAAGAACTAACTATCCTAAATATATATGCACCCAACACAGGAGCACACAGATTCATAAAGGAAGTCCTTAGTAACCTACAAAAAGACTTAGACACCCACACAATAATAATGGGAGACTTTAACACCCCACTGTCAACATTAGACAGATCAACGAGACAGAAAGTTAACAAGGATATCCAGGAATTGAACTCAGCTCTGCACCAAGCGGACCTAATAGACATCTACAGAACTCTCCACCCCAAATCAACAGAATATACATTCTTTTCAGTACCACACCACACCTATTCCAAAATTGACCACATACTTGGAAGTAAAACACTCCTCAGCAAATGTAAAAGAACAGAAATTATAACAAACTGTCTCTCAGACCACAGTGCAATCAAACTAGAACTCAGGATTAAGAAACTCACTCAAAACCACTCAATTGCATGGAAACTGAACAACCTGCTCCTGAATGACTACTGGGTTCACAAGGAAATGAAGGCGGAAATAAAGATGTTCTTTGAAACCAACGAGAACAAAGACACAACATATCAGAATCTCTGGGACACATTCAAAGCAGTGTGTAGAGGGAAACTTATAGCACTAAATGCCCACAAGAGAAAGCAGGTAAGATCTAAAATTGACACCCTAACATCACAATTAAAAGAACTAAAGAAGCAAGAGCAAACACATTCAAAAGCTAGCAGAAGGCAAGAAATAACTAAGATCAGAGCAGAACTGAAGGAGATAGAGACACAAAAAACCCTTCAAAAAATCAATGAATCCAGGAGCTGATTTTTTGAAAAGATCAACAGAGTTGATAGACCACTAGCAAGACTAATGAAGAAGAAAAGAGAGAAGAATCAAATAGATGCAATAATAAATGACAAAGGGGATATCACCACCAATCCCACAGAAATACAAGCTACCATCAGAGAATACTATAAACACCTCTATGAAAATAAACTAGAATATCTAGAAGAAACGGATAAATTCCTCGACACATACACTCTCCCAAGACTAAACCAGGAAGAAGTTGAATCTCTGAATAGACCAATAACAGGCTCTGAAATTGAGGCAATAATTAATAGCTTACCAACCAAAAAAAGTCCAGGACCAGATGGATTCACAGCCGAATTCTACCAGAGGTACAAGGAGGAGCTGGTACCATTCCTTCTGAAACTATTCCAATCAATAGAAAAAGAGGGAATCCTCCCTAACTCATTTTATGAGGCCAGCATCATCCTGATACCAAAGCCTGTCAGAGACACACAAAAAAAGAGAATTTTAGACCAATATCCTTGATGAACATTGATGCAAAAATCCTCAGTAAAACACTGGCAAACCAAACCCAGCAAAACATCAAAAAGCTTATCCACCATGATCAAGTGGGCTTCATCCCTGGGATGCAACGCTGGTTCAACATATGAAAATCAATAAACATAATCCAGCATATAAACAGAACAAATGACAAAAACCACATGATTTTCTCAACAGATGCAGAAAAGGCCTTTGACAAAATTCAACAACCATTCATGCTAAAAACTCTCAATAAATTAGGTATTGATGGGACATATCTCTAAATAATGAGAGCTATCTATGACAAACCCACAGCCAATATCATACCGAATGGGCAAAAACTGGAAGCATTCCCTTTGAAAACTGGCACAAGACAGGGATGCCCTCTCTCACCACTCCTATTCAACATAGTGTTGGAAGTTCTGGACAGGGCAATCAGGCAGGAGAAGGTGGGCATTCAATTAGGAAAAGAGGAAGTCAAATTGTCCCTGTTTGCAGATGACATGATTGTACATCTAGAAAACCCCATCATCTCAGCCCAAAATCTCCGTAAGCTGATAAGAAACTTCAGGAAAGTCTCAGGATACAAAATCAATGTGCAAAAATCACAAGCATTCTTATACACCAATAACAGACAAACAGAGAGCCAAATCATGAGTGAACTCCCATTCAAAGTTGCTTCAAAGAGAATAAAATACCTAGGAATCCAACTTACAAGGGATGTGAAGGACCTCTTCAAGGAGAACTACAAACCACTGCTCAATGAAGTAAAAGAGGATACAAACAAATGGAAGAACATTCCATGCTCATGGGTAGGAAGAATCAATATCGTGAAAATGGCCATACTGCCCAAGGTTATTTATAGATTCAATGCCATCCCCATCAAGCTACCAATGACTTTCTTCACAGAATTGGAAAAAACTACTTTAAAGTTCATATGGAACCAAAAAAGAGCCCACATCGCCAAGTCAATCCTAAGCCAACAGAACAAAGCTGGAGGCATCACGCTACCTCACTTCAAACTATTCTACAAGGCTACAGTAACCAAAACAGCACGGTACTGGTACCAAAACAGAGATATAGACCAATGGAACAGAACAGAGCCCTCAGAAATAATACCACACACCTACAACCATCTGATCTTTGACAAACCTGACAAAAACAAGCCATGGGGAAAGCATTCCCTATTTAATCAATGGTGCTGGGAAAACTGGCTAGCCATATGTAGAAAGCTGAAACTGGATCCCTTCCTTGCACCTTATACAAAAATTAATTCAAGGTGGATTAAAGACTTACATGTTAGACCTAAAACCATAAAAACCCTAGAAGAAAACCTAGGCAATACCATTCAGGACATAGGCATGGGCAAGGACTTCATGTCTAAAACACCAAAAGCAATGGCAACAAAAGACAAAATTGACAAATGGGATCTAATTAAACTAAAGAGCTTCTGCACAGCAAAAGAAACCACCATCAGAATGAACAGGCAACCTACAGAATGGGAGAAAATTTTTGGAACCTACTCATCTGACATAGGGCTAATAACCAGAATCTACAAAGAACTCAAACAAATTTTCAAGAAAAAAACAAACCCTTCAAAAAGTGGGCAAAGGATATGAACAGACCCTTCTCAAAAGAAGACATTCATGCAGCCAAAAAGCACATGAAAAAATGCTCATCATCACTGGCCATCAGAGAAATGCAAATCAAAACCACAATGAGATACCATCTCACACCAGTTAGAATGGCGATCATTAAAAAGTCAGGAAACAACAGGTGCTGGAGAGGATGTGGAGAAATAGGAACACTTTTACACTGTTGGTGGGACTGTAAACTAGTTCAACCATTGTGGAAATCAGTGTGGCGATTCCTCAGGGATCTGGAACTAGAAATACCATTTGACCCAGCCATCCCATTACTGGGTATATACCCAAAGGATTATAAATCATGCTGCTATAAAGACACATGCACACGTATGTTTATTGTGGCACTATTCACAATAGCAAAGACTTGGAACCAACCCAAATGTCCAACAATGATAGACTGGATTAAGAAAATATGGCACATATACACCATGGAATACTATGCAGCCATAAAAAATGATGAGTTCATGTCCTTTGTAGGGAAATGGATGAAGCTGGAAACCATCATTCTCAGCAAACTATCACAAGGACAAAAAACCAAACACTGCATGTTCTCACTCATAGGTGGGAATTGAACAATGAGAACACATGGACACAGGAAGGGGAACATCACACACCGGGGACTGGTGTGGGGTGGGGGGAGGGGGGATATCATTAGGAGATATACCTAATGCTAAATGATGAGTTAATGGGTGCAGCACACCAACATGGCACATGTATACATATGTAACAAACCTGCACGTTGTGCACATGTATACTAAAACTTAAGGTATAATAATAATAATAATAATAATAAAAGAAAAACTGGAAGTGACCCAAATGTACATCAGAGAGTAGATAAATAAATTACGGTATATTAATACAATGCAATGCCACACAAAACAAAAACTTCTACTATACATAACTGATCTTATAAATCATATATAATATAAAGTAAAAAGAATCATACAACAATTATATTTTACTCAACTTATACAAAATTCAGAAACAGACAAAACTAATCTATGGTGATGGAAGTGAGAATAGTGGTTACTTGGGGGTGAGATGGTGGGGCTGGGGTTGTTGGTGCTATTGACATTAAAGATAAGAGAGCCCTGTTCCAGTGCTGGGAATCTATGTATTGATCTGAGTGGTGATTACATGTGTATATACTTAAGAATTCACTGAACAGTATGCTTATATATCTTTTGCAGTGTACCTGTTATACCTCATTTACAAATTAAATTGATATATTGCTGCAAAAAAAAAAAAAGAAACTATTCCAAAAGATAGAGAAAGAGGGAATCCTCCTTAAATTATTCTATGAAGCCAGTATCACCCTAATACCAAAACCGGGAAAGGACATAACAAAAAACGAAAACTACAGACCAATATCCCTAATTAACATACATGCAAAAATCTTCAACAAAATACTAGCTAACTGAATTCGGCAGCATATCAAAAAAGATAATTAACCATGATCAAGCAGGTTTCACACCAGGCATGCAGGGATGGTTTAACATATAAAAGTCAATAAATGTGATACATCACATAAACATAATTAAAAACAAAAATCATATAAGCATGTCAATAGATGCAGAAAAAACGTGACAAAATCCAGCATCCCTTTATGATTAAAAGCCTCAGCAAAATTGGCATAGAAGGGACATATCTTAAGGTAATAAAAGCCATCTATTACAGACCCATGCCAACATTAAACTACTGAATGGGGAAAAGTTGAAAGCATTCCCCCTGAGAACTAGAACGAGACAAGGATGCCCACTTTCACCACTGCTATTCAACAGTATATGCTGGAAGTCCTAGCCAGAACAGTCAGACAAGAGAAATAAACAAAGGGCATCTAAATCTGTAAAGAGGAAGTCAAACTGTTGCTATTTGCCGATGATATGACTGTATACCTAGAAAACCCTAAAGACTCATCTAAAAAGCTCCTTGATCTGATAAATGAATTCAGTTAAGTTTCAGTATACAAAATCAATGTACACAAATCAGTAGCACTGCTATACACCAACAGTGACCAGAATCAAATCAAGAACTCAATCCCTTTTACAACAGCTGCAAAAAAAAAAAAAAAAAAAGAAAAAAGAAAAAAAAAAAAAGAAAAGAAAAAAAAAAAGGAAAAATACTTAGGAATATACCTAATGAAGGAGGTGAAAGATTTCCACAGGGAAAACTACCAAACATTGCTGAAAGAATTCATAGATGACACAAAACAAGCTCATGGATGGGTAGAATCAATATTGTGAAGATGACCATACTGCCAAAAGCAATCTACAAATTCAATGCAATTCCCATCAAAATACCATTATCATTCTTCACAAAACAAGAGAAAACAATCCTAAAATTCATATGAAACTGAAAAAGAGCTCACATAGCCTAAGCAAGACTAAACAAAAAGAACAAATCTGGAGGCATCATATTACCCAACTTTATACTACAAGGCTATAGTTACCAAAACAGCATGGTACTGGTATAAAAATAGGCATGTAGACCAATGGACCAGAATAGAGAACCCAGAGATAAAGCCAAATACCCACAGCCAACTGATCTTTGACCAAGCAAACAAAAACATAAAGTGGGAAAAGGACAACCTATTCAACAAATGGTGCTGGGATTTGACAAGTCACATGTTGAAGAATGAAGCTGGATCCTCATCTCTCATCTTATACAAAAATCACCTCAAGATGGGTCAAAAACTTAAATCTAAGACCTGAAACCATAAAAATTCTAGAAGATAACAGGAAAAACTCTTCTAGACATTGGCTTAGGCAAAAAGTTCATGACCAAGAACCTAAAAGCAAATGCAATAAAAACAAAGATAAGTAGATGGGACCTAATTAAACTAAAAAGTTTCTGCTCAGCAAAATAATCAGCAGAGTAAACACAGAGTGGGAGAAAATATTCACAAACTATGCATCTGACAAAGGACTAATATCCAGAATCTACAAGGAACTCAAGCAAATCAGCAAGAAAAAAACAAATAATCCATCAAAAAGTAGGCAAAGGATATGAATAGAAAATTCTCAAAAGAAGATATACAAATGGCTGACAAACATATGACAAAATGCTCAACATCACTAATTATCAGGGAAATGCAAATTAAAACCACAATGAAATACTTACTCCTGCAAGAATGGCCATAATTTAAGAAATAACAGACGTCAAAAAATAGCAGATGTTTGTGTAGATGTGGTGAAAATGGAACACTTTTACACTGCTGGTGGGAATGTAAACCAGTACAACCATTATGGAAAACAGTGTGGAGATTCCTTAAAGAACTAAAAGTAGAACTACTGTTTGATCTAGCAATCTCACTACTAGGTATCTACCCAGAGGAAAATAAGTTATTATATGAACAAGACAGTTGCACATGCATGTTTATAGCAGCACAATTCACAGTTATAAAATTATGGAAACAGCCTAAATGCCCATCAATGAATGAGTGGATAAACCAAATATGATAATATATATATATATATATACACACACCTTGGAATACTACTCAGCCATAAAAAAGGAATGAAATAATGGCATTCACAGCAACCTGGATGAAGTTGCAGACCATTATTCTAAGAGAAGTAACTCAGGAATGGAAAACCAAACATCTATGTTCTCACTTATAAATGAGAGCTAAGGTATGAGGATGCAAAGTCATAAGAACGACATAAAAGCTGGGTACGGTGGCTCACGCCTGTAATCCCAGCAGTTTGGGGTGCCGAGGCGGGTGGATCACGAGGTCAGGAGTTTGAGACCAGCCTGGCCAATATGGTGAAACCCTGTCTCTACTAAAAATACAAAAATTAGCCAGGCATGGTGGTGCTCACCTGTAGTCCCAGCTACTCGGGAAGCTGAGGCAGAAGAATAGCTTGAACCCGGGAGGCGGAGGTTGCAGTGAGCCGAGATCGTGCCACTGCACTTTGGCCAGGGCAACCGAGTGAGACTCCATCTCAAAAAAAAAAACAAAGATATAATGGACTTTAGGGACCTGGGGGAAAGGGTGGGAGGGGGTTGAGGGATAAAAGACTACACATTGAGTAGTGCATCAAAATTTCATAAATCACCACTAAAGACTTTTTCCATGAAATCAAAAACCACCTGTTGAAATTAAGAAACCAAAAACTTGAAATTAGGAAAGAAAAAAAAAGAATGACTAAAATGAAAAAGATAGTATTAAGTGCTGATGAGGATGTAGAGCAACCAGAATGCTCACAATGCTTTTAGTGGCAACGTGAACTGCACAACCACTTTGGAAAACTAGCCACATTGACTAAAACTGCTGAATCTCCTGGGTAAACACCTAACAGAAAAGCATATACATGTTCACCAAAATGTTCATTCACAAATGCTCATAGGAGCATTACTTGTAACAGCACCAAACTGAAAGCAACAATTCTACTGTCCATCAACAGTGGAATGTAAAAATAAATTGTGTAACTTCATATAGAACACTAATCAGCCACGAGAATGAAGGAACCACAATTATATGTAAAAGCATGGAGGAATCTTTCGACATAACTTTGAGTGAGAAAAAGTACATTTTGTGTGACGTCTTCTGTATAGAAGCAAAAGCAAGGTGATGAAGTTAGGGCAGAGGTGACCTTAAGGGAGTAGTGATGGGGAGGAGGCATGAGGGATTCCTGGGGGTTGGGAAGGGGGGGCTGGAATTTTCTGCTGCTTGAATTGAGTTCTGGTTCTACTAGCATGTTGTTTGTAAACATCATCAAGCAGCACCCTTAAGATTTGTGTGCTGTCTACATATATCTTATACTTCAAAAATAAGTTTACATTAAAAAAAATCACTGACAGAAGTACTTGGTGAGACGCAACACAAGTGAAGCATTTGCCTGCCTGCCCTAATGGGAAAAAGTAGGGGGAAGGAGCTGGCTTGGAATCCTAGTTTCTGCTCCCAACACCCATTTAATAGAGGAGAAAAATGTGGCTCCACATTTTTATCATCTGTAAAATGGGGATAGCAACACCTCCATCTATGGGCTGTTGTGATGATGGTATGACGTAACAGGCCCCTTGCCTTAAAGGTGTTCTCTCTAAAATGTGTCTTATTTCAGGCCATCAGCCCAGGAAGCACCCTTAAAAATAGTCATAATTTACTTATTGTGGTTCTACAAATGCCTCAGTACATCATCCTAATTGACAACAATGTTCTGCTCTTGATGAAGATTTCCTGGAGCCAGGGATGGATGTCTGGTTCTGTGCTAAAAATATGACAAGGTAATCATTTCAAAAGTTCTCCAGTGATCTGAATATTCCTTAATTTTCCATCACTGACCACCTGCACAACCCTAGGTGAGCCATTGGACTTCCCAGGGACTCTGTTTAGCTATCAATAAAATGGGGAAAGTTATTGCATCCAGTTATGATGGCCTGTTTCTGTGATGGAAATGGGTGGAGATCTTGGTGCAGAGATTGGTGGCTTAAGCTGCTTCCCTGGGCCCTCTGAAGTCTTCTCTGCCTGCAGTGAGAAGATGCCAAGACACAAGTCACTACCCTACCCCAACCCTGTATTTATATTTTGAAAAAAGATCAGCATCTTAGAGTCAAGAGGTGAAATTCTCTTGTAATTTTAGACAATGGTCGGCAGATAGGGGAGGGTTTGAGTGACAGCCCTGAAAGCTGAACT
This sequence comes from Homo sapiens, assembly GCF_000001405.40. Taxonomy (NCBI): domain Eukaryota; kingdom Metazoa; phylum Chordata; class Mammalia; order Primates; family Hominidae; genus Homo; species Homo sapiens. The sequence goes on along the minus strand of NC_000003.12, from coordinate 141,130,496 downwards.
CAAATAGACCTGAGCACTGTTTGTTTTCAGGGAATGAAATGAGGAGGAGACACACACATGTGCAAGCACACACACACTCTGTGGCAGACACTGTGCTCATCAGTTATCCACAGACTATGGTTTTGGTGTCCGAAGCCTCAGAATTGCTTTCATGCCCCTGAGACTCCCCTCATGCTGCTCCTTTTTCCTAGAACACCATTCCTTGTACTTCCTGCCAGGAACATGCCTCATCTTTCTGGACTCAAATCAAGTGTCATCTCTTCCTCAATGACTTGGCTCCTCTGCCCTCAGGGTCTGCATCTGTTAGGTGTCAATCCACTTAATCATGCAAATTGTCAAGTGTATCATTACCTGTAGTAATGCTACTTCTAAAATATGGCATCCCTGTACCGACTGGCCCTGTCATGGCCAACAGAGACCTCAGCTCCCATCTAGGAAGCATTTGGAATTTGGAGCGTTTTCTGTTGACAAGCTTCACTGTTTCCCCAGCAAAAAGGGTTGTGACTACAGCTGGGACACAAGCAGCATCTTCAGATGAACTCTGTGCCAACAAGCGTCATCCACACAGATGGTCCCCACAGCCCAGGTGGGGCCCTCATTTTCCCTGGGATACGGAGCTATCAAGTTACTTCTTGTGCAGAGGAGTGTTGCACAGGAAAATAGTCCTAAATAATGCATGGCCTTCCCTAGCAACGCTGCAAAGCAAGGATGTGAGAAGCCTCCAAAGGGGACAACCCAGAACAGGGAGTGCTTGAAAAATTCCATTCGAATGTTCCAGCTGAACCGTGTGGGGCTGTTCCAAAGACAAAGGCAGTGTGATCAAGGGGGCAGCCTGGGCCCACACACTGCACCCCTCCTACCCAGCGTCTCTCTGAAATGACAGAAGATTCGCTCATGTGTGCATGCGTGTGCATGAGGGACAGGATAAGAGTGCTGGAAAACAAGAAAGGCCATCAGCAGCCAGACATTATGGTAAATTCCAGGAAGACAGGAAGCAGGTGCAACAGGATGGTGGAGAAATCAAGCAACGAGACCAGTAGCCTTGTATACCAGGGATGTGCAGGGCTCTCACCAAAAGAGTCCCAGAGAAACCCCAAGCTCCAAGGAGCAAACATAGGGTAATCCTTAAAGAACTGTAATCCCAACATCTGGGACAGTTGTGTTCCTGTCTGCCCCAGCTGCAGAGCCTGATCCAGCTCTGTTTGAGCAGGGCAGCCTTTGGGAGAGGCTCCTGGAGCTGTGAAGGTCCAATAGAGAAGCTGAATAGAGCATGGGCAAAACCTCCACAGCAGAGGTGGGCAGGATGTGTGGGAAAGACACCTCCACTTAGATGAAGAACTCAAGGGTCTGGCCTTCCCATCAGCTCCCTGACTCAGTACTGACAGGAGAGTGTGTCTGGCAAAATATTTTCACCCAAAGACTCCTCACCCTCCCAGGCTAAAGGGAGCTACACTGTTGCAGAGCAAACAGCAGCTTCCTTTTTGGATGTGTGCAGTGGCTCTGAAAGAAGAGCTTCTGTCCACCTAGTCTGAAAGTTACTCAAGGAGGCATTCCAGCAAAATGAAAAAGGAGCCCTAGAAACAGGATGGTACCCACCTCCAGAAAAAGAGGAGAGTGAATGACACCCTGAAGTGAAGGAAGGTAGAATGGAACAATTTAAAGTTCTGTTGGATCCTGATGCTTAGTAGAACCTCTTTCTAGAAGCTGACTTTGCTAAAGAGCCATCCCCCCATGATGCTCTGTCCCCCTTACCTCTGACTCCAGCCCTCAGCTTCCCTACCACTCAAATCTTCCACTACACCCTTTGGAACTGCCACTCCACATACAGAAAACTGCAACCCCAGCTCCTTCTGTGAGCTCCCCCCAGCTGCCTCAACTGGACCAAGCATTCTGTGCCGGCACCCCGTTGCCCTTCCACCTTCTCTGGGGGCTGCGTGCTCACTCAGGCCTGGAGGCAGGGCAGGGCCCCTCCTGGCTCCTCTGCCATATACAAAGCTCCACACCCACCTTCTGTTTGTGAGAAATCCCCCTTCCTGTGTGGTTCACACCACTACACCACTTGGCTCAGTCCTCTCCCCACTCCTTGATGCTGTCATCCACTGACCACTGGCCCAGTGTTTGTCAGGGCTTTGGCCTGGCCCCCCACAGCCCCTCTCCACCCACACCTGTCACGCCCTGATGACTCCTCCACAGGGATCACTTTCTCATCACTCAGGCTCCTGATTCTTGACTGCCAGATCCTCAGGGACTCTCTCCTCCATCCAGCCACTATTACCTGGGCCACTATCAACCTCAGCATTACTCCTAAACCCATTTCTGCACCCCAGTCTCTGACCAATGACTTACCACACTCCACCCCCTTCCCCACCGACTTAACCATTATTTCCCCTCAGGGAAACCTGGAGGCCGCAGGGCCGTCTCTTCAGATCTGCTCCACCCACCAGCCTTCTTTTTCTTCTCCTCCCTCCTCATCCAGTTGAACAATTCACTATTCCCAGGAACCAAGGGTATGAGGTCAGGCAGGCCAATGGGGCAGCCAGTGAGGGACTGTGGGAGGGGCAGGGCTAAGGACTAGGAAATGAACTGGGAACAAAGAGCTTCTGGAATTCGGTTCGGTTCTCAGTTCTTAGACCTCAGTTCTACTGCAGGGCCTAAGAGAATATTTGTCCTCCTTTCCCTGACCTGCCATGCAGCTAGGCAGCTGGGAGCCCTGGGTGCCTGGCAAGTCTCAGCCACCAGCTGGCAGAGTGGCCTCGCCTTCCTTCTCCAGCCTGTGTCTCCATCAGAGTGGCAAATGGCTTGGCGTGATGGCTGAGGCTCCTCTCCACCGGTTGACGTTTGGCAGAACAGAAATCACATTTAATCCTGGCAGTGAAAGGGCCTTGACTGTACCAAATCAAATTAGATTTGATAGAAAAAAAAAATGCACATGAAAAAGTGAATGGCAAGGCAAGTGATGCCTGTGAGATAAATGTTAGAGGAGCCTTGCAGACCTGGGGATGTGGCTTCTGAGCTCTGGACAGAGGCCAGGCAGGTTTCCTCGGGGAGGTGGGGCTGAACCAGGCCCAAGGGCAGGGCTGGCTCTAAGCTGCTGTTATTATCAAAGGCAGGACTGGCTGAACTGAGGCCTCACTCAGCTTTACAGGTGAGGCTCATTTTAGCCATGGGCTCACACTAGCACTGTCAAAAGAACAAGGGGTCTGGAGACCTGAACCCTTCTCTGGTGGCCTTCCTTCCACAGGTCTCTGCCTTCCTGGCCAACAGTTCAGCAGTGCTCAGCTGCCTGTCCACTGCTGGCTTGCTGCTGCACCCCCCAGCCCTGCTGAGCCACATGGGTGTTCACTATTGACCCCCTCCCAGCTGTGAGGAAGAATGACTGGCTTCAGGCAGGCACTGGAGACTCAGGTCCTACTGGGGTTTGTGTCCTGGACCACTGTTGGGTCTTCTTGACCTCGAAGCATACACACCTTGGAGAAACCTCTGTGTGTTTGGGTTGGGCGGGGAGTGAAGAGGTGGAAGAAGGTCCCATCCCTTGCCCAGCCTTTGAGAGCCCGGGCTGGGGCATGGGGGGCTGTATTGGAGGCGAATCCTAGCTCAGTCTCCACCCTAGTGTAAGGCCCAAGCCAGAATCTTTCACTAGCCTCTTACCATCAAAAGCAGAGGCAGATCCACTACTAATCTATCCATGGAAGGGGTCGGAGTGGGCTCTATTTTCACAGAGGAATTCAAGTCCTATCCCAGCCAAGGTCCTAGCAAACTCAGCTCGTGGACCTGTCTCTGACGGTGCTTGTGCGAATTAAAGGAGGTAACCTACGGAAAGGATTAAAGCATGGCCTGGCACATGCTCAGATGCCATCGATATTTGGTTTGCTGTTGTTATTTGGTCTCCCTGGGTCTGTGGAAGAAGATCCTCTGGGGTTGATACAATGGGCAGATGGTGTCCTTCGAAAAATATCACTCTTGGGATGTTGGTAGCAAGCCTGGAACCCCGGTTGGAAATTGAAGGAAAGTGGGAGAAAAACAGAGGACTGGACTCGGATCCAGGAGCCTTGATCTCTGTGGACGTGGACTTGGGGTCAGCTTCCATTCCAACAGGCTGCTCCGTCTTCTCTCCTCAGGATTGAGTCTGAGATCTCCTGAGCCCAGGGCCTCAGGGATGAAAGGCTGGCTGGGACCTGGGCTGCTGCAGTGAATGCCACTCCTCAGGCCAAGGAAGGCAGGGAGGTGGAGGCAGAGGTGACTGGGTTCAGGAGACAGGGGTTTGAGCCTCAGTTCTTCCATTAACCCCTTGGGATGCTACATTTCTTCCCTCTCTGAGCTTCTCTTTCCTGTCTGAGGCCACTGAATGAGATTTTCTCTAAGCATCTGGTCAGTTCTGAAATGCTGGGGCTCACTCTCTTGTGGTGAATCATAGAGCCCCAAAGACTTGGGGAGCATTTGGTGGGGTGGCAAGGATGTAACCAGAACCCCCTTCTCAGGTAGGTCTTTCAAACCTGTCTGCGTGGGGCACCCATATGTTTGACTGGCCTTCCCACAAAATCTCCACAAGCCATAGAGGAAAGGCTAGGATCCAATATGATTCTCCTCTATCTTCACACCTCTTAGAAGAGAAGCCTTGGACAAGGAGAATGATATTTCTATAGTAATATTTATTTAAACTCCCAAAGGAAACCAAGTCACAAAGTCAACTGTTTTGTTTTTGGTGTCATTAAAGTTCAAAATGAGCCCAATATGCAGGAGCTGAATTGCAACCCTTCCCTGAATATAAGCAGAGGGAGGAGGTGTCTGCAGAGACAACCCTGGGCAGGACACAGCCTCCTTATTCTCAGAGGAACCACATACATCCCCCTGAACCTTGGGCCCATGCCTGAAATCCATTCACTGCTTATTTCTGCAGGCAGACTGAGGTCTCAGAATGAGACTGACCCCTGGCAGGGGGCACATGTTGACTTCAATTCATACTAATGGATATGCCTGAGAACACCTGAGTCCAGGTATTATGAGGAGGAGGCATGGGAGTCCTGGTCTTCAGGGTTCTGAACCTTCTGATTCTTCCCCTGCCATGATGTGATGAAGGCACAGAGCTGCCCTGACTCTAATATTACTGCAACACCAGCCACTTCCTGTCTGATTGCAGACCCTGCCACCTTGTGCTGGTGAGCGCATGGGTGAAACGGAGAGAAGGAGCTAACCTCATCAGAAAATTCACTTCCAAAGAGGCAGAAAGAAAAATATCGCTCTGCTCAACTGCTTACAACCAAAGTCATACCTGTGAAAGTTAGAGGAATCAGTTCTTCATATGAAAAAAATTATATAAAGGCACATCTCCCCTTCCATTTTTGCATCCCTGGATTCTAATCAGGGTGATCGATAATGGTTTTCCTGGAAGTCGAGACATTTTTCTTGTGGGGGGAAATGAAAAATGACACTACATGCCTCAATTCAACATGTACTTAACTCCTTATCCAAATTAGGGACATTGTCACATGTGATCTCTGCCCGATTCTTGTCTGGGACCCTCGTTAGCCTGGCTACGTGATCTGTGGACTGGCAGCACCAGTGTCACCTGGGAGCCTGTTGAAAATGCAGGATCTTGTGCTCCACCCTGACCTACTGCATCAGAAGCAACATTTTAACATGATCTGAGTGATTCTAATACACTGGTCCACATGCCCTGTCTGTGGCCTCATAGACATGTCAACTCTCCGCAGTGAAACCAAGTTCCCTGCCCTTCCTCCTTACTGCTGTACTTCTCTAGTGGGAGCCCTGTCTTTGTAGCCATGTTACCAGGCTGAGATCTTCAGACACACTCACAATGTCCCTCCTCTGCTCTCCAAGCCCAATCTACCCCCAAGTGCTTTCATGTCCACGTCCTAAACATCTCTTTGTCCCATCCTTTCTATCTTCCTGACTCCATTATGAACGCAGCCTCCCTAGGTCTCCTTGCCCTTCCCTGTCCCCATGAAACACAGCTCACACCTGCTGCTGTGAGCCCTTCTCCACATCCTCATCAGACCCTCCTAGGCAGAGGCCTGTGAGTGGTTCTCATCATTACGGTGACTAAACCTGAGAGTTTTATGAGACGATCCTGGTTTGAAATATTCTGTCCTGCTGCCAGACCTCATTGTCCTAATTTGGGGTTTGGGAAATATGGTCTCCCTGCCCTCAAACTTCAGGAAATCCCTGACCACCCTGAATCTCTGTAGAACTGTTCCCTGTTGCTGGAGCTGTCCTCACCCCTATGGGCTCCCACAGGCAGGGCTGGGTCTCGTGTTAGCTGTCCAGCCCTTACCGCTCTGCTTTGGATATTGTAGGTTCTGGGTCAATGAGAATGAGAAACCCAGTGTTCGGGAGAGAGGAGGCAGCTGAAATGAGCCTGCATCTCTACAAAGGAAAATGCAGCCCAGGTCCTCTGATGCAGGTAATGAATAAAAAGTAGCTCTTTCATATTGCCCTGAGTCCACTGAAGAAGCCTGGCAAGGTCCTGCAGGCAGACAGAATTAGTAACACACAGCACCAGTTCCTTGGTCTGGTAGAGGATACTCCTAACTCAGCTTAAAATTGTCCCAGAAAGTCTGACTGTGTTTAACTTGGAACCTGCCCCAGGGAGCTGCACAATGGTTGGACATGCTGGCCTTGGATGGGACAGCCCTTGTCACATGGGGAGAGTGTCAGGTGGGGGTGCCTCTGGGTTGGCATGCACCCTGCTCCACGGATCTTCCCAACCTCTGCAGTGTTCCCTGTCACTGCAGCACTGGAACAACCCAGCTGCCCCTATGGGTACTGAAAGAAACACATCCAATATCAGAGACCAGGCAGGGGAAGCAGAAGGGTGCTTGCAGAGACAGTTGGTGCTAATTTCATCCAGGGCAGGGTGAAGTCCTCAGGAATGGGTCCCCAATTCCCCGTGGCATCTCCTTCTAAAAAGGAATGAGGAATTTGGGGACAGCAGGACTTGTCTACCAGATATCAGGTTACTTAACACTGTAGCAATGACATTGAGTGGTACTGGCATAGGAGTAAGTAATTTAGGAAGTTGCAGAACAACTAAAATGAAACAAGGCATTATTGAGGCACACATCTGTGTACAAAAAATCTATAAGGAAAAGAGCAAAGGAATAATAAGCACAAAATTCTGAGAGTGGTTGCCTTTCAGCAAGGGTGCAGATTGGCGGAGACAACACAAGGGGCACAGAGGTGCTTGATTATCAATGTTCTAGGCACTGGGTAGGGTGGTAGATTCATGGGTATGCATTAAATTATAAAGGGGTAAATACATAAATAAGGAAATTAGAATTAAAGAGGGCTATGCATGGGACCAAAGATGACAGTGTATTACAACTAAGGATTATGTTTAATCCAATTCTGTATATCAGAAGTTCAGTTAAAAACAAAAAGAGAGAGAGGATTTAGGTCTGGCTTCCAAGATGGCCAAATAGGAACAGCTCTGGTCTGCAGCTCCCAGCAAGACTGATGCAGAAGATGGGTGATTTCTGCATTTCCAACTGAGGTACCTGGTTCATCTCATTTGGACTGGTTGGACAGTGCGTGCAGCCCATGGAGGGCAAGCGGAAGCAGGACGGGGCGTCGCCTCACCAGAGAAGCACAAGGGTTGGAGGATTTCCCTTTTCTAGCCAAGGGAAGCTGTGACAGTCTATACCTGGAGGAACGGTACACTCCTGCCCAAATACTGCGCTTTTCCCACAGTCTTTGCAACAGGCAGACCAGGAAATTCCCTCCCGTGCCTGGCTTGGCGGGTCCCACGCCCACGGAGCCTTGCTCACTGCTACCGTAGCAGTCTGAGATTGACCTGCGATGCTGCAGCATGGCAAGGGGAGGGTTGTCCGCCATTGCTGAAGCTTGAGTAGGCGGTTTTATGCTCACAGTGTAAACAAAGAGGCTGGGAAGCTCAAATAGGACAGAGCCCACCACAGCTCAGCAAGGCCTGCTGCCTTGCTGTAGATTCCACCTCTGTGGGCAGGGCATATCAGAACAAAAGGCAGCAGACAGCTTCAGCAGACCTAAACGTCCCTGTCTGACAGCTCTGAAGAGAGCAGTGGTTCTCCCAGCATGGTGTTTGAGCTCTGAGAATGAACAGACTGCCTCCTCAAGTGGGTCCCTGACCCCTGTGTAGCCTGACTGGGAGCTACCTCCCAGTAAGGGCTGACAGACACCTCATACAGGCAGGTACCCCTCTGGGACGAAGCTCCCAGAGAAAGAATCAGGCAGCAATATTTGCTGTTCTGCAGCCTCTGCTGGTGATACCCAGGCAAACAGGGTCTGGAGTAGACCTCCAGCAAATTCCAAAAGACCTGCATCTGAGAGGCCCAACTGTTAGAAGGAAAACTAACAAACCGAAAGGAATAGCATCAATATCAACAAAAAGCACATCCACACCAAAACCCCATCTGTAGGTCACCAACATCAAAAACCAAACGTAGATAAAACCACAAAGAGGGGGAGAAACCAGAGCAGAAAAGCTGAAAATTCCAAAAACCAGAGCGTCTCTTCTCCTCTAAAGGATTGCAGATCCTCGCCAGCAAAGGAACAAAACTAGACGGAGAATGAGTTTGACAAGTTGACAGAAGTAGGCTTCAGAAGGTCGGTAATAACAAACTTCTCCGAGCTAAAGGAGCGTGTTCTAACCAATTGCAAGGAAGCTAAAAACCTTGAAGAAAGGTTAGACAAATGGCTAACTAGAATAAACAGTGTAGAGATGACCTTAAATGACCTGATGGAGCTGAAAACCACAGCACAAGAACTTTGTGACACATGCACAAGCTTCAATAACCGATTCAATCAAGTGGAAGAAAGGACATCAGTGATTGAAGATCAAATGAATGAAATAAAGCGAGAAGACAAGATTAGAGCAAAAAGAGTGAAAAGAAATGAACAAAGCCTCCAAGAAATGTGGAACTATGTGAAAAGACCACATCTATGTTTGATTGGTATTCCTGAAAGTGATGGGGAGAATGGATCCAAGTTAGAAAACACTCTTCAGGGTATTATCCAGGAGAACTTCCCCAACCTAGCAAGGCAGGCCAACATTCAAATTCAGGAAATACAGAGAATACCACAAAGATACTCCTTGAGAAGAGCAACCCCAAGACACATAACTGTCAGATTCACCAAGGTTGAAATGAAGGAAAAAATGTTAAGGGCAGCCAGAGAGAAAGGTCAGGGTACTCACAAAGGGAAGCCCATCAGACTAACAGCGAATCTCTTGGCCAAAAACCTACAAGCCAGAGGAGACTGAGGGGCAATATTCAACATTCTTAAAGAAAAGAATTTTCAACCCAGAATTTCATATCCAGCCAAACTAAGCTTCATAAGTGAAGGAGAAATAAAATACTTCACAGACAAGCAAATGCTGAGAGATTTTGTTACCACCAGGCCTGCCCTAAAAGAGCTCCTGAAGGAAGCACTAAACATGGAAGGGAACAACTTGTACCAGCCACTGCAAAAACATGCCAAGTTGTAAAGAGCATCGAAGCTAGGAAGAAAATGCATCAACTAACGAGCAAAATAGCCAGCTAACATCATAATGACAGGATCACATTCACACATAACAATACTAACCTTAAATGTAAATGGGCTAAATGCTCCAATTAAAAGGCACAGACTGGCAAATTGGATAAAGAGTCAAGACCCATCAGTGTGCTGTGTTCAGGAAACCCATCTCACGTGCAGAGACACACATAGGCTCAAAATAAAGGGATGGAGGAAGATCTACCAAGCAAATGGAAAACAAAAAAAGGCAGGGGTCGCAATCCTAGTCTCTGATAAAACAGACTTTAAACCAACAAAGATCAAAAGAGACAAAGAAGGCCATTACATAATGGTAAAGGGATCGATTCAACAAGAAGAACTAACTATCCTAAATATAAATGCACCCAATACAGGAGCACACAGATTCATAAAGGAAGTCCTTAGAGATCTACAAAGAGACTTAGACTCCCACACAATAATAATGGGAGACTTTAACACCCCACTGTCAATATTAGACAGATCAGCAAGACAGAAGGTTAACAAGGATATCCAGGACTTGAACTCTGGACCAAGTGGACCTAATAGACATCTATAGAACTCTTCACCCCAAATCAACAGAATAAACATTCTTCTCAGCACCACATCACACTTATTCTAAAATTGACCACATACTTGGAAGTAAAACACTCCTCAGCAAATGCAAAAGAACAGAAATCACAACAAACTGTCTCTCAGACCACAGTGCAATCAAATTTGAACTCAGGATTAAGAAACTCACTCAAAACCCCAAAACTACATGGAAACTGAACAACCTGCTCCTGAATGACTAATAGGTAAATAAATGAAATGAAGGCAGAAATAAATAAGTTCTTTGAAACCAATGAGAACAAAGACAGAATGTACCAGAATCTCTGGGACACATTTAAAGCAGTGTGTAGAGGAAAATTTATAGCACTAAATGCCCACAAGAGGAAGCAGGAAAGACCTAAAATCGACACCCTAACATCACAATGAAAAGAACTAGAGAGGCAAGAGCAACCAAATTCAAAAGCTAGCAGAAGGCAAGAAATAACTAAGATCAGAGCAGAACTGAAGGAGATAGAGACACAAAAAAACACTTCAAAAAAAATCAATGAATCCAGGAGCTGGTTTTTTGAAAAAATCAACAAAATACATAGACTGCTAGCAAAACTAATAAAGAAGAAATGAGAGAAGAATCAAATAGATGCAATAAAAAATGATAAAGGGGATATCACCACTGATCCCACAGAAATACAATAATACATCAGAGAATACTATAAACACCTCTACACAAATAAACTAGAAAATCTAGAAGAAATGGATAAATTCCTGGATAAATAATAAGAGCTATTTATGACAAACCCACAGCTAATATCATACTGAATGGGCAAAAACTGGAAGCATTCCCTTTGAAAACCGGCACAAGACAGGGATGCCCTCTCTCATCACTCCTATTCAACATATTGTTGGAAGTTCTGGCCAGGGCAATCAGGCAAGAGAAAGAAATAAAGGGTATTCAATTAGGAAAAGAGGAAATCAAATTGTCTGTGTTTGCAGAAGACATGATTGTACATGTGGAAAACCCCATTGTTTCAGCCCAAAATCTCCTTAAGCTGATAAGAAACTTCAGCAAAGTCTCAGGATACAAAATCAATGTGCAAAAATCAGAAGCATTCCCATACACCAACAACAGACAAACAGAGAGCCAAATCATGAGTGAACTCCCATTCACAATTACTACAAAGAGAATAAAATACCTAGGAATCCAACTTACAAGGGATGTGAAGGACCTCTTCAAGGAGAACTACAAACCACTGCTCAATGAAATAAAAGAGGACACAAACAAATGGAAGAACATTCCATACTCATGGATAGGAAGAGTCAATATTGTGAAAACAGTCATACTGCCCAAGGTAATTTATAGATTCAATGCCATCCCCATCAAGCTGCCAATGACTTTCTTCACATAATTGGAAAAAGCTACTTTAAAGTTCATATGGAACCAAAAAAGAGCCCATATAGCCAAGACAATCCTAAGCAAAAAGAACAAAGCTGAAGGCATCAAGCTACCTGACTTCAAACTATACTACAAGGCTACATAACCAAAACAGCATGGTACTGGTACCAAAACAGATATATAGATCAATGGAACAGAACAGAGGACTCAGAAATAACACTACACATCTACAACCATCTGATCTTTGACAAACCTGACAAAAACAAGCAATGAGGAAAGGATTCCCTATATAATAAGTAGTGCTGGAAAAACTGGCTAGCCATATGTAGAAAGCTGAAACTGGATCCCTTCCTTACACTTTATACAAAAATTAACTCAAGATGGATTAAAGACCTAAATGTAAGAACTAAAACCATAAAAACCCTAGAAGAAAACCTAGGCAATACCATTCAGGACATAGGCATGAGCAAAGACTTCATGACTAAAACACCAAAAGCAATGGCAACAAAAGCCAAAATAGACAAATGGCGTCTAATTAAACTAAAGAGCTTCTGCACAGCAAAAGAACCTATCATCAGAGTGAACAGGCAACCTACAGAATGGGAGAAAATGTTTGCAATCTACTCATCTAACAAAGGGCTAATATCCAGAATCTACAAAGAACTTAAACAAATTTACATGAAAAAAACAACCCCATCAAAAATTAGGCAAAGGCTATAAAGAGACACTTCTCCAAAGAAGACATTTATGCAGCCAACAGACATATGAAAAAATGCTCATCATCACTGGTGATCAGAGAAATGCAAATCAAAACCACAATGAGATACCATCTCATGCCAGTTAGAATGGCAATCATTAAAAAGACAGGTGCTGGAGAGGATGTGGAGAAATAGGAATGCTTTTGTACCATTGGTGGGAGTGTAAATTAGTTCAACCATTGTGGAAGGCAGTGTGGCGATTCCTCAAGGATCTAGAACCAGAAATACCATTTGACCCAGCAATCCCATTACTGGGTATATACCCAAAGGGTTATAAATCATGCTACAATAAAGACACATGCACACGTATGTTTATTGCAGCACTATCCACAATAGCAAAGACTTGGAACCAATCCAAATGTTCAACAATGATAGACTGGATTAAGAACATATGGCACATATACACCATGGAATACTATGCAGCCATAAAAAAGGATGAGTTAATGTCCTTTGCAGGGACATGGATGAAGTGGGAAACTATCATTCTCAGCAAACTATCACAAGGACAGAAAACCAAACACTGTATGTTCTCACTCATAAGTGGGAGTTGAACAATGAGAACACATGGACACAGGGCAGGGAACATCACACACCAGGGCCTGTTGGGCGGGGGATGGGGGCTATAGGAGGGATAGCATTAGGAGAAATACCTAATGTAGATGATGAGTTGATGGGTGCAGCAAACCAACATGGCACATATATACCTATGTAACAAACCTGCACATTGTACACATGTGCCCTAGAACTTAAAAATAAAAATAAAAACAGAGAAAGAGAACAAAATTGAATGAGAAAGTTACTAGGTGGCCCCAACCAAACTCAAAGAGCTTGGCCAGAAGATGAATTATAAATTCTAGCTAAGGAGTAATAATGGAGTCACTCTTGCCTGCTTGGAACTTAGCGTGGTTGGGCAAAGGCAGAGCTGGAAGGAAACAGCAGCCCAGGCCTGGACTTAGAAGACCTAGAGTCAGGTTCTGGCTTTACAGGGCAGGCTGCTTCCTCTGTAAAATGGGAACATCACCTGCCTCGTGGGGAGTGCTGGGAGGATTAGAAAAGGGACAGAGTCCAGGTACCCAGCATAGGCCCTGTCCTTTGTGGGCAATCAATCAATGACAGCTATTATTAATATTTCAGAGAAGTTAGTGTTCTTCGGGACAAGGTGAAAAATAGGCGGCTGGTGTAGGGAGCTGAGGACTGGACATCCAGGTAGGATGCTTCTACATCAATAACCACAGATAATTCCACACAGAGTCCTGCTCAGGACACAGCATCTAATGCATCTGTGAGCTGGGGCTCAGATCTGGGGCTCAGAGCCAGCTCTGTGTGACCTGTGGCTTCTGCCACACCCATCAGCCTGCTCCACTCTTCAGGATCCTCTTTCCAATCTTCTCATCAGAAGCAGAGGCCTTGGGAACTCATGAGTGTTGACATATTTTCAAAGCCCATCTGAGTGCTCTTACTGGACTCTTCAACTGATTTTTTTGGCAATAATAATAGTAACATTATAGTTGTAGTAAGTTGTAGCTTACATAGTACTTCCTATGTCATGAGACATTCTAAGCACTTTCTTTGTCTTACTGTATTTAATCCTCATAACAACCCAATGAGGTAGTTACTATTATGAATGGCCAGCTACAGACTGGAGGAAATGGAGGCAGTTGAGAGGATAGGCACTTGCTCAAGGTCACAGTTAAGTGGTGAGTATGGGATTGGAACTGGGGCAACATGGTCTGGGATGCACTCTCTGCTGCCAACTCCCATGAAGAAGTGGGATGATGGTCACTGCAAAGGAAACCTCTTCACCAACCCTATCAGTTCTGTTCCTGAGTCCCAAGGGCCCCATGGCCCTGACCCTCAGCCCTGCTCCATGTGGTGGTGCCAGCTGGTTTTCCAAGCTCAGCCAGAGTGAGGGACCCTGCCTAGTGGGGGGCAGCAACTAACGGGTTCAATCCACCTAATTCCAACTGGGATTTGGCCTGAAGAATTTGGAAAGGGAAAGGGAGCTGACATGGACTCCACAAGGGGGTCTTCTCCCCTCCAGACCCAGCCACCAGAACGACCACCATCAAGCCCCCTTCCTGAAGCAGCCTGGGGCTGTGCTCCTCACAACCACTGAGACTAACTGGCACAGTTGACTCCTGTTTTCTAGCAAACAGCTATGCTTGAGCAAACTTCCTCTACTTGGGAAACGTCATCTCTTAGCCTCTTGCTAAATAGTATAAACCCCAGGGGCTTAATATGAAGGCCTTCTAATGGATTTATTGTGTTTATTTGACCTTTCCAAGTGTGAGCTCAGAAACAGGCCCAGAGGAGGATGGTGGAAGCTTGTTTTTCTTAAGTTAAGTAAAACTGATGAGTAAACTGAATTCTTGGATGGAGTCTGCCCAGTTTTCTCACTCAAGCTCCCCTCCTCCTTTAGTCAAATGATCCAATTAGGCCCAAGAGGAACCCAGTATTTATGAGATACTCCAGAAGAGGAAAATTGTGTCTAAGAAGAAGTGGTAAATGATGAAGTCTGAAATAAATGTTTTCAGTTTATAAACAGCCATGATACAAAATAATAGTTGGCAAATTTAAAAACAGCTACTTTACTTCCGCTTCTAGTTTCAAGGCAAATGATTTTTTGTTTTAGATAAATTTTTAAAAAGCTAATGATCAGTGCATTAATGAAAACTATCTCAAGTACCACAAATACATTTGCAATTTAGATCAAAGGCTGCAAACTCCGGCATCCATGGTGCCAGGCAGGTAACCTAACTGAATAGTGGGGAGCAGGTGTAAGCTATGGGCAGGGGGCATTTCCTGCTTTTTCCAGAAAACTCCAAAATTCAGGTTTTTATGTGACATTTCTGTGTTGTTTTAATTTAGTATGGCCAAACAAAATATTTCTAGGCCCAGATCCAGCACTGAGCTGACAGTGTCACTTCTATCGCAGAATAAAGCTCATCCACCACCGTTAGGGATGTCAGTACCTGCCAACGCCACTGGGGACAGCTGGTCCCTCAGTAAGCTGCCAGAGATCGGATCCAACCACAGAGGCCCAAACGCAGTTGGATCCAGGAATCTGATCATTGTTCTTCCATACCTCAACCAACTCTAGCTATGATGTCCGTAACTACGTAAAAAACCAGAACTGCTTTTAAACCCCATTTAGTGTCTGAGTGTCCAGATTGGGAAGTTCACTTTGCGCTGATGCCGGCTGAGCACTTGACCTACAGTAGCTTACTCAGTCCTCCTCACACCCTATGAAGGAACTCAGGCACAGAGAGGTCACGTGATTTCCAAGGTCATGCAGGCAACATTGGCAGGGCTGCTGGGCTCACAAGACTCTTGCGTTCCCCACAAGACACTGGTCAACGCCCAGAACATTCACATATTTAATGTACAATGCCTACAATGTCTACTTTTTCCATAAAAACAGACACTTCCTTTCTTATTTTACCGTAGACAAGGGGTAGCAGACATTAGAGGTTTATGGACAAAAACATATTGGTAGAGAAAAATGATAGAGAAAATGAACTTTTTTTGAATTGGGAAAAGGCAGAAAAATACCTTAGTTCAGATAGTGGCAAAAGCAGTTTCTCAAAAGACCACAGACTGAGATGCCCTTGACCGTGGATAACAATGATAATCACCTAAGACCAGCGCAGCTGCCCTCTGCAGAGCCCTGCCAGTGTGCCCAGGCTGGCCACGGTGGTTTAGATGCATCTGGTTGCTTGCTGGGCCAGCACAGTGGGTCTAGACTCGGCCTCATTTTCCCATGTTACTTCACAGTGAGGAAAACCAAGTGCTGAGATTAAGCTTCTAGCACAATATTGCAGAGCCGGTGAGTAGAGGACAGGCACCTGCGCATTCACCGTGTTTCGTCAATTACCCATAGGAGTTAGTTCCAAAGCTCTTAAGGATTTGTCACGTGCCAGGTCAGCTGCAGGGGAGCTGGAAATGAGTGAGATACCCTCAGCTGGAGGAGAGCACACTTTCCTGGGGTCATGGGGAATGAAGGGTGCTCCCCCAGGGCCATGCTCAGGGCGATTGACTGAATTCACCCCTGGTATTTTCCACATGAACACAGCTGACCTGTTGACTGAATTCTGGTGGCAACTTCTTGCACTGAATTTATTTATAATTTTTAAATTGAGGTGAAGTTTACATAACATGAAATTAATCATTTATTTTATGTTTTTGAGACAGAGTCTTACTCTGTCACTCAGGCTAGAGTGCAGTGGTGTGATCTTAACTCACTGTAACCTCAAATTTCTGAGCCCAAGGAATCCTCCCACCTCAGCCTCTCAAGTAGCCAGGACCACAGGCATGCGCCACCATGTCTGGCTAATTTTTTGTAGAGATGGGGTTTCCCCATGTTGACCAGGCTGGTCTCAAACTCCTGGACTCAAGCGATCTGCCCGCCTTGGCCTCCCAAAATGCTGAGATTACAGTCGTGAGCCACCACGCTCGGCCAAAATTAACCATTTTAAAGTATACAATTCAGTGGCATTTAATACATTCACAGTGTTATTCAACAGTCACTTCTGTCAAGTTCCAAACCATTTTTATCACTTCCAAAGGAAACCCTGTGCCCATTAAGCAGTCATGTCCCATCCTCCATTCCCCAGACCCTGGAAACCACTAATCTACCCTCTGTCTCTATGAATTTACCTATTCTGGATATTCCATGCCCAGAATATGAATATGGAATATTATATGATTGTATGGAATCATATAATGAGACCTTTTGTATCAGGTTTCTTTCACTTAGCACAATGTTTTCAAAGTTCATTGATGTTGTAGCATGTATCCGAATGTCATTCCTTTTTATGGCTAAATAATATTCCATTATATCAATATGCCACATTTTATTTGCCCATTCATCCACTGGTGGACATTTTGGGCTGTTTGCACCTTTTGGCTGTTGTGAATGGTGCTGCTATATTCATGCATAAGTATTTGTTTGAATACCTACCTGTTTTCATTCCTCTTCTGTATATACCTAAGAATGGAATTGCTGGGTCATATGGTGATTCTATGTTTAACTTTTTGAGGAACTGCCAAACTGTTTTCCACAGCAGCTGCATCGTTTTACATTCTCACCAGGAATTCCTCCAAATCTTCCCCATTTGTTATTTTCTGTTCTGCTTGTTTGCTTTTTAATTATAACCATCCTAGTGGGTATGAAGTGGCATCTCACTGTGGTTTGGATCCTTGTGCTGAATTTAAAGCACTGCTTCCTGACCTTTTGCTCAGCATGAGATACAAAGAAGATGGGAGAACAGCTGGGGTAACCTGGAGGGGCTCTGTCCAGGCATCTGTCCAAGACATGGTCAAACAATTCATTTGCCCATTGTCCTAGCTACCTAAAGGGGCCTCAGAGGCCCCTGTCAGAACCCCTCTACTTGGGCCACTTGCTGAGAGGCCCTGGAAAGCTCCTTGAGGCCAGAAGTGGTCCGTCCATGGGCTCTGCTGCCCCATGCCTTGCCTGGCCACTCCGAGGACTGAGAGGAGCAAGGTCTGGCACCCAATAACCCATCTAGGGTTATGATGGGACAGCCCAGTCAGCAGGCAGAGGGAAAATCCATGAATTTAGTTGAACAAGATTCCTTCTGTCTTTTTTTTTTTTTTTTTTTTTTTTTGAGACGGAGTCTCGCTCTGTCGCCCAGGCTGGAGTGCAGTGGCGGGATCTCGGCTCACTGCAAGCTCCGCCTCCCGGGTTCACGCCATTCTCCTGCCTCAGCCTCCCAAGTAGCTGGGACTACAGGCGCCCGCCACTACGCCCGGCTAATTTTTTGTATTTTTAGTAGAGACGGGGTTTCACCGTTTTAGCCGGGATGGTCTCGATCTCCTGACCTCGTGATCCGCCCGCCTCGGCCTCCCAAAGTGCTGGGATTACAGGCGTGAGCCACCGCGCCCGGCCTCCTTCTGTCTTTTGATAGAAGGCCCAGGTACTGGCTCTACCACAAACTTGCTGTGAGAAAATATTAATAGCCAGCATCACTAGTGTGTCTACTGTACCAGGCACTGTTCTAAGAACTTTCCATAAATTAGCTCATTTAATCCTCATAACAACCCTTGGCATCTTCATTTACAGATGAGGAAAGTGGATCACAGGGGGGTCACCACCTGCCTAAGGGCATCTTGGAGCCAGTGAGTGATCAGTGGGGATCCCACCACAGTCCTAGCCCAGGTTCTGACTGACACGCATGGTGCCTCCCTGGGCTGCAGTTCTCCAGCTGGGAGGAGAAGGGCGGGTTTTCTCCAAACAGCAGAACCCTTTGCCAAATGAAATTTATGCAGAACTCCAGTCTATTTAGCGGAGAGACGGGAAGCTGCTCAGAGTGGAGGGTGGGGTCTCAGGTTCTAACCATAAGGCAGGGCTTTGAGGTCTTCTGAGGAACAGGTTTTGGGTTCCACGATCCTGAGAAATGAATATGGCAAAGCCCTAGACTCTTGCCCGATGGAAGGGGCACATCACATTTAATAAGTGTGAAAACAATACCGTATACTTACAAAGCACTTTGTCTTTTTCCGAGGACCCAAACACTCCATTTGCTCTCAGAGTGAATCATTCCAAAAACACCCTAGAGGATTAATGGGGCCCTAAAGAACCTGTTTCCTAGGACGGAACACTCAGGAAACTGAGAGACCCGCTGATGTGGGTTCTGTGCAAACTGGAGTGTTCCCACTCTTTTCTTGCTGTGGTTTCAGCTTGCATGGCAGTTTCTCGCAGCCCAGGCCTCTTCCTGCCTCAACAGTTCAATCTAGGGACCAAAAATAACCACCAAGCATGGAGCGCTCACTATGTGCTGGGCCCTGTGCTCAGAATTTTTGACAAATCATTTCCCTTAATCCTTATGATGACCCCATGAGGGAAGTACTACAGGACCATTGTCCCTTACCAAAAAAAAAAAAAAAAAAAAAAAAAAGCAAGTTCCAGGGTTTAGTAATTAGGTTGCATATGCTATGTATGGTATAACATCCCCAGCGGACTGCAACCAAACACTTTAATATTTCTACAGTGAAACCTATGAATATTCACGCCAAGTGAAATAAGGAGTGATATAAATAGTCTCACCCAGTTCAAGTTGAGTCTGGCTGCCAAATGAGTTTGCCCCAAACTTATGAAAAAAGTTTTGGTTTTCAGAACATAGTCCTGCACTAGTGTCTTCATTTAACAAATAAATGAGGCTCTGAGAGGTTAAATGACTTGCCTAATTAGGATAACATAGCTGGTGAATACTGGAGATAGAGTTCAAGCCAGAAGTATGACGTTAGAGCCCAAGTCTATAACCACTTTGTTACATGCACAGGTTTCTGGGGGAAACAGCTGACAGTTCAAATCCCTGCTCTGCCACTTTGGAGCCGTGGGATCTGGGCAAATCACTTCACCTCTGGGACTCTCAGCTTCTGTGGAGGTCAATGTGGTTGTTCTCAAATATTCTGGCTCTTGCCCTCTGAGCAATGATCAGCTTATCCTTCCCTACTCACTTGAAGTTAGGTGTGGCCATAAGACTTGCTAAGGAAATGGCAGCAGAAGTGATGTGTGTTACTTTTGCTTGGAAACTTTAGGAGCCAGTGTGAATTTTGCTGCCTTCACTTTTCCATTAGTCACCATTAGGGGCTGTTCCTTCTGCCCTGGACCCAAAGTGAGGACACACTTTGTGGAATAAAGCCTCCTGCTGAACAGCAATGAGCACACAATATGGGCAAAAACAAACCTTTGTTGTTTGAAGTCAGTGAGGTTTGGGGATTGTCTGTTACAGCAGCAAAACCTGGGCTATCCTGACTGGTATAGTTTCCTTCTCTATAAAACAAGTTGTGTGAAGATTGAATGAGATGGTACATATAAAGCTCCAAGGCAGTATGTGGCAATGGGTATCTGTTAATTCCCTCTCCCATTCTCAGCCTCTATTTCCCCAACTGTAAGAAGCTGTTAACTTGCTCTGTTTTAATGATTGAAAATGCTAGTTAACCTATGAGATGTTAATGGAAAGAATTTTTGGAGTATCCACAAAAACCTGGATATATTGTCTTACATGTCCCTCTTACCACTCTGGCTTTGATGGGGAGGCTGAGAAGAGGTGGTGGGAGGTTGGGGACAGAACTCCAGCCCTGGGACAGGGCTGAGGCCTCTGGGTTCCTGAAAGAAGCATCCGCTGTGGACCAAATATCCCCAAAGGCAGGGCTGCAAAGGGCCAGAGAGTGTCAGGAGGAGGTCAGAAGGGTCAAGTGGCCTGACAGCTGCTGAGCACAGAGGAGGCACCATTTCTCCCTCAGGCCAACAGATGGAGGGAGTGAGGCTGTGGGGCGGAGATTCTCTGCGATGAAAATGTGCAGTTGCCACAGGACGTGAGTTAAGACCCATTTAGCAACACCGATTAAGGAGCTATAAATAGCACCTGGGCTCTCTCACAGGCCGTAAAACACTCTTCTCTGCACTGCTCCCAGCCTGTGACCTGCCCTGCTTAATTGGGGCTCAAAATAAAATACCTGGAAGGCCGCTTTTTGATGGAAGGCCCTTGTTGCCATGGTGACCAGTTGCTGGGACCAGGGTGGGGCAGAGGCTTGATACAAGGCTGCTGAGATGTAAGATGGGGAGGAAGAGGAGGAGGAAGAGGGGAGAGAAAGGGAAAGTGAGAAAACAATGATAAAGATTACTGTGGAAGTCTAAAATCCACATCACGAGGCCGATGGAAACACCAGCTTCTCTGCCTGTAATGGCTATGAAAAATGGCAGCCTCACCCAGCTGATGGGCTAGCAAATGAGGACCGCTGGCAAGGAAGTGGATCTGGCTGGCCCAGGGTGGGTATGGGAGGCAGAGGAGTGAGTTTCAGGCCTGGCTCAGTCCCTGAACAGCAGGTGAGCTGGAGCTGCTCCCCACCTTCTCTGGGCCTTTCCACTGTAAGATGAGGGGTGGAATGAGAAGGTCTCTAAGCTAGGACTAACAACTGAGCTCCCACCATTGTCAAGGAGAAGGCGGAAGCTCCATGTGCTGAATCACCTCCAAGATATATGAAGTGATGGAAGCAAGGTGCATGGCAAGGTGTGAGTGGACTGCTGCTGTTTGTGTATTTGTGGGAAACACCTTAGAATACACAAGAATCTGACAGCATCGGTTGCCTCTGGGGAGGGTGGCTGAAAACAGGGGTGGGAAGAAGACTGATCACTGTCATGTTTTAATAAAACCTTATAAATGTATTCAAAATAAGTAAAATCTAAATTTAAAAAACTGGACTCCAAAAGGCCCAGGTTTTGATGAATGAATAAATACCAGTTAGAGCGGTGGGGTCACCCTCCATGATCTGGTCTCTTTGCTGACTGCTCTCTTCCTCGTATGCACCTTGGACTTCTCACAACCTCCTGAGTGCTGCTGTGCAATTTAAAGCCGCTGTGCCTTCACACATGCTGTGCCCTCCCCTGAAATGCTGCTTTCGGTCTTCTCCATCTAGGGAAAGGGATACTTGAGTCTTTAAATCTCAACTCAAATATTCCTCCTCTGTCTGCACTTCCTCGATGCCACAGCTGACCCAAACACCTGATATTCTCTCTCTCCTCCACGCCTCCTGCACTACCCAGAGCCCTTTATTAATGCTCATCTCACTGAACTATCACTATTGTTACTTGTGTGGCTACCCGATAAACTAGGGGCTCTTTGAGGCATGGCCTCGGTCTGATCCTAGGGAGTACCCCAGGACCTAGCACAGAATGCTGCTCAGTAAATGTTCTCCATCTCTGAGAGATCAAACACACACAGAACATCTATCCCAGGTGGCTCCCTGGTGGTCTATCCACTAAAAATTAAGTCTTTTCTCTTATTCCACCTCCTGCTTTGGCCTCATCTGAATGCTGGGAAAGTTAATTTTTAACATTAGTTTGAGCAAAATACAATTAGGAAGGGAAGCCCTGCAGCAAGAAGTGATCTCAGTACATGCGCCCAGCAGCACACAGTGAAGGGCCTGGCTGCTGCTCTGCCCACTGCAGTAATTGATTTTGTGGGTTATTCATAGCAAAGGTGTCATCGGGGCCTTCACCTTGGCTGCCTCTCTGTCTGCCTGCTTGGGAACCCTGTGGTAACGAGACTCCCACGAGAAGGGGTTGCCAGGCAGAGGCTCCTGAGCTCGGTGATTTAACTAGCTCTGTGAATTCAGTAAGACTCTGACCCTCGCTGGCCCCCATTCACAGCAGAAGGGGCTTGCACCAGAGTCCCTAAGGCCCTGCCCACTTGGACACTCTATCTGGAATTTTAAACATTAGCCCAAGCAGGACAGAACAGCGAAAGAGGCCACCGCAGACAAATAAAAATCTTTTATTTTATTTTTTTTTTTAAGACAGAGTCTCGCTCTGTTGCCCAGGCTGGAGTGCAGTGGTGTGATCTCGGTTCACTGCAACCTCCACCTCCTGCGTTCAAGTGATGTTCGTGCCTCAGCCTCCCAAGTAGCTGGGATTACAGGCTTGAGCCACCATGCCTGGCTAATTTTTGTACTTTTAGTAGAGAAAAGTTCACCATGTTGCCCAGGCTGGTCTTGAACTCCTAACCTCAGGTGATCCACCTGTCTTGGCCTCCCAAAGTGCTGGGATTACAGGCCTGAGCCACTGTGCCTGGGCACAAATAAAAATCTTCAAGTCAATTTTAGAGACTAGCAGAGGGGATGTAAGGCTGTCCCAATAGTTACAGGATGATATTCACATGCAAGACAGACTCCCAGAAGGAAACTCAGAAACCTAAGGGACTACCTTTCTTCTTCAGGGCTGAGTTGAAGGCATTGTTGAAACATGTCTTCACCAATACTGTCCTTGCCCTGGATGGACACATAGTGGGGACAGGACAGAGGCCAGGCCCAACTCTGTTTTCTCTGTCGCTGAACAGACTCTTCTCGTCTTATTTATTTTTTTCCTAAGCCTTTTGCATTCCTATGAACACACCTTTCCAGTGAATGAAGCGACATTACCATTAAGATAGTCTTATCACTCTGATTTACTCAAAAGATAAATAATGTATGAACTTCCATTCTACTAACTTTTATGTTAATTACTAATGGATTTCTGATGGTTTTGCCTCCAGCATCCGTCACCTGCCCTTTAGGTAAAACATTTCAGATCCCTTGGGGAGTGTGTTTTTCCTGAGGCTTTGCCCCATCCCAACCCCAGGCGTGGAGCCTCTGACCAGGCTGAGCCAATCAGCACATTCCAGTCCAGTGGCCACTGTGACTGACTGGTTCAGGGGTGAGCCTGAGATCCCAGTGGGGCCCATGAGAGTGGATTCCAGGACTTGTGCTGGGCATGGCCTGCAATAAGAAGGAGCAACAGGTGGACCCAGGGCCTCCTTGAAGTCATTTGGGGACCTGAGAAAGATGACCCCATACAGAGGCCTCTAGAATGTGTATGTAGGAGGGGCTCAGGAGTGGTGGTCTGTGAGATGGGAGATCTAGGAAACACTGTCTGCTTAGATCCTGTTATTTCAGGTAGGTTGAGGGTGTGGGGCCTAAAGCCCCATAAGACACCCCTAAGGTGCCACTAGACACGAAGGAAGAAGAGCTGAGAAATGGAGAGAGAGACGTCAGACCCTGCCAATGGTGTTTGAACCTGGGATTACAGGTGAGGCTAAAGCAACTACAATTACTCAGTGACAAAAGCACATATATTCCTTTTATTAACTTAAGGCAGTTTGGGGTCAGGTCTTCTGTTCCTTATAAAAGAATACAACTAACAAACTACTTCTGCTGTGCTAAGCCCATCCTAGACCCTGAACTTGGTTTCTTGAACTCTGATCGGAGGTAATTCCTGATGGATACCCTAGGGTGTGGTAGAGGGTCTCTGGTCTGGTGAGAAAGGCATGGGGTGAGAACTGCCCTTAAGAGGACTGCAGTCAGAGCAGATCCCAGGGAGGGTGAAAAGCCATAATGGGATACCTGAGGCCAGGCCAAGGTGCACACTTAGAGGAGGAGGTGCTGCCTTCATGGAGTGGCCCGAGGGCTCCAGAAAGCCTTGCCCCACACTATCTCCCCAACTGGTACCTCAAAACCCACCTGAGCATTTTTCTTTGAGTTCAGTGCAACATAGGAGGACAATAAAGAGGGAATGTCCAAGTTAAAACGGAGTCTCCAGGGACACCAGCCCACACAGGAGCTGCAAAAAAAGGATCTGCCACCTAGAGGGCTGGAGTGGCTGACTCAGTGCCACCACGGCCAGTCTAGGGCAGAGCACAGACTAGAACCTCTGAATTCTCACTTCCAAATTGTAGTCCCTTCCAATGGCCCATAGCTGTTGTCTTTGCTCTTGATTTACATCCCGTTATGCAAAATCTGTACCACCAGGTGGCGATGTAGTTACCACATGTAGTGTGGAATTTTAAGTGGCCATCACGGATTCTCTTTTATGAAAGTGTATCTTTATTTCATCTAAAAGATAATAAGCAGTTTACCAGGAAAGGGAGATGGAAAAGAAATTTTTTTAAAAAACGTAGTAAGCATTTAAAACTTTAATCTATTTTATTATAACTTTGAAGGCAAAGAAAAGAATTATGATTACTTACATTGTGTCTTCTTTATTAATTACTTGCCTCTTCCTAACCCTGTCAATGAGGGAGTGGAGAGAAGCCATACCTTGAAGTCAGACCCGCCTGGCTTTGAAATTCAACTCTGCCGTGTATTAGCTGTATGTCTTCGGCAAGTCACTTCTCTTTGAGCTCAAATGATCCATCTGTAACAATGGATTCAATACTACGCCAGACAGGGCTGCTGCATCCTCGGGGGGCAGCATATAGTAGGTGTTTGATAAATCTCAGTTAAATGAATGAATGAGGTACCTAGTGGAATGCTTGGCATAATATAGCAAGTACCCAATAAATGAAACTTATTACTAGAGGCAAAAGGGAAGCAGATCTACCAATGAAATTATAGGCCATGGGCAGTAAGAAATGGGGCTTTGTAGGGGATGTGGGAACTCAGTGGGAGGCCAGGAATCAGCGCAATGGTGACTGCCCACTGGCTTACTGCACAAGGCGGATGCTTTTCAACTTCAGTGTGTAACATCCCGTTTCACCACGCACCTCAGCCTCAAAGCCCTTCTGGAATCCTTTCTGCCTTGCAGTGAAGTTCTGAAGGAGAATTCCCATCCACCCTTTTCTGTGAGCCTTTCTGGCCTCACCTGTGAAAAAGAGGCTAAAATGGTTCCTGAATGTATGGTGCTAAAGATATTTAAGGAACTCAGTCTCCTCATTCATCTGACTCCATCCGCCTTGTGGGCTGAAGACTTTCCAGACTCAGGGCCTCATTCTCTACGTCTGTAAAACCTGCAGGCGGCTTGGATGGTACCCATCCCTTCCAGAGGTGGGATCTTGGGTGTACTCCTACCCCTCAGGCTGACAGGCCTTCCCAGGGGCACAGAATTCTTTTAAAAGGAGCATTGGTTCACTTCAAACCTCCTCAACTCTAACGGCGCAAATTCTGTGACGCTTTATTTTTCCCAGCTTGAATGGGTAGACCTAGCACCTCATAAAGTGACAAGGAAAATATTTGGCTGGTTTCGTAAACCGGGGCCACAAAGGCTCACTTGTGATGGGCCGGCCGCGCAGCCTGTGCTGGCTCCCAGGACGCCCTGGCAGGCCCTGCCCAGGTCTGGGCAGCAAAGTCTGCAGACACCACTGCCTGCCTGACACCGGCCACCTGTGTGCAGGTCACGAGGTCTGGCAGCCTTTCATTCCCGCCTGGCCATCTCCTCCCACAGACTTCCAGAATCTAAGCTGCCAAAAACAACCCCAGCCATCTGCCATGCAGAGGAGATCCTTGGGGGTGTGTCTGGGAGGCCCTCAAAGAAGCTTCTGTGGCTGGTCAGTGGCAGCCACCTGGGAGGTGTCTGCAGCGTGTCCAGGTCACAGTCTGGCCCCAGCAGGCTCTCCTCAAGGAATCTACCCACAAACTTCCCTCTTGCCAGTCTCATGTACTTTCTTCCCCTTCCCCAAGAAATGAAGCACATTCCAGCCCCTTGCCTTTGCTCCTGCCACTCCCACTGCCTGGAGTGCTTTTCCCCTGCCCTCTCCCTCCAGCCCATTCCTGCCCCATTTCAATGCTGCACAAGGTCCTCCTCTCGGCCCAGTCCCTCTGTCATTCTGCACCCGCAGGGACCTGCAGGCACTCCTTGTCTGTACCCCTCACTAGATAATCACACCCTTCTAGGGGCTGCTTTATAGTTTAATGCTGGTATTATTTATTTCACTGCTGAGATCATTTCACTGACACCTCATTTATTGGAAACTGTTGGGGAAAGCTTTCTCAACATGAGTGAATTTGTCGGATCAATGGTCCTTTTAAGTGACGAACCTACTTTGAGCATGATCTCTTTGGGTGGGAATTTTTCTAAGACTCATTATTCCCTGATCTTGAACTAATCACCCTAAACATAACTGAATCCATTCTGGAGGATTCAGAATTAGAAGGAAAAAAAAAAAAAAGGTCATTTTTGGTACTACAACCTTGCTCTGCCTGGCTCCTGAGGGCTGGGCCTCATGCCCCTTTGCTGAATGGCTCCGGACAGCTGCACTTTAAGAGTTCTTGTTTGCTGTGGCTGTTCTGTGTCCCTCATGTGGGTAGGCAGTTCGCTGTTGGAGGGTTGCGGCTGGTGTGCCTGTCTCTGGCCTTACCTACCCTACATTCTCATTTGTGGTTTGTTGTGCGGAGGGAATGGGAGGCAGGTAACCAGGGAGGTATAAATGAACTGCAAGCAAGTAGCACCTGAGAAGACCTTTCTTTAATATACTTCAGGACAGAAGCTGATTCCTTCCCAGGCACCAACTGAGTCTTTTCCATTCATTTTCAGGGTCAGGATTGTGTACAGCTGAGGGCACCAAAAGTGTGTGCTGTTCCGATGCTGCCATTTCCTTGGGTTGATGAGTGAGCTGGATGGGAAGCTCTTTGCTCCCTGTCGTGGGGCCCCTCTGTGTCCACACTGTGCCTGACCTGGAGTAGCTCAGTAACAAGTCCTAGTTGACTTGCCTTGGGGGATGTGGCCTACCCCAGGGTTCACTGTTATCAGCTCCTGCTTTAGAATTAATTGTGCCTTGAAAGGGCATGCTAGGTCTGCAAATGGAGCCAGCTCAGAGGGGGACATGGCTCCAGGCCAGTGTAGGCTGCTGTCTTCAGAGGCTGCCCCTTTGCCACTGGGATTCCTAAAGCCCTGTTGTTAACAATCAGGTATTGGGAAAACAGAGACATCAAACAGCTTTATGCAGCACCCAGGACAGGCGCGGCCACTTGGGAGCCATTCCTTTTTTTGTAAGTGACCGTATCTGGTTTGGGCTGCAGGAAATCCTCTTTTAGGGTCTGGGAATAGAGGGGAGTCCTGGAGTCCAAGTGTGAGGTAGAGGCAGAGATGTGGCCTCTTCCTCATGGGCAGGCTTGGCTGCCCTAGGGCTTGAGGAGTTCTGCCAGGCAGTGTTCTCTTGGCCATGCTTTCTTTGAGCAACCGCATTGACCTCCAGGCATCTCAAAGGGGCCACTTACCTGTTAGTAAGTCTGCAATTTTGCCCACACCCCAACTTATCCTTACTGAAAATTTTCATATATACAAAGTTTCTGTTCCTGCTTGGTTCCTTTATCCTCTGTGAGACCCTGCCTGCCTCTCCAGCTTTTTTTCCTGCCATGCTCCCTGCATGTCACCTGCCACCTGAGTTCTTAAATTGTGCCAGCCTCCCTCTTGCCACAGGGCCTTTGCACATGCTGCTGCTGCTGCCTAGAATACCTTTTTCTTCATCCCTCACCCCCAAACAGGCACCTCACTTGTTAATTCCTCCTCTAAGCTTAGAGGTTCCTTAGATTGGCCTTCTCTGGCTCTCAAGACAGACCAGGCCCCACTCATACACTCTCCCAGGACCATCTACCTTCCCGACATGCCACCCTGCACACTAGTAACCACAGGCTAATTTCTGTAATCGGTTGTATGTTTTCCTTGCTAAGTTGTACGTTCCATGGGGTAGGATCCCTGGCTGCCTGTTCGCTGCCTTATCTTCAGTACCTAGCACAGGGCCTGGCCACAGTACCTGCTCTGTATATATTACTCAGTTACTAAGTGACTACACCCTTCACTCCAGCTCTATCCACACTGAGCTGCCCCAGACCCCGAGCCCTCTCATAACTCCGATTTCTTGCTCTTTCTGCCTGGATACACCTTTATTGCTTGAGTAATTCCTAGTCTTAGATGAAGGAATGAATGAATCAATGAAAGCATGAATAAACAAACTATTAGAACTTTTGGTGATTTATGTGAGAATCCACTGCACAACTGGAAAGGCACGAAATGTGGGGCTAGAGGAGCATTCCTGGAGGAAAGGGCCCTTGAGAAGGAGTACTGCCTTCAGGGAAGCATGATGACTTTACAAGCATCTCTCTAAATGCTTCAGGGAAACCTACAAGTCTCCAGTGAGCAAGGGCTGGTGCGTGGAAACGAATAGTGCAGAACCTATTATGACTAGTTTAAGATGTGCAACACGTTATCGGTGCATCTTCTATTTAGTGTGCTGTCAGTTGTTTAGCTTAAGGGAAGGTAAAAACATTAATACGTGGGAAAGAATTTAGGTGTCCATGATTTGGGGAATATTACACAGGTAATAATAAGAGCCATCTGATGGTGATCACCACTGTGTGCCAGCACCGTCCTGGGCAGTTTATACCCATTCTATTATTTAATCCTTAGGAGAACTTTGCGAGGCGGGGATTATTGTCTCCATTTTACAGATGGGAAGACAGAGGCTTGAAGAGGTTGAGTAACTCAGTCATGGTTCCAGAACTAGCTTGGGGCAGAGCTGGGCTCTCCCCCTGGTAGCTGGACTCCTAAGTCTCTGCCCCAGCTGCAGAGCGAGGAGGTGGGCAGGGGCCACCTGGCAGGTGTCCCCAGGCTGAAGACAAAAGTGCTATCATGGAAAGAAGGTTCCCAGCCCCTGGTCCTGCCAGGTCTGTCTCTCCTGACCTCCCAGCCTTAGTGCGATGCTGAGGGGAGGTGCAAAGCGTGGGCCCTCAGATCACTCTGGCCAGGTCACTAAAGCATGGCAGTGTCAACCTGGTGAGAGCTGTGGCAGTGTCCAAGGGGACAAGAGTTGGGCTCTAAGCTCCACCCACCATTCTCCTCGGGGGGCTCCTTCACTGCCAGCCTCAGAAGGTCCAGGTGGCATTTTTTGGGCCAGTGCCATTCACCCATGACAACTCGTACCACATCCTTCCATACTCACAGAGCTGCAGGTGTCAGGGGGACCCAGCCCTCTGCTGTCTGGGAGTTTCCATTCCCTTCTTGGCCATCATGCATCCCCGCTACCAGAGGGGCAGCTATCTGTCTTGGGCACTGGAAAAGGGGCCTCCAACCACTTCACAGGGACCCTTTGTTGAGTTTATAAAACAAGCATTCACCAGAGGGCTACAATGTGGGTACCAGGGCACCCTCCCTTCTCTCCCTAGGCCCCTGCCCATACCGAGGGCTACCACACCCCAGGACTCAGGGTACCCACTCCACAGGCTCTCTCTCCTCTCCCCTCCTGCCGCCTCTCCACCCTTGGCCTCACCTGTTCAAGCCACCATGACAAGTCATTCCTCAGCAGTGAAGAACCTTTGCTTCACACTGGCTGAGAAGATGCACCCTAACCCTGTGTATCAGTTTCCTGGGGCTGCCGTAACAAAGTGCCATGGACTGTGTAACTTCACAGAAATTTATTGCCTCACAGTTCTGGAGGCTGGAAGCCCAAGATCAAGGTGTCTACAGGGTTGGTTTCTTCTGAGGAGTGTGAGAGAGAATCTGTTCCATGCATGCTTCTCCCCTAGCTTCCGGTGGTTTACCGGCAATCTTTGACTTTCCTTGGCTTATAGATGTATCTCCCTGGTCTCTGCATTCATGCTCACAGGGCGTTCTTCTTGTGTGCATGTCTATGTCCAAATTTCCCCTTTCCATAAGGATACCAGTCACAGCAGATTCAGGCCCACCCTGATGACCTCATCTTAACTTATTACATCTGCAATGACCTCATTTCCCAATGAGG
Organism: Homo sapiens; assembly: GCF_000001405.40. Classification (NCBI taxonomy): domain Eukaryota; kingdom Metazoa; phylum Chordata; class Mammalia; order Primates; family Hominidae; genus Homo; species Homo sapiens. The sequence goes on along the minus strand of NC_000003.12, from coordinate 141,100,263 downwards.
TCACTTTCTGAGGTGCTGGGGTTAGGACATCAACATATGAATTTGTGGGGGACACAATCAACTCATAACACTTCTGTCTATTTTCTGCAAGAGAAGATAAGAGCTGCCAGGGAAGAATAGGGCACAGCCCAGCAGCTCACTACAGGGCAGTTGGGTTGACCACCAGAGAACAATGAGAGAGAATGAGTGAGAGTGAGACACTTGTGCAAAGTCAGCACAGAGGGCAGAGCCATGGGGAGCCAGAGGAAGAGGCCACATGGCTGCTGTATGGCTGATGACAGCCACTATCACAAAACTGTGGCTTTTTGGGCTTGGACAAGACCAGTCAAGACCATACTAGGGCATGTGTCTGATGGTTGCATGGTTTATAACAGTCCCTAATGGAAGGGGATTCTCAGAAAGAAGTAAACAGAGGCTCTGTTTGACTGACCTCAGGTTAGGGGGGATGGCCTCAGTACCAGCACATTCTGGTGCCACGATGTCTTGTTCTTATCTAAATCTAAGCTCACAATAAAACACCTTCCCAACAAGACTAACGTACAAGCTCACACCACAAAAATTCCCTTCTAAGGAAATCCCCTCACTATCCTAAGATTCTGCAAGGCACTAACCAACATCTGAAGCTTTGAAGTATACACTTTGGTTAACAAAGAAATCTTTTCTGAGAAATCAGATGGCATTCAGCATCAGCAATGTCAAAAACAGTTTTATTCCTTGACTCATCATTTTTACTCCTAACAATCTACCACATGGATATAAATAACATGGGTGGTAAATGTATAAATAAGAGCATTCCTTGCAATATTACTTATAAGCAATCTATACATACAAAATAAAGGACATTAATTGGATTATGGTATAACAAAATGGTGACATATTATTTAGTCATTAAAAGTCATATTATCACAAAAATTAGCCGGGCATGGTGGCATGCGCCTGTAGTCCCAGCTACACGGGAGGCTGAGGCAGGAGAATGGCGTGAACCCAGGAGGCAGAGCTTGCAGTGAGTCGAGATCGCGCCACTGCACTCCAGCCTGGGCGACAGAGCGAAACTCCGTCTCAAAAAAAAAAAAAAAAAGTCATATTATCCCATTACTATGGTTTAAATGTCCCACTAAAACTCATGTCGATATTTAATTGCCATTGTAACAGTATTAAGAGATGGGACCTTTAAGAGGTAAGAAGTCCTGAGGGGTCCATGCTCAGAAATATGTTAATGCTGTTACTATAGGAGTGGGTTAGTATCTTGGGAGGGGCCTCCTGATAAAAGGATGTCTGGCCCCATCTGGTCTCTTTTTCATGTGCTCGCTTCCACCTTCTACCATGGGATGACCCTCGCCGGATGCCAATGCCATGCTCTTGGACTTCCCAACCTCCAGAACTGTGAGACAAATAAACTTCTGTCTTTATAAATTACCCAGTCTTTGGAATTCTATTCTAGCAGCAGAAAATGAACTAAGACACCCACCAACACCACTATTACCTTTCACTGTTCTAGATGTATTAGCCAAATAATTATATAGAAAAAGAAGGCAAAATTGTCATTATCTGCAGAAGATTTGATGGTATACCTAGAATACCCTAGAGAATCAAAAGAGAATCTACTAGAGGAACTTAGAATTCAGTGAGGCAGATAATTACAAAATTGGTAACAAAAAATCATCAGCTTCCTTCTAGACAAATAGCAAGTTAGGAAATACAATGAAAGATAGGCTTCTTTCATAATAAAAACAATTTTATATCCCTAAATACTTAGGGATAAACGTGACAAGAATTATGTAAGACTTGTAAGAAAAAAATTAAATATACTAAAAGATATAACAAAAGCTGAATAAATGGAAAGACATTTATGTTTGGATTGGCATACCCAACAATTTAAAAATATCATTTATCCATTAAAATAATCTATAAATGCCATATAATCTCAATCAAAATACCAACAGGATTTGTGGGGACCATACTAAAATAATTAACTAAAATTCTTCAAAAAAACAAACACAAAAGACGAAACAGAAACATCTAAAACAAAGAGGAGTAAGGTGGGAGTGGTCCTATCAGCTATTAAAACAGATTTTTAACCATAGCATTGCAGTAATTAAAACCACTTGGTACCGGTGAAGGACTAGATGGATCAGTGGAACACTGCATTTCTCTACAAACTGGCAAATAGTTGCTGGTTAGTAAAAAAATGGTTTGGTGAAGAAGAAAGGGCATGGATTTGAGAACCAGACAGGCCTGAGCTGTCCTCCCAGCCCATGTGACCTTAGATGTCTCTGGCATTTGCTCTGAGCCTGTTTTTGTTTCATGTAAATACTGCGGGAATTAAGTAAGGTAATGTATGTAAACTGCTCAGACTAGGAACTCCAATACAATGGCTATTCATTAAAGGGTCACTATTATTATCAGTAATTTTCTTATTATTGGTAATTACACTTTCTTTTAAAATTATTTCTATTATTAAATATTATCAATCTGCCAGCCAATCAGAGGCTCACTGACCTTTTGCTCTGTGGGACCAGCCACATCTCAGTTCCCTGTCAGGTCCTGCCTCCCAAATATAGCTACCTGCAGATCCCAGAGACCATTCCTCCTCACTGAACAGGAGGGAGGCCAGTCTCTCTCCTCTGTGAGAGACAAGCAGAAAGTCAAAGTGAAGAGGTATTAGGAGATAGTTCTCAGAGAGGATCAAGAATATGGGAAATGTGTGGCTAAGCACGGTGGCTCATGCCTGTAATCCCAGCACTTCAGGAGGCTGAGGCGGGTGGATCACCTGAGGTCAGGAGTTCAAGACCAGCTTGGCCAACTTGGGTAAACCCTGTCTCAAAAAAAACCAAAAAACAAACAAACAAACAAAAACAGAATATGGGAAATGTGTGAATCTGGAGAAAAACATGGGCAGTCTCAGAAACAGTTTCTGTAGTTTGAAAGCCTTGGTTGAAATACCATCCCTGGGTCTAGTGAAGCTCTTCCCATTCTCAGTCTAGGTAAGAGCAGGAACAATGGGGGAAATGAAGGAATCAACATGGCGGGTCCAAGGGCCAACAAAGGCCCTGGCCAGACTACAGCAATGGCCTATGTAAGGGCAGAGGGACATTGGGTCACATGGCGGCTGGGAGCTGCTGATGGAGAGTCCCCATGCAGGCTGAGTGGCATGGCCTGATTCTAGTCACCATCACAGACTGTCAAGAAAGGGTGAAAATGGAAAGAACGGGTATTTCAGGGTGATGAATTTAGAAGCCATGCACAAAGACAATAGATTGAGGACAAGGAAATCAGAGACAGGAAGTTTGGCTGGGATGCTCATTCAGCTGACCAGGATGCCAGGGAGAAGGCAATGGGCCCATTTCAACCATGGGGCACTCATTCCAGGCACAGGGCTCTGGACTATGTGTTTTTCAAGGGCCTTAAAAAATGTTTGAGACATATGGTGAATTTATTGGTTCAAAAACTACTGAAAGAAAATCATAAAGTTAAAATTAATATGTTTTAATTAAACATCTACCAAAAAAAAGCATTATGTCAAGAAGTCACGTGCAACTTGGATCACAGTTACATGTCCATTATGTTTAATGTAGGATGCTATATACTGTAATATGTTTACTATGATGTTACCAAATGCGTGAGCAGCACATGCTGGAAAAAGAGAGACAGCACAAAGAGTATGGAATTAGAAACCCAAATGGTCTCCATACTCTAGGAAATCTGGCATAGTGCAGTTAGATGGAACCCATTAGGGATTCCTGTAAAGTCCTGTTTTTAGGCCTTGGAAATCAATCCAGCTGGCAGGACAGGGAGAGCTGTCCTGGCAATATGTTCCATGAAAGAAAGTCACAAGTTCTCTGAGACTGGTCAATATGAGCTGGCTGTTCAATTAGCTAAGACTAACAGAGGCTGCATCAAAAGAAGTATAAGGTCCAGATGATGGGAGGTGAGGGTCCTACTACAACCTGTGTTTTAGGAGGTCCCAAGTGTCTAACAAGTCATGTACCTCCTTTGGTCACTAAACTCATGTGCCATCTTATTCAACTATTTAGCTGTTTCCCCCTGGGGCCCTGGGTGGTTGTCGCATTCTAGGTTTGGCTCCTCTTCTACAAGGAAGCATATAAAAGGCTTCTGACTGAGGCAGAAGGTACCTCTGGTTCTTCTGTCTCAGGCGTTATTCCTACCTCTGCTCTTCCCCACTCACCCAACTGGTCCCTTCCTGGCTTCCCTGAGAGTTTTCTGGGACTTGGTGTTGTCAAAAGTCATATAAACCCTAATATCATCTGGCTCTGTTGTCCCCCATGGCCCCAGACATCAGGCAGAAGAAGGGAGTTTTTACTTTTAGCTGTAAGAAGGATGGATGAGGAAGACCTGTGCTCTTCTTGCCCAAATCTAGGCCTTGGGCCCCAATCCAGACTTGCTCTCAGGAGTCTCCTGGCTCTCCATTGAGTCTGGATCCAAGATCTCCAATAATCTCTGCCACATCTCCTCCCTGGGCCTCCCTCATCCTGGGACAGTACCTCTGCCCACAGTGCCAGCTCCACCCTGGTTAGCCTCAGGCCCAGCTTCATAAGCAGAAAGCACTGGGATAGATTTTCCAGAATGTTCCGAGGGGACAGGACACAAGGGGTCCAGGTCCTGGCAGCTTCCCAGGAAGTTTGGGTGGGCACAGGCCCTCCTCATCCATCCTTCTCACAGAGAAAAGTAAAAACTCCCTTCTTCTGCCTGATGTCTGGGGCAGTGGGGGACAACAGAGCCAGATGACATTAGGATTTATATGACTTTTGACAACACCAAGTCCCAGCAAAGTCTCAGGGGAGCCGGGAAGGGAGCAGGTGGGTGAGTGGGGAATGAATAAGTCTGTTCTGCGCCCCAGGACAGCCTCTTCCATTATGCATTTGTATTCATTCCGTAGCCATGGTGCTCCAGGCAGCGACCCAAACAATACAGAGGACACAGCTGTTGAGGAGCTTATAGTCTCAAATTTTCCGCCTCGCAGTAGCCCGGAAATCCCTTCCTGAACATGCTCTCCGCAGTCTCGGCAGCACAGCAACTCTCCGGGGACTGCGGAGGGCTGCGGCATCACCCGCACACCTAGGACGCAGGCACCTTTCTGCACGGTGGCTGAAGCGGTCTTCACCCCTACCCCTGGCCTGCCTCGGCCTCTTCCCCACCTCTAACTCAAATAGGGACCGACGAGACACGCCCCGTTTGGCAGCAGAATACACCGCCAGCCAGTGGAGCCTTTTCTCTCATATGATACAATGCATCCCTAGTGGTCTCTGAGGTACTTCTAAATCTCCCATGTTCTCTGGGAGGAGCAGTGCAGCCACTGAGAAAATGGATGAGGTCTCGGAGACAAGGGAAGCACAGGCAGGAGAGGCTTGTCCTCAGCCAGCTACAGGGTGAGCCAACACAAGGGATAGGGTGAGGGGGCTGGAGAATGTGTACACCAACCCTCCAGACAGTGATTGAGGGCTGCTCCCAGGGGGGCAAAGGGGCGGGGGGCGGGGGGCGGGCAGGGCACAAGGGAGAACCTTCAGGCCAAGAAATAAGCCAGCATCTCAGTCTAGCAGGCAATCAGCTTCCTCCTCAGGGTGCAATAACGTGGTTTCCACTTGAGAGCATTTTGTTACACGACTTTTGGGGGTGGTTAAAAAAAGGCCCAGGAGTAAACACAATATCCAACCCATGTTCTCTTCAGGTCGTCATTAAAAAATTGCCTCCTCTAAGAGGCCTTCCCTGAGTCTCTCACCAGCCATTCTCCGAGTTCAGGGCACAAGAGTGCATGCAACAGCTGTCTAGCTCAGCTCCCTCCGAGGCAACTGACAGAGATAAGGAACTGCCTCATCTCCCCGTGGTCACCTGGAGAGGGCAGGAGCAGAGACTCTCCCCTGGATGTCCCATGGCAGCCAGTGCAAATCTGGAAACAGCCAGGCACAAATGCAATGACTCATTCATTCACCAAGTTCCCATGCACCTGCTCTGAGCCGGCCCAGTGCTGGAGGCCAGAGGTACACAGACCAACCAGGCTCACAGTCAGATGAGAAGGGCCATGGCGGGAGGAGACTGGGAGCTGTGGGAGCTGGAGGAGGAAGAGAAGGTGGACATACGCAGTGTCAGCCTCAGGGCAGACCACTGAGCCCCAGCCGACCTCAGGCAGCAAGGCTGCTGCAAACCGCTTGCTGTAGAGATACAGCAAGCACGCCTGGCTGCCAACAACTACAGGGAACCTGGCCAGGCCAGCTGGGAATTTGCCTGCCGGGACCTGCCTGGCTTTTTTTTTACAGACATCTCATGGGGCTGGTGCTGCTAGCCTCCACTTCCCAGAGGTGGAAACAGAGGCTCAGAACACAGCAGTGACCAGAACAAGGTCACATGGGAGACCTGTGTGGTATTAGAAGAGGGGGCCAAGGCATGGCTCAGGCTGGAGTTCAGCAAGGCACGGCTCAGGCTCTGGAGGGCTGGAGGAGTGGGCACAGGGCTCTTCATGCCCAGCTGGTGAGGACCCCTGGCTTCTGGTCTGAGCCTGCTGCAGAGGTTGAACTGCTCATTAGAGTCTATGTGTGTGATTAATATGCATGTGGGATGATGGGAGAGAAGCACAGCTGAGCCTTGGCAGCCGGCATGGCCCTTCTGCAGCGCCGCAGGGTGGGAAGGTGGCTCTGGAGAACCGGAAGCTTCACTGGCTGTGACTAATCCACCATGGGTCTCAAGCCCAGCTTAACCTCTCTGGGCCTCCTCTATGTCACCTAAGCTCAAACACTGTGATGCATTACACCTCGGTATGGCAGAATGAGTAAGGTTTTGGAATGAGACAGACCCAGGTTTGGATCCTGGCTCTGTCACTTATTAGTTGGGTGACCTTGGGAAAGTTATGTGACCCCTCTGAGCCATCAAGTGCAAAAGAAACTAAGGTCTACTCTGCAGATTTCCTGGGAAGATTGACAATATGAAAAGTGCTTACTGCAATGTATGGCATTACTAGATATTTTATTATTGTTGTTGTCATCATATTCAGCTGGCATTTTTAGGTTTAAGTTCCAAGAAGCTTTGATTTTTTTCTCTACAGACTCTCTTATGAAAGAGAACCATTTCGTCTCCCTGCACTCCCTCTGCAAATGTTCCCACATCCCTGCAGCTGCCCCATCTTCCACCACCTCTTCCCATCCCATCCAGGTATAGGGCTCCTGACACCTTTTCCTGTCATGCGGTCTCAGCCCCACTGCCACCCCCTTCCCAGAGCCACCCTGAAGCCTGTACTGCAGGCCAGCAACCATGGTGTGACTACAGCCTCCTCTGAGCAAGGCCTGGGGAGGGAGAAAGCAGGCAGAAGAAAAAGAGCAGAGCCCAAGCATCAGACTAGCCTGGAAACAGCTGCGTGGTCTTGGGCATGTCACTTCACCCCTCTGAGCCTCGTAAAATGGGAGAGCAGTCCCTCCTTGCAGCAGCACAGGTGTGAGGAAGTTGACAAGACAGTGAGCGTGCACTGCCATATAGGAAGGTTCCCTTCCCGTGCAGGGAATGTTGCCTCCTCGTTCCCTGCCTTGGGACAGTGCCCAGGCTGCTCACCCGGCCTCAGCAGCAGTAAACCCCACAGCAAGAGCCTGAGCCCCCATGCCAGTCAAGCCTCTAAAGGGCCAGCTGGTAGGGCAGTACAGGAAGGGGTGTCTGGGCAAAGGTGGTAGCTGCCTGAGCAGGCCCCAGCTGCCCAGAGTTATTCTGGCAGAGTCCAGTTCCATCCCAGCCTCAAGGCCCACTCCTGGTGCACAGGGGCACATGGAGGTATTAGTTGTATCAACAACAAAGCCTTATGTGTAGTCGGCTCTAATGAATGCTTCTTGACTGATCATTTGTTGATAGTCGAGAATGGTAGATATGGTTAGTGAAGGAGAAGGGCTTTGGTTGAATGTAGTTTGATTTCACCCTGGAAGTCTTTTGCTAATATGCTAATGCTAATGCTAATAATAATATCTACTATTTAGCAGGCCTTGTTTGTGCCCTCACTCTACATTGTTATGTCTAATCCTTAAACAATGCTGAGAAGCAAGGATTACCCTCCCATCTTGCAGAAGAGAAAGCCAAAGCTCAGAGGGGTGAAATGACTTGCACCAGGTCTCCCAGCTCGGGATAAAGGAAGCTGAGATTTGAACCTAGCTCCGTCTGATTCAAAACTGACATTCTGCTTCCCACAAATCCAGACCTTGCCTGTCCCCATGCTGCCAGCTCTGGGTTCATAGCTTCCTCCAGAGTTTGCTCCCTGCTGTGTTCCATGTTACACTGACTACTGAGAAAAGCAGCATCTGGGCTGAGCAGGCTCCAGAGACACAGGCTTTGCTGAAGGGAGCTGGTAGGGAATGAGCTCTACCTGCTCATCTGCCTTCCAAAAGGAAACTGTCTGACAAAAGGAAGTCTCTCTGCCCTGTCACCACCTCTGTAGGTTGCAGCCTGTGTTCCCTGGCCATTTTTAGCATGAACCCGGGCCCCTGGTACCACCTGTAGTGGGCAGTGCCATTGGGCTATCCTGAGCGAAGTCAGCGTCCACATTACTGCTGGCAAACAGCACCTGCACTACTTTAATTAAGTCATTTGTCAGCATTTACAGGCTGTGGCAGAGAGATCAGAGGAGCAGGAGTCTGGGGTTTCCATGACAGCCCTGGCTCTGTCACCAACATGTGGTGGAGATCTGGGCACTTCCCTTACACTCTCTGAACTCAGGGTTCTCACTTGTCAGATGGGAAGGATTATGTCCTGCCTTATTGCTCAGGACAGTTTTGACGGTCAAAAATAATAGAAAACAGATTCAAAAGTTGAAAAGCACTTATAAGTAGACAGCATCATGCTTGTTGAAACAATAATTTCTGTCATTAATAGAAACTCATGTTTTTGGTACTCTTACTGTATGCACTTTATTACATGGACTGTCTCACTAATCTCCATGACAATGCTCACGAGGTGGTTATGGCTTTTATCCCTACTTTACAGAAGCAGAAACTGAGCCTTGGTTTCTAAGCATTACAGTGCCCAAGGGCTTGGTGCTGGGACCTCTTCTCTTCAGTAGCCACCCTCCTTCGCCAGGGGATTTCATGCTACATCATGGCTATTTTAAAAATCTGTATGCTTGACCTCTGTCCACACAGAACCTCCTCATGGATGTCCGATGGGCATCTCAACCATAGCATGTCCAAATCTGAGCCCCTGCTGGCCACTCCCCAACCCACAGTCTTGCCCATCTTGGTGAATGGCCCCTCCATCCTTCCAGTCACTTGGGCCCAAAACCATGGAGTTATCCTTGACTCTTTTCTTATCCTTTACAGCAAATTATGTTGGCTTCACTTTCAAAATAAATCCAGCATCCAACTACTTCTCACCATCTTCACTGCTGCCATCCCGAGCCAAGCCACCAGCATCTCTTACCTTAATTGAAATAGCCTCCTTCCTAGCTGGCCTCCTTACTTCTGCCCTGGCCCCTCTACGGTCTATTTTCAAGATTGCAGTTAAAGTGATCCTTTTAAAACCTAGGCAAATCATGCCACCCTTCTTCTCAAAAGTCTGTAGTGACTCCCCGTCTCACTCAGAGAAAAAGCCAAACATCATCCTTGATCGGCTAACCTCTGTGCCCGGTTTCGCTCTGGTCTCAGGCCCTGCTCCTCTCTCCCTTGCTCTTGGGTTCTAACACATGTACCACAGAGCCTTTGTACATGCTGTTTCTGCTGCCTGGATAACCCTCCCCAGAGATACCCACATAGCTCACTCCCTCCCCTCTTTCAAGTTTTTTTTGCTTAAATATCACTTTCTCCACGAGTTTCTCAACCATCTTATTTAAAATTGCAAGCCCCAGCCTCCTCCAACACACTCCAGCTCCTTTCCTATTTTATTTTTCTCCACCGTACTTATCATTAGCTAACACTTTACTGTTCATTTACTGACTGATTTTCTGTCTCCACCTACTAAAATATAAGCTTCATGAGGACAGAGACTTTTGTCCGTTTTGTCCCTGCTGTTTTGTGTCCTCAGTGCCTGGAATAGTGCTTGGCATGTAGTAGGTACTCAATTAATATGTGCAGATTCAGTTAATTTAAAAATGGACTTTCTCATGGACACATGGTGGTAGAATTGGGAGTTTAAATTCTGGGCTAACACCAACATATTAATACATTCCCAAACTGGGAAGCAGGAGAAGAGAGGGAGAGAAGAGGGGATGAGAAAGAATTGTTCTGCTTAGCATTTCCCCTCATTTATAAGTGGTCTGTAAGGGAGGCAGGAGCAAAAACACAAGGGACGGGGGAGGGAGGGAGTGGCCAACACCAACCAAGACAAGTGTTCCTAGATCTCCCCACCCCACTGCAAGATTTTATCAGCTGCTTTCAAAACAACAAAAAAAGCAATTCTAAAGCAGGACCTAGAGTGACTTTCCCAAGGTCACCCTAGCTGATTAATGGCAGAGCTGTCAACACCCAAAAATTGTGAAATGATTTCTGTGAAATCCCTGAAAATTGGTTTTGCAAAGATAACTGGCTTTTGACAAATTTCCCCAAAGAATAAGGTAAGAGGTTCTGTCCAAATGTGTCCATCATCTCATCTGGTTCCCAACCCTGAGGCTGCTGGCACAGGCCTGGCTGCGAAAATCTGATAAAATGCTTCATTGCCATTCAGGAAAACTACAGGCCAAGACGTTGAAAACACCACCTCTGCTCACTGTCTTACCTGCCCCACACTCATCTCCTCCCTCCACCTTTGTTCAAGCTGGCCTCTGGCCTGCCTTGCCTTCCTGCTAGGCCCCTCCTTCTCCTCCAGGCTCTACTCCACTAGGCAAATACCCAGATTTCAGGACTCAGAGTGTTACCTCCTCTGCACAGCCCTCCTTTCACTCCCTGACTCCTCTGTGTCCTGTGTATCCTTTCTGAGGTCTGTGGGCACCTGGGGTCCTTACTGCACTGTTCTACTCCTGCTGGACGTATGGGCTGGAACCGTTTTGGCCAATCTTTGTGGCTGCAAATCCCCATCCTGGTCTGGCCTCCCGGTGCAGATGGGGAAAGGTCAGCCAGTGTTTGGACCCTCGTCCACCTGAAGAGAGCAAAAACTTGTCACACACACCCCTTCCTTAAGGACCAGTAGCCTCTGGCTTGGGTTGGTCCCAAACTTGGAGGATGGGGATGACCCCCTAAGCAGGATTGACGCTGCCAGGAAGGGCTCCTTGGCCTGAAATTCCTCCTGCAATGTTTCATTCAATCATGAAGGAAGCGAGTTGCACACTGGTAAGTTCAGTGTGGCCCCGTTTGTACTCTGTGAAAAAGAAAGTGTATATATCAGTGTTTGGATATGGACACAGATGTGCTTATATATGCCTAGAATATATCTGTGGAGCTCTATGAGAAATTGGTCAGATTGGGCCTTGGTTTGGGTTCCTGAGACAAAGATGTGGGTGCAGATAGCTTTGTGGGAGGATCTCAGGAGATGAAAATGAGAGACGGAGAAAGTGAGACAGGGAAGGGAGGAAGAGTAGAGAGAATGTGTGAATGAGCTGCATACTGCTGTGGGCATCCTGGGCTCATTCACTAGGATGCTCTGAGCATCTATGTAGGATGGACCTCAGAACTGTCTCCCTGGAGGCTGGGGAGCTGGGGGCACTTAACCATGGACTCCTGTCTCCGAGTCATTGAGGGGTATCCCCAAGGGTGTTAACTCCCCTGCACATCCCGGTGCTGCCTGCATCCGGCTGAGTGGCTACCTGCAGCTTAGGAGAAAGCAAAACTGACTGATGCCCACAGCAGTACCTAACCAGTTGAGCTGAGAGGATGTGGTGGGGGCACCCCAAGAGTCTGCTAGGAAGTGGGGATAGAGGCACTTTAGAATTTTCACAGTTATATCCTTTTGTATGTGTTGATTTGGAAGTACATAAAAGCGCAAAGACGCAGGAAAATTCACGTCTTATCCTGCCACCTAGAAGTAATCGTCAATAGCCTGTTTGGAATATACCTTCCAGCATTATTCTTTGTAGCATGGATGTACGCAGTACATTTAACTGTGCGCCCTTTTCTGTGTCCCTGTGTACCGCTGGCAACAACTTCCCTTGAAGCCAGCACTAACAGCTTCTGCAGTCCAGGGGAAGGTGTGGGTAGCTCCTGGGTCCATTTCCAAGAGAGCCCTGGGGGACGGAGTTTCAGGACCAGATGGAACTCAGAGAGCAGAGAGACCCCCTTGGGCCATTCCCCACCCCACAGCACACTGCGGAGTTATCACCCTGATGCTGTGTCTCAGCTGTTAAACACAGTGCTGCCTAAATGGCCAACAGGGCTTTAAATCTCCGCTCAAGGGTCACTTCCATTTTCCTGCTCACTGAGCCCAACCAAACTTTTGTTTCCTAAAGAAAAGTCTATCATTTAAGGTTGTAAAGTACAGAAGCATCTCACCACTCCCCACCCCTACCACAGACAAGGCCAGAACGCATCCGGCAGCAACTCCTCACAGGCGACTAGAGACAATTGCCATCATCCCCTCCCATTCCTCCTCTGCCCTGCCCGCATTTGCCTTGGTGGGCACGTGGGGAATGCAGGACTCTGTGGCTTGGTATGCAGCCCTGGGCCCTGGTCCAGCTCTGCCACTCCCTGGCCTTGCAACCTCAAGCCACCACTTGACCTTCCGAGGCTGTTTGCTCATCTGGAAAATGGGTACATCACACACACTTCCCAGGACTATTTAAGGATCAAATGAGATCATGGATGTAAAGCAGCTGCCACAGTGCCTGACGTCACTGGGACCCTACAACTGGGGGCTCCCCCAGCACATGCTGGACATTTTACCCCATACTGGGACCCTCTTCCTGGGTTACCTCCCTATGTGGCCTGCCTCCCTCCACCTTCTTCAATTTTGTCTGTCCAAGGCCCCCTGGTGCTTCCTACCACTTCACTAAAGGAGAATCCTCCTAACACCTGGCTTTCATCATGCTCCGTCAGACTGTCACACAGCTCCCACTGCCTACAGGAAGTCTAAATTCTGCAGCCTCATGCTCCAGGCCTCCTAGAGGTCTCCTTCCGGCCAGTCAACCTACTGCAGCCATACTACTGTGCACACTGCCTGCTACGCCAGCCCCAGAAGGACAGCCCCCTTCAAGATAGGCTCAGAGAGCTCATCCTCCTGAATAAGGGTCGGGGTCCTGCATGCAAATCTGGCTGTGAAGGCTCAGAAGCCCTAGTCCTCTGTGCTGTGCGCGTGTCATCTTCCAGGCAGCTGGCCCTGAAGCTCTGGGCCACCTTTATCCCCTTCCCTCTGCTCTTAAACGCAGGGCCTGCTCCTCTGCAGAATCAGTGTTCCCAAGCAGGATAGCACAGGCTCTGGATCAGCTGACCCAGGAGATCAACTCTCAGCTTCCTTTCTTACCAGCTACGTGACCTTGGGCAAGCCTCTATGCCTCAGTTTCCCCAAGAGGAATGTTAACACCACCTGCCTCTATAGTGTTCTTATGAGATAAAAGAGGTGACACATATAAAGTGCTGATAACAGAGCCTGGGACACGGTATCATTTTATAATCTTCACCATAGTTCTAACTTATTGCGTATGTCCTATGTGTCAGGACTTTACAGTTATTCTGTCAGTAATCCTCACTCTGCAAGGCAAGTCACATTATCCTTGTTTCAAATAAAGAAACTGGGGCTTAGAAGAGTAATTTACCCTGGATCTTATCCCAGACCTGTTGGATCCAAATACTGTACCATGGCCAAAGAGCCATTACCACTTACACGTCCACACTGTGTGCCAGGTCTTAAGATGTTTATGTATATGTCATATGTACAGGCCTCAAAACAGCCCCATAAGGTGGGCACTATTATCATCATCTCCATTTTACAGGCAAGGAAACTGAAGCACAGAGAGGTTAATTAACAGATGCAGGATCACACAGCAAGCAAGCAGGAAAGCTAAGACTGGAACCCAGGCAGTTTGAACATAAACTCTGCACCTAATTGCTACCCTCTGTGTCTCCCACCTGCTTTGCCCTCTTTTATTTCATGTGATCCTCTCAAAAACCCTTCAAGGAAGGTAGTATTACCCCCTTTCACAGCTAAGGAAACCCTGGGCTGTGACACACAGCAGGAGTGAAATTAAACCAAAAGACAATGCATTTCCAGGTGTGAAAATAAAATGGCTCAGAACTTCCCTTAAATTCTTTCTGTATTACTGCATTTTGGAAAACCTCTCACCAGGGGATGAGGCTGCAGCTACATTAGTGACATTGTATTTCCTTCTTTCCTCCTAATTCATGCTCCAACCACACAGACCATTCTGCAGACTCAAGCCCTGCTGAAGGGCAATGGATGCCTTAAGGAGGCTGCAGATCAGAAATAAAATCAGACTGCAGAGCACCAAGAAACCCTTCACCTAAATTCCGCTCTGCTTTGGGGCTTTGGGGGATGGCTGGCCATGTGCCAGCTCTGTTTGCAGGAGCTGCACCAAACCTTGGGAATCCCTAGGGAGGGGACCTTCTGGCAGAAGACCAGCAAGACACATGCTATTGGCTCCACACCCACACCAAAGGGAGGCATCATTAATTGATCACAGTGTTCTTTCCCACAGACGTAAGATTGGGCTGCAGAATCCTTTGCAGAACAGTGCTCTAGGCAGCACCTACTGATCAGAACTGTATCTCTCAGCTTCCTTGCACTAGAAGTGGTCATGTGATAGTGTTCTGGCCATTGGGCTATGCACAGAAGCATAGTAAGGCATTTCAGAAAAATCTTTTAAAAGATGAGTCACGTGCCCTCCTTTAGCTCTTCCATTCTGCTGCCTGGAATGTGGGTGCAATGGCTGAAGCTCTAGCAGCCATTCCAGACAATGAGGTACCTATGGGAATGGAAGCCACAAGGTAGGAAGGTGGAGCAGCAGGCAGAAGGAGCCTGGGGCAGTGATCATGGAGCCCCACAACATCCTTGCACTGCCTGCTTCCAGACTTCTCTTCCATGAGAGAGAAATTCTTGTTTAAGCCCATAGTATTAGGCATTTTTGGTTGCAAACAAGCAGATCTAATTCTCACTGATACAGTTCCAACTCCTCATTTTCTCCCCTAGGTGTACTTCCAGCATGCTGTCCAACTTGCAGGTCCCTGAATCCATCAAGCTGGTTCCCATCCTGTGCCTGTACCTTCCTTCCACATGCTATTCCTTCTATCTGAAGCACCCTTCTGCCACCCTATCTATTTGGCAAATGCCAACCCATCCTCCAAGACTCGGCTCAAGCACTCCTCTCTGGAAAGCTGTCCTGGATTCTGACACTGCAGTGCATCCATCTTGAGTTCCCACAGTGCCCTGGCCTTCCTGCTCAATTACAACCCCTATCACCAATTCCTACAATTCTGTATCCATAGCTGTCTTTCGGACTTACTGGCACAAGGGCAGTGTCTGATCTTCCCCATGGGCCCAGGCAGATGAAGCACAGTAAATGTTTGCAGAAAGAATGAACAAGGTATGAATGAGCATCTGGAGGGGTCAGACATTCTGAGCTATAGAAGCTCCAGCAGCTGCCGTAGTGCAGAAAAGCTTCTTGGAGGAGGAGGAGGGAGAGATAGCAGCACAGGGAATGCCAGCTTGGTCTATTGGTCCAGGTTAATGCCTGTGCCATAACAAGTAGACACCACAGACCCTCCAGAGATCTTTATATGGCTTAATGGAATATCTCCAAGATGGTCCCTGAAGTCTTGGAGAGGTCACAGCCTCCAGCTGCTGCCCGGGCTGGGATCACCAAGTGTTTGTGATTGACAGGGCAGCTGCCTAAAAATGTTCCAAGCCCCAGGGCAGGCAGGGGGAGGGGGGCCAAGCATTGTTGGAAGCTAAGCTTACTCTGTGCTGGCATAGTACAGCCATCTGGTTTGGGTCAAAGGTCTCCAGGGACCCGTTTGATTTATAGGCCAGTGCAGCCACCCAGGCGGCATGAGGGTGAGGGCAAGGAGAGGCCAGGAGAGGGGTGTGGGGGAGGTGGAGGGAAGGGACGGTTAGAGGCCCCTTCAGAGGCTGAGCAAGCCCTATGCTTCTGCTCCAGGCCATAGAGTGCCTTAGGTTGCTTTTAAAAGAAACATCACAAAAGAAAGCATTAAAAAAGTCAAGAAGTATTTATCGTGTGCCTACTGTCTCCCTGGGTCTGCATCAGATGCTGTTACTCTCTGGGAGAGGAAGTAAATCCACATGAGCTCTACCCAGCGACGCCGGGCTTCCCACACTGCGGCCTCATCCACCTCGCTCTGCCATTATTAGCCGCATTCTACAGATGATGACGCCAAAGAGCAGAGTCCCACAGCCTGCAGTGGCAGAGCTGTGAGGCAAGCCCAGGCTTTCTGCCCAACTTCAGAGTCTTTCCCCTCTACCCTGCAGGGCCTCCAGAGGGTTCTGGAGTTCAGAGGGGAGGGAGGTAAGCAGGGGCCAGAGTCAAACGAGGAGTCTCAGAAAAAGGCCTGTGAGGATTGCTCACTAAGAAGGGGCCATGCCTTATAAAGACCCCACAGACCCCCTTCACCACCGCAAATGTGCTCCAGCAGCACAGAACAGAATGGGCAATATGGACTAAGGTCATTAAAGAGGACTTTAGAAACCAAGGTGGCATTGCTCGGAGCCTCCAGAAAGGATAGCTTTAGACAGGTGGAGAAGTGGGCCAGCATCAGGCAGGGAGCACAGCACAAGCAGAAGCATGGAGGCAGAGACTTGCCCGCCGGGGGATGTGGAGGCTGCACTGAGGGCTGGGAGGTCGCACTCCTCTGCTGGGGGAGGTGGAGAAGCAGGTTCTGGTGCTGGGTGCCACACAAAAGGGTCACCTCCCTGGCCCTGCCCAGAGAAAGGGGCAGAGCTAAGCCCCAAGTGGGGCAGGGGCCTTTCTCATATCTTCTGCTGGACACGCCCTGGGACCATAAGGGGCACCATCCAGGGCTCTACAGAGGGTGGGGGGGTGGCAGTGTGGAGACAACAGTGATTGTCTCCTTGGAAAAGTCACAGTACACAGTCCCCATGGGCCCTCCAAACCAGCCGGGGAAGCCATGCACGTGGCACTCTAGCCCTCTATCTCCTCCATCAAATAAGCTGGCCAGGCACCCCCACTCTAGTGAGGGCACCTGGGGGGACCTGTGGTGGACACAGGTCACACAGCTCAGCAAAACCTGGCCTTAAACCCAAATCTAAGGAAGCCCAGATCACCACGTTGAGGCCAAAGAAAGAAAGCAGAGATGGCCTAGAGCATTTCAGATACTTAGAAAGCCTGGTGCAGCTCATCATGGTCTGGGGAGGTCCATGGTGGACACAGGTCACACAGCTCAGCAAAACCTGGCCTTAAACCCAAATCTGAGGAAGCCCAGATCACCACGCTGAGGCCAAACAAAGAAAGCAGGGATGGCGTAGAGCGTTTCAGATATTTAGAAAGCCTGGTGCAGCTCATCATGGTCAGAGTGAAGACAGCAGGGGAAGAAAAGAGCCCTCAGGACATTCTGAAAGGGACGCTTTGAGCCTGAAATCAGGCAGACTAGAGTCCAAATTCTAGTTCTGGCCCTGAAACCTTTCAGCCGTTCACAGCCTCAGTTTCCCCATCTGTGAAATGGGGATATTATTAACACTTCACACATGGGGCTAAAAGGATTTAATGGAAAGATAGATAGATAGATAGATAGATAGATAGATAGATAGATAGATAGCACCTGGGTTGGGGCAAGGAGATAATCATCAAATGGTTACTTTGGCTTTTCTTCACCGCCTATATTGCTGGAAAGCACAGCAGTTCTGTGACAGAAAAAGTTTATCTGGCAGGGCTCAAACTCCTCTCTGTGTTCTGCATGTCTGTGGTGTGGACCTCACGAAAAGCCAAAGCCAGACCTAAGCAATGAACCCACCCAGGGCTAGAGTGTAGCAGACAATCCATCATCAATAAGTCAGCCAGAAATGCCACCTCCCAACCATGGATGCAGATGAGAGCCTGGCCCAGCCTGGGGAGGGGCCGCCTGATGCAGCCTGGCACTGGGCTACCTCCTGCCAGGCGCACTCCCTGGGAGACCTGGCAAAGCCCAGCTCTGGCTTTTGACCTCTGCCCCCGAATTGTTTTCATGTGGTGGGGCTCACGATGGGCCATGGGTTCAGCAAATGACAACCAGACCCAGCCAGATGCACACATGTGTCAGGGACAAGGAATGTGTTCAACAACTCTTGGGGCAGGAATATGGCCTGGTGAAAGGCCACCAGGTCAGGAGGAAAAGAGAAAGACGTGTGCTCCCCATGCGGCAGCCACCAGCACTGTTCATGGCTGTTGGGGATACAGGAGGGACATGGCTGGTCTCCTTCTCTAAATGGTCTACAGCCCCATCAGAAAGACAGGATGGACACCCCAGAACCTTAAAATCATAACTGAGGACAGTCTAGGATTACAAGCTGAGATAAATAATAGTGCCATATGAAGTAGCCCCTAACGCCGTCCAGGCCTTTGCGATTTACAAGGGGCTTTCACAGGTTTTGCTTTATTTCATCTCCATAACAGCCCTCTTTCTTATTTTTCCCATTTCACCCACAAAGAAATGGAGGCTCAGCAGGCTCAGGGACGTCCCCAAGGACACAGAGCTAGCAAGAGGCCTGCTGCAGAACTGCCACTGTGTTCTGCACAGCTGCCCCTCCCCCCGCAGAGCTCCTGGCCCCTGCTGTCCCCCAGGCCCTCCTCAGCATTCCTGGCATACCTCCTGTCAGTGGCTACCCCCCACCACCAAAGACCTTTGACATTCGCCTAAGGTTTTCTGGTCCTGCAGCCTGACACTCATTGGCTGGTATCTGGGCTAAATCTTTCTCCTACCCCCACCCCCACTTGAACTCACTCCCTGGGCCCTGGAGCCACTCTGCTGACCACTGGCCCAGAAGAAGTCCCATGGCAGAAACAGAGGCCTGTGCTCTCTCTCTGGGGCTCCTCAGCCCTCTCCAGTGGCTCTAAAGCAGCCCCATCCAGTAGAACTTTGAGCCGCGGTCGGAATGGTTTACATGGGCTCATCCAATAGGGCAGCCACGAGCCGTGTCTGTGGAGCATTTGGATGCGGCTAGCACAACCAAGTAACTGAACATTTAACTTTATTTGATTTTAATTAAACGACCACATATGGTTAGGGCTAGTGGCTCCCACATTGGATAGGGCAGATGTGGAGCTGATGTAGCACCACAGTGTAAAGTGTTTGTCATCCAAAAAATCCAGATGCCCAGTCCCTCCATCTCAGAGACTGCAGAATGATGGAGACCACTTGAGGTCATCTTATCCAATCCCCTCCTTGCAGTGGAGAAACTGAGGCACAAAGAGAGGAGCTGACTTCCCCGAGGTCACAGAGCAAGTGGGCAAGCTGGAGCCCACTGGGCCAGGTTTCCTGGCTCCCAGACAAGTGCTCTTTCCAGGACCTGTCCGCCTCCTGCCTTTTATAATCCCACACCAGACTCTGGGTACAACTCAGTTCAGGTTGAGTATGCTTTTTTAACTTTCACATATCTGAACAGTCCACTGTGGCAGAACACCTTAAATATCCAAGGGAGGTTGCCTGTGTCAGCCAAAAAGGAAATACAAGCCCACAATTCACCACTTCTCTCCTGGGTGGCTTGCGCAGCATGGTGGTGACAAGGGCCCAGGCCAGCTTGAGCTCCACCACCCCAGGTGACAAAAGGGGAAGCCAGAGCTTACCCAAGCAGAGCCCTGCCCTGGTGCTGCCCTTCCCAGGGTCCAGCCAAGAATGTGGAGAGGCTGCAGCATGATGGACAAGGCGGGGGACATATGTCACAGCTACAGAGGTCGGGGTGGGCTCCAAGCCCTGGGTCACTCACTTGCCCCAGGTAGGGAAGACTGAAACACAAATGCCCTGCCCAAGAACAGGACAGAGTTGAGACTTACCAAAGCTCACGCTGAGTTCACTGCTTTACAGAGGCCCCTTTTCTTGGCTGGACTGCCAGATGGTTCTTAGTAGACCCAGGGAACTCTATGCTTTCTTAAAAAGCCTGGAATTCAGTTTTCTGGAGCAATGGCAAGACGGAAAAGCACAAGATGGAGGTTCAAATCAGCTCTACCACTCATGGTGCAACCCTGGGCGAGTCTCTCAACCTTTCTGGGCCTCAATTAACTTGTCTGTAAAATGCAAATGGCCATATCCACCTCAACCAAAGGCCACCCTGACCAAAGTTCCAACAACATGCCATTTTTTAGCAGCGGGGAGACCTGTCCCAGTGGAAAAGAGACTGGTAGTAAGAATTACTTTTTTAAAATGAGATTGTGTATAACTTTTAAAAAAAATAGTGGAATGACTGAAGTCTAAAAGATGGAAAGACATGTTGGTGTCTCCCTGCTGCTGACCCCTGAGCCTCACCACCCCCACTCTGCCCTCCATGATCCCCAGCCCTGCCAGCCATGGGCTTGCCTGTTGGTCCCCACTGACTCGCTCTTCCCCTAGATCTTCACATGGCTCCCTCTGCCTCATCATTTAGGTCTCACTTAAATGCCCCTCCCCCAAAGGGGACCACTGCAGCAGCTGACCTCCCTCCCTTATCATATTCTCCAACTTTGTTCTATATCTGGATTTTCATAAGCATTTATGAATTTTCATAAGCATGTATTCTTGGTTTACTCTGTTTCCTCCATGAGAGTGGAAACTGGACCTGCCTTGCCCACCACTGCTGCCCAGCTTCCGGCTAAGGGTCAGCACACCACAGGCCCTTCATAAACACTGGTGCAGGGATAGATGCCTGGGTGTCACTGCCCTCCCCACGCTGCTTGGCCGATTGACCTAGCAGGATTGCATGTGATTGAGGAAAGTGGAATGGCTTCTTTACACTCATATCAAATTAAGTAGCTACGGGCAGGGTGCAATGAATTTCAATTTACTATTGGTAGCTAACTGGAAATTTCTCAGGATTCCCTTCTCCAAAATTTCAGTAAGAAGCTTGTCTATACTCTTTCTGTTTTGTGGGATGCTGTGGGAAATGGGCACTCTTTCCCTGGGCCTCTGCTGCCAACCAAATGTGCTTTTCTTTTTTTTTTTTTTGAGATGGAGTCTTGCTCTGTCTGGAGCTCAGGCTGGAGTGCAGTGGTGTGATCTCAGCTCACTACAACCTCCACCTGCCGGGTTCACGCCATCCTCCTGCCTCAGCCTCCCAAGTAGCTGGGACTACAGGTGCCTGCCACCACACCCGGCTATTTTTGTGTATTTTTAGTAGAGACGGGGTTTCACCATGTTAGCCAGGATGGTCTCAATCTCCTGACCTTGTGATCCGCCCACCTCGGCCTCCCAAAGTGCTGGGATTACAGGCATGAGCCACCGTGCCCGGCCCCAAATGTGCTTTTCATCCTACCGTGTGGCCTCTGAGTGATGCAGCAGCTCATTCAACAAACACACACAGAATCCACTACATGCCAGGACAAATAGAACAGCCCAGCCCCTGCTGTCGGGAAAAGGGCAGTGACTGGGAGGACTTGAGGCTGTACTACACAATCTTGAGGGTGCAGAAGTGGTGCACACAAGAGCACCGTACCTCCTGGAACTGCAGCGGAGGGCCTGGCTTTTGGCAGAGTGCTTGGCGCTTAACCCAGAGGCCCCTCAGGAGGTACCAGGAAGAAACAGTGAAATGAAGCTGCTTTTTCAAATTAGAGCATCTACCACTGGTACTTAGGTTGCATGGACACATTGTCCCTTTGGAGAGGAAAGCCCCTGAATTCTGCTAAACACACCTTTCCTTTGTGGCAGAGTTGATGGAAAGGATCTTCAGGTCCCCCAAGCTTGTTCCAGCCAATACTGGGAGCCTGATCCTTGCTTCTGCCCTAGACTGAGCTCCCCAACCGGTTCCTGGGAATCTGGAGCATTGTGGCTCCCTCCAGCATACCCTGCCCCTAAGGACCTTGCACTCCCCACACCCTCCTTCCAGCCAGGCATTCCAGGCAGCTGACTTCTGGCCAGTGCAGGGACTGATGGCACAAGTCAACTGGGAAGCTTGTGACACACACGTTCCAAGCCCCACTGCAAGGGTTTCTGATTCGGCAGGTGAGAGACAGCAGAGATCTGTGTCTTCCACATGCCCTGAAGGATACTGAGGTCCAGGCAAGTATGCTAAGGGCCAAGCTCTTCCACAGCTGAGGAATAAGCAGCTAGGCCCATCCCAACCAGAGGGCTAGTGGGAGCCTCTGCCTGCACCTGAGGAGAAGCCCTGGGCCCATCAGACACTCACAGGATTTTAAACCAAGATCTGGGAACACAGCATGCCAGCTTGCA
Organism: Homo sapiens; assembly: GCF_000001405.40. Classification (NCBI taxonomy): domain Eukaryota; kingdom Metazoa; phylum Chordata; class Mammalia; order Primates; family Hominidae; genus Homo; species Homo sapiens. Next base: position 141,078,043 of record NC_000003.12, on the reverse strand, counting down.
CATTATAAAGTTGCCAAGGCCACAGTGAGCCAAAGCCAAGGGGCACCTCAAATTATGAGGGAACAGAAAAGATAGAGGAGATGGGGGGAGACCATGGCAGACGTGCAGTTGATGCAGTGATGGGGTGCCTGAGCGGTTTCTCATTCCTGGACCACCTGCCGCCTCCCACAATCCACATGCAGCCTTATGCTCACCACTTCCTTGAGGCAACTTGTGAGTTCTGGGCTTCCAAAGGAGCCCTCACTAAACAGCCCACTCCCACTGTTGGCACCTGGCCTGGCCTCTGCATAAGCACTGTGAGTGGCCCTCAGTTGTGACCCGTGGCCCCTCACTCCAGAAGGGTGACCCCTCACCCTTAGGAGATGAACGGTATCTCCCATGCTCTTCCTCGTGAGGCTCAAACATCAGGCAGAGAGCTGTCCTCTACCCCAGAACACGCCAGAAGCAAACACGCTCTCACCCTGGGACCTCCTCATGAATTGCATTTTGAGGGAGAAACATCAACAAAGAGGACAAGATCTGGAAGTCAGCTGTGGCTCCCTGGATCGACTCAGAAGCATCTACTTAAATGACTTCAAAGCTGGGATGATGACAAGGTCTTTGCTGGCAGTTCCAGCCCCCTGCTGCTCACCAGTGAGATCATGGGCGTGGGAGACAAGAGGGATGGGAGACACCAGGCGCCCACTGGGGCTCCCAGCAGGCGGGTCACGAAGCAGAACTCACGGCTCTATTTATAGAAAGCAGCCGCTGAGAAGGATGAAGAACCGGGGAGAGCCTGCACGGCAGTATTTTCCAAGCTCACGCTGTCTCGGCTTAATTTCATCCCAAGCAAATAACTCATTAAGGAGGCACCGAGTCCTGGAAGATCTGACGAAGAAGGGCCATTAAGCGGCACAGCCTTTGCTTGAATTATGGAATGCCTCAGACAAGCAGCCTTATTAGTGTCTGGGCGAGGCCGTAACTCACGCTAACCGCCCCCTTGCTTTAACCAAAGCAAATCAGCTGGCTCCCGACCCTGTAAATAAAGGCTGCCGCCAGCCTGGCAGGGCATTGGCTCTCCCCGCTCACTTAAACCCCATCCCCCGCCCCGGCAAATTTGCTTCCTCTATTCAATGCTTTCCCAGCACCACCCACTCAGAATCATCAGCAAGTCAGAAGAGTTCAGAGTGAATGCAGTTTGCTGTACTGTATTTAAGGGTATCTAAGTGCTGTGGTACTGGGGCCTGCCAATGCTGGCTTCAGTAAACTCTTGTTAAGCACAGTCAATCCAAGGCCTGGGACCACCTGCAAAACCACTGAAGACTCAACGTGACCCTGAGTAGCACAGAGGTTACAGGTGTGGGTGCTGGAGTAGGCCTGGACTCAAGTTCGGGACAGACACCCCCCAAGCAACTGCTGGCTCTTCATGTCCCTCAGGCCTAATCTCCACATGTGCAGACTGTGATACCAGCACTTCTCCTCACCCGTGGAGATTAAATGAGCTATGCTGCATAGGGTGCTGACAAGCCTTTGTGCAGGGCGGTGGAGCTGGGCAGTGTCTGGCCTTTTGTGAGTGCTCAATCAATGACTGTTTAACAAAGAGCTGTTTCCATTTGCAGTAATCCCTTGCCAAACAAAGTCATCCTCACAGGAACATTCATGGATAAGAGTGTGGATTTACTCGTGTACACTGCATTGGCAACTATAAGAATTTGGGTTCCAGGGCACATACATGGAGTCACTTGGTAGCTGGGAAGGGAAGTGGGGCCGGACGTGAAAAGGAGGAAATGCAGAAGGCATAGCTGCCTTGTCGGGAGCAGGGCCAAGCAAGGCCTGAGACTGGCCTGGCGTCAGCCAGGTGGCAAGGACGAGGGCAGAGCCAGGCTCGGTAACCCCAGGCTGAGCTGGAATCAGGGAAGTGGGCCATTTCCAACAAAGAGGGCAACACAGACCAAGGCACAGAGGAATACGCATTTTATTTTATCTTATTTATTTTTTACTTTTTTGAGACACAGTTTCACTCTGTTGCCCAGGGTGGAGTGCAGTGGCTCGATCTCAGCTCACTGCAACCTCCACCTTCGGGTTCAAATCATTCTTGTGCCTCAGCCTCCTGAGTAGCTGGGATTACAGGCATGTGTACTATACCTGGCTTTTTTTTTTTTTTTTTTTTTTGTATTTTTAGTAGAGACAGGGTTTCGTCGTGTTGGACAGGGTGGTCTCGAACTCCTGACCTCAAGTGATCCGCCTGCCTCGGCCTCCCAAAGTGCTGGGATTACAAGCGTGAGCCACAAAGCCCGGCTGGAATATGCATTTTAGCTTGGCTGCGGGATCATTCAGCATGGCGGGTAGATGGGTGGATGGTGGGGCGTGGGGATAAGCTGTGATTGGGGGCCCTTGATCTGTGTTACATCTTCATCAGCATCATCCAGGAGCTTGTTAGAAATGCAGAATCTTGGGCCCGACCCAGTCCTACTAAGTCAGAATCAGCATTTTAAGAAGGTCACCAGGTGGCTTGAATGCACACTGAGGTTTGAGAAGTGTTGCTGACAACTCTACGGGGTAAGTGCCATCACTATGCCCACTTTACAGGTGAGGATACCGAGGAACTGCAAAGTTAGGAAACTTATGCCCAGGTCACGCAGGTACTAAACAGGAAGACCAGTTCTTACCTGGGTATCTGTGACTGTGCTAACCCCCTGGTTGTATGGTCTGAGCGGCGGCCAGGACAGGGTCTCTGACATGCAGGAGGCACTGAGAAGCCATGGAGGGTCTTCATCTGTGTGTGTTGTGGGGAGACACTGGTCTAAACTCTGCCCAAGCTCCAAGGCCTCCCCTCAGAAAGTCCCTCCAACCCATCAGCATCACCCCTGGCCCTAATCACTCTCCTCCTAAGCTCCTACATCCTCCCACAGCTGTGTTTTTCAATACGGACTCAGAAACTGCATTGAATTCTCACTCCCTTGTTTCTGATGGGGAACATTTTCAAGGGGGATTGGAGGCCTGGGTTTTAGTTCAGGTTCTGCCACTACCTGGCAGGTAACCTTGGGCAAAGCCTCCCAGCTCTCTGGTCCAGTCAGCTCCCATCTGTAAAAGGTGGGTCTTGCATTGGCTGCCAGATACCATCTCTTCTATCCCTGTGTCTGGGGCCTTTGCCTTCACCCTTCTGCCAGGGCCTGAAAAGGTGAGACCCTTTACCTCTTCCCCTTCCCTTTTTCCCAAAGGTCCAATAATGGCCAGCCCACAACTAGACCAAGTCACTATTTTCGCAGAGGTGGACGCCGGCCCTCAGGGCCGCCACCTCGGCAGCTCATCCCTGCTGAATGTCTGCCTGCACACAGCTGGTGAAGGTGCTGCTCATTTGGGTATCCTTGTGAATGCATGTCCACCAGGCAAGTCACCACGGGGAGCTGCGGCCTTTTAGAGAAACACTTGAATAAGACATGCAGCCGGAAACCGCTCACAGGGAAGGCTAAACACTCCCAGCTCATTTGCAACAAACTCACAATGGCCTGTGAACCTCAGGTGGCATTTCCATCATGTATCTTAGAGAGAAACGAGTCCAAGACCATCCAAACCACCACAGATTCCCTCGTGTGAAATCCTTCAGTTTCACAGTGTGGACCAAAATTTAATAACCATAATTATTTCTATATTTAATAACTGTAATTTTACCAATTTATGAGAGCAGTAATAGTCATAATTAGCCATTTTTAAACCTACCGCTTTTTCAGTAGCTACGTTCTAGGCACTAGATCAGTCACTTTCTATATATTAATCCATGATCCTGACACCTCGTAGCAAAGTAAGTTTGTTTTTCAGATGAGAAAATGAAGGCTTGGGCATGAAATGACTTGTTCAGGGTCACAGCTAATTAGAAACCAAGTCAGGACTGAAGCCAAGCCAGTGCTGGAAGACCCCTGAACCCTGCTCTTCCCACAAGACCATGCTGTGGCCCACGGTGATGCTTGTCCTGATTAAGCCTGATTTCAAATGCTGTCACCTGCATTTCAAAGCCACCTTTCTGCAAGCCAGACTTCCATGAACCGAATTATGACTATGTTAATATGAAAACCTCCTTCAAAGAAGGGCCACAGCATCTGATCGAGGCCTTTTCTCAACTGAGAGACTGTTCCTTTCAAACAAAGGGTAGGGGGCAGTTTCTGAATGTCAGGATCCTGCATTGACATGCCTGACCCATCAAGCAGCCTCTGCTTGGCCTGTGTGCAGGGACAGATGTGCTGTACACAGGACACAATGAGAGATGGAAAAAGGGTCACTCAGGGGCAGCTCATAGCCAGCCCCTCTGCTCCAGCCAACTGTGACTCAAGTCCCCCTGTGGCAGAGGAAAGAAAAGCTTATTCAGTTGGTGGGAGGCCAGGACATTAATATGCATTTACTGAGCACCGACTATGTACTCTGTTGCAAGGGCTGCTATAGGGTGGTTGAAAAGGCCAAGATGCAGTTGCCACAGCAAAGAGCCACCACTTTCACCATTAGCAGCAGCAGCAATAACAGAAAAGCAAAACACACACATTATGGGCTTATTCTGTGAAGTAAAGGGCTAGGTGTCTTATGTTGACTACACACTATGTAAGGACTGGCTGAATTAGACACCTCAAATAATATTAATCCAACAATGTGTCTGAAGCCTCCTTAATATCAAATTAATAAATTTTAAAAAGAGAAAAAATTAACGTGATTCTACTGTATTTTAAACTGGAAACAAAGTCATTCACGAGCCTTCATCAGGTGCGCAAGATGAGCTCAGCACCGCAATCAGAAATTCAGGGAACGCATATCAATATTAACCTACTGTGAGCCTCATGCTGGGCAGTGCTTCATTTCTGCATCACTTCTAATACTCACAGCAACTCTGAAAGGTACATATAATTATTCCCACTGCACAGATGGGAAAACTGAGGCTTGGGGATGTTAATTAGCTAGAGGGGGCAGAAAGGAAATTTCAATTGGGATCAAAATGTATGCTCAAAGATTGGAAACTGCCTAAATGTCCAAATATGGGGATCTAAGTAATTAGATTATAACACAACCATATCATGGACCCATGCGACTGCTAAGAAAGAATGAAGCAGCTCTACATTAACTGATAGTAGATAACTGCCAAGGTCCATTGAAGGGAGAAAACAAGATACAGGGGAATGTTTTCAGTATGATCTAAAAATTATCTGTCACAAATGTCTCTGGAAAGACAAGAAACTGCTAATAGTGGCTGCCAGCAGGAGCGGATGGGGGGCCGAGATACACAGGAGGGGTTATTTCACCATACGCCCTTTGGTAGTATTTAAATCTGTTGCCACATGCACAGCTTTCCTTTCAAGAGTAATGTTTTAGTCTGTTTTGTGTCGCTATAAAGAAATATCTGAGGCTGGGTAATTTATAAAGAAACAAGGTTTATTTGGCTCAGGGCTCTGCAGGCTGTACAAACATGGCACGGCTTCTGCTGAGGGCCTCAGGAAGCTTTTACTCATGACGAAAGGCAAAGGGAAAGTAGGTGTGTCACATGGTAAGAGAGACAGTAAGAGAGATGCCAGGCTCTTTTAAACAACCAGCTCCCACATGAACTAATAGTGAGAACTCACTCATTACCACGAGGAGGGCACCAAGCCATTCATGATGTATCTGCCACGGCCCAATCACCTCCCACCAACCCCCACCTCCAACTTGGGGGATCTCATTTCAACACGAGATTTGTAGGAAACAAATATCCAAGCGATATCAAGTAAATAGGCACATATGATGTCCCTAATCTTCCCAGTTCACCATGCATACCTCCTGGGTTTCCATCCCTGCCCTGAGGAACTTCATAACCACTTGGGGAAAGAAGGCCTATGGGTGGAAAAATGAGTGAACCCTGCAGATGCAGAAGAACTCAGTGCTAAACTCCCCATGCAGAGCCAGAGTCCTCGGCTGAGGCCTGGAGGTGAGCTGGGGTCAGGACAGATTGATAAGGGATGGGGGCAAAGGGGCGACCAGGCCCAGAGGGGCCAAGTCCAGATGTCCTGGAGGCTGGGAGGACCTCACTACCCCGGGAGATGCACGGGGGTCTAGCGAGAAGGTCTTGAGTGCAGCTCTGGCAAGGAGACAGTGTCCTTGTAGTCATCGTGAGAGCAAACTCTCTCTGGCCTTCATCAATACCAGAAGCCTTGGCTAGCTGCCAGCCTCCTCTGCTCAGCCATTGAGCCAATAAATACTTGTTGGCAGATCAATTAAACCATCTAGGAAAGACGTCTGGAAATACAGCTTCCTCGGCTCCGTGCAGGGGGAAAGCCCTCTCAGCCAGTTAGGCCCAAGATACCTGTATTTCCACGCTCCACCCTGTGAAAGTCAGCCCTGACACTGGCGCCCGTTCTGTGGGGTCAGGCCATGCTCAGTGGTGGGCAGGCTTGGGCAGGTTGGCCCAGGCATAGGAGGCAGAGCTGGGTATAAGCACAGCTGTGTCATTTGCTAGCTGTGTGGCCTTGGGCAAATTCGTTACCTTCCCAAGACAGTTTCCTCATCTATAAAATGGGGATAATAACAGCCACATTGCCTCATGACTTATTGCGACGAAAAGAAAAAAAAAATGAGTAAAATCCTAAGCCCAGGGCACAGAACATGGATGGGAGCCAACAAAAGTGTCATCAATGCCCCCAAATCAAAGCTGCCAGGGACCCCAAGGCCTCTTGTCTCTGTCTGATACTCCCCTCTTATTCCTGTGTCACTCACATACCACTCACCACCCAAGAACTCCGAGATGTGAGACAAAGCCGTTCTGTCAGCCCTCCTGCCGCCTGCATGTGGAGAGAGGAGCTGGGGAGCCACGGAGCAATTCCAGAAAGCAGCCCAGAGCAGATTCCAAAGGCCTGGCCCACCGCAGGGGCCCACACCTCACAGCAGTCGAGACATTTGCAGTGACATTCCCCTGTTAGTGATCAAGCATGCCTGATCCATGGCCACTGCTGGGGATGCCTTTATACAACTTAGCATTTCAGAACACCCTGCAGAGTTCCATGCTGAGCCAAGAGCTTTGAGGGCTGGAGGTAAAGCCAGCCAGAGGAGGAAAAATGACAGGGACAGCATCTCAGAGACTCGCCCAGACTCACTGCTGAAGGCAAGGACCTGGCCCTGGGCTGCACGGTCACCAGCCAGATGGAGCAGATGCTCCTGCGCATTCTCTCCCTGCCTTGAGGGTAAACGTCTCCACAAGGTGCCCGTGTCTGCCTCCATTTGAATCCAGGCTCCCTCAGTTACTCGTAGTGTCGCCTTCAGCAACTTACTCAAGCTCTCTGTGCCTCAATTTCTTCATCATACACTGAAGATGATAATATAGATAGCACTAGTGCAAAGAGTCATTACAAAAATTAAATTAATTAAAATTTGCAAAATGGCCGGGTGACGTGTCTCACGCCTGTAATCCCAGTGCTTTGGGAGGCAGAGGTGGAAGGATTGCTTGAGGCCAGGAATTCAAGACCAGCCTGGGTAACATAGTGAGACATTGTCTCTACAAAAAAAATTTTTTTTTAAATTAGCCATTACCTCCTGAGCCAGTTTCATTCATATTTATATATATGCCAGGAGTGGTGGCATATCCTTGTAGCCCCAGCTACTCAGGAGGCTGAGGGGAGGATCATTTGAGCCCAGGAGTGAGAGGTTACAGTGAGCAATGATTGCACAACCGCACTCCAGCCTGGGTGACAGGGTGAGATTCTGTCTCTAGAAAACAAATGAACAAACAAAAAACAACAACAACAACAAAAAGAAATTGTAAAGTGTTTAGAATACCACCCCCCTCACCCACTCAGACTAAACACTACATAAGTATTAGTTGTTGCTATTGTTGCTATTATTATTATTATTATTTGTGCCCTGGACAACCCCTGGGACAGCTTCTCCATTTGCCTGGCCTTGGCTCCATACTTCTCAGTTCACTTAGATGGCAGGGCCCCTGTGCGTCCTGCAGCTCTTTGTAGTTAGCTTTGAGATGCTGAGCCATTTCACTCCACAGTGTAGCAAAACAATTCCACTTGCAGAAGGTTTGACAATGTTATGCATTTGCAATAGGAAATCACACCTCCAGGAGTTCGTGCCCTCAGTGAATACATGCTTCCAGAGTTAAACGTAGTGAGCCCTTTCTAAGTCTTGCTTTTACCGTAATAAAAATTCAAAAATTGAGAAAGTGATATCCATTACCTTACTTTCATCATGTTAGAGGAAAAGCCTCTATTAAGGCCATTTTGCTTTAAGCCACAGGTGAACCCCAGAATTTGCCTCAGTTCACCTAGTTAATCAACACAGGGGCACCAATTGCTATGTGTCTGCTCTGTGCCGGTGAGCTTTATCATCCTCATCCTTTTTCAAAGGAGAACACTGAAGTTCAGAAAGAGGAGGCAATCGCCAACAGCCATTTGTTGAGTGCTGGGGCCAGGGTCTGACCCGGCTCTGTGAGGTGCCCCGGGCAGAGTTCTCTCCTCCTATGATCCTGTGGGGAAGTAACCCCAGAGAGTTGGCCTGCCTTTTGCTTCCAAGGATGTCTTTGACTCTGGTCCCTCACACACCAATCAAGTCTGAGTTTGGGGACCTGCCACCATGTCCACAACCGACATTAACTCAGAATCCTTTCCATGCACAGAATCCACCTTGGGTCACCTTCCCTGCTCAGAGACTCCCTAGAGCCAAACTAGTCCCAAACCCAGGGATTCATGGTGGACTTCAGCCCAGGACACAGGCTATAGGCATCACACAGTCCCTTCCCAACTATCCCTGCGAGACTCCACTGCAGCTTCTCCTATGGCCCACTCTGGAGTCAGAGATTGTCCCAGGCTGGCCATGAATAGGCCTTTCAAGCCCAGAGAAGCTGAGCTTCCCTTTTCTGCAGTCACACCCCTGTCTGAGATACAGAACATTACCCCTACCTAGAGAACAGGCTAGTGCTATAGCAGATAAGCCAACCCTATCACTGAATGGAAGATGCCCCAGGCCTGCATCCCATGACATCTGGCCTCTCTTGCCTCCTAGATTCAGTATTCCAGATTCAGCCAACCTGAAAAATCACTGCCAGTAAGGAGGAGGTTAGAACACTTCACATTTTAGTTCCACCAAACTTGTTCAACCACCTGAAGGACCCACAAGCTTAAAATACCCCAAACATAACTGCCTTTCCTCACCCAATCTCCATGAGGTAGGTCCCTGCTCCTGATTCCAATATGCATGGCCCCACAGGCTGCAACCCTGTTAGCATCTTGGCTTTGCACCTGAAAACCAGGCAACCAATAAAGCCCAAGTGAATTAATAGCCAAGAGGAAGCCTACAACAGGAGTGTAACTCTTGGCTCTGGTAGCTCCCACTGGGTGTCAACGTCAGGCCTTAAATCTCAGCTACCATATTATTGGTGCTACCACACAAGAGCTTACAGCAGCAAAAAGGGGACCTGATACTATCCCATTTTGCAGATGAATAAAGTGAGTCTTAAGGAGTAAGAGTGACTCACCAAAGACACAAAACCACTGAGCACTTGGAAATAAGTCACATCAGACTCCAGAGCCTTGGTACACCAAGGCCACTCTTCTAGTCCAGTGATTAATTCCAGCAAATAAATTTTCCAATTCCATTAAATAAAGATTGTTTGTTGTTTCTGTTGGTTTTCTCACCACTGGGATTTGCCTGGTCACTATGTCTCAGAAGGCTCCAGACACTTTCCACAAGGCACTGTGATGACTAAATTAGCCCTTCTCAGGGACATAATCATCAGTTCCTAGATTTAACCCATTAAACAGAGAAAATGGAACAACATTTTGCCATTCAATGGCAATTGTAGGCAACAACCACGGAAATAAAATATGAGCAAGAATGTCGACAATTATGCCAGAGTGCTGAGCATACCAGCAGCCACTTTTCCATTAGCCTGCCACCCTTGGAAACCATCAAATGTCCCCTTCCTGTGCTCCAGTAAATGTAAATTTTGCTTGAGTAAAATCTTGTCCTTGACTTCTTTTCTGGAGAAGTGTTACTCTTTTCTGGAGTGTTACTCTCAGTCCCTCATCTAAAGGGGAGAACATAGGAAACGAGTGGACTTCAGGGCCATCAGAACTGGGGGGAACCCTGATTCTGGCTCTCTGTAGCTCTGCTCTTAAGTTTTCTTATTTCTAAAAGGAGGATCTGCCTCAGGGGCTGGTAATTACATCTCTTATTTAGAATGAATAAACTGGAAATTCTAGCTTTCAGCGCCACCTCTGAGAGCTTCATTGGGGTGTGGCAGGAAGTCTGGATTGGTGCTAGTGGGCTGATGTTGGGGAGTGTGCAAGCCCACAAGTGCCTGGCTCCTGGCCCCTCAGCTGGGATTCAACTCAGGACAGGCAGCCACGTGTGCCTCTGTCCAGAGGCCACCCTGTCTCCCTGAGTGACTCCCTCCCAAAACCAATAACCGTCTTTGTTCCTACACTTTTTATCTTGCCGGATGGTTGTGTATATTAAATGAGAGGAAGCCATAGAGTTGTCAGGGGTCAACCCCAGCAGCTTGTGGGCTGGTTTGTAGCCTGCAAGGGTATTTTGTTTGCCCATATAGACTTTTCAGCAGCTGTCAACTTTAAAAATTGGAACAGTTCACACAAGCTAGATTTCTGGGCTCTCTTGGAAAAAGTCACAAGATTCCACAACCCAGGGTTTTCATTCCCGTGAGATGACAGTCGGCTGGAGATAAGAGGCAGCTGTCCCCTTTAATAGTTGGCCCATAAGCGCTGGAATTGGGGTGTTCAGCCTCTCAAATACAGTAGATGGCCAATAAAGGACGGTTATCAGTACTTATTACTTATCAATAACTTGAGTACATGGCATTTAAGTGCAGGGACTGGGGACTTGTCACTGTCTTCCCATTGTGACTAGCTTGGGTCATTTGGTACAACCTTTGTACAGACTGGAAGATTGGTAATTGGCATCAACACTCAAAGCCCCTGTTGGGTGCCAGTCACTGTTCTGAGCACTTCACACATGTTATCTAGATCTTCACAACTGTGAGCTAGATTACTATTACTTTATTTGATCGTTACAACTGTGAGCTAGATTACTATCATCGTGATGCTTTTGCCGATGGGAGAACTAAGGCACAGCCCCAAATCACCAAGCCAGCAGAGAGTCAGGATTGAAACCCAGGTCCTGACCATTCCTCCACATTGCAGGATCCTCCCAAGTGGCGATGGAGGTGTGGCCTGCCCAGCTTCCCTAGGGCCTGGCAGCCTCTGAAAGCCCTGCCCCCCAGCCCAGCACAACTTACGGTCAAGGCCGTTGATGTAGCGCATGGTGACTTCACAGTGGCCCCACACGGCACTCACCACCGGGTACAGCTTCTTGCCCTTGAGACCTCGGAAGGCCACGCCCAGGTACTGGCCATCCACGATGAAGCTGAGTGTGCCCTCATCCATGTCCAGCACCACGAGCAGCGAGTCGGGCAGCGCAAAGGCCTCGTCGGGCCCCAGAAAGGCCGGGTAGGCCACGCCGGGCTGGTTCTTGCCGTCGTGGTAGAGGCGGCTGCGGCCCAGGTCCCAGCCCCACGACTCGGCGTCACTGCCTACCAGCGCCGTGTAGCCCACGGAGTGCAGGGGAGCACGGGCCGTGGCCACACCAACTACAGCGTGGGTGCCGCGCTGCCGAGCCGGCCAGTTGATCTGCCAGGCGTGCAGGCCGCGGGCGTGGCCCACCTTGCCGCGGATGCCGTCGGTGCTCTGGGCCACGGGGTGCCGGTGGAAGGTGAGCCGGTCGTCGTCCTTGACGAAGACGTTGAGCGAGCGGTCCTCGGGGTTCCACGCGTGCCGCAGCTGCACAGCCAGCCCCGCCGCTGGCATGTCCAACAGCTGGTCCAGCCGCGCCGGCCGCCCGGGCTCTGCACCCCGCAGCTCCCGCTTGGCCGGCCGCAGCGCCGGCTCTCGCACCTCCACTGACTTGAGGCTCCCCGAGAGCTTCTGGCCCATGCTTCACTGCGGGGAGGAGGCCGCTGCAGGCCACCGCTACCTCGTGGGAGCCTCCACTCCCCGTAGCCAGGAATGGGCCACGGGGCTGGGAACCAGGCTTCCGGACGGTAGACCTCCACAGCCTCTACCGGGCTGCGGCAGGGGCCCAAGCTCCTGGAAGGAAGCAAAGGGCACGGGTTATAGCAGCAGCATCAGCAGCCAGTTGCCAATCCCTTCATTTATGTCCATGCCTTGGCTGAGCCCTTTGCATGCACAATAATAGTAATAATTCGTACACTCATATCTGGCACTAATCTAGCACCTGCCATATGCCAGTGTTCTAAATTATTTATGTTTATTAGTTTGTTTAATCCTTAACATCTCCCTATAAGAGATATACATTATTATTCACAATTTACAGATGAGAACACTGAAGTCAGAGAGAGGATAAGCGATTAGCCGAAGTCCCACTGCAAATAAGTGACTGAGCCAAGATTCAAACCAAGGTCATCTGGCTTCAGGGTCTGTGTTCCGGACCTAGAACAATCATAGGGAGTCTGATTTTAGAAATAAGGCGTGAGCCCAGAGCAGTTGTGACTTGCTCAAGGTCAGAGCCTGGATGAGAACCCAGGTGCTTTTGATCCCAGGGGACAAGCCTTGTGCCAAGGCTGGGGGGCACACAGCTGCTCAAGACACAGGGCTGTAGGGTGTGGCCCATTGGTTCCCAACCCTGGAGTCCTGGGGAGCCTAAATAACCTCCTAAAATGTAGCCAGGCTTGAGCGGCAAGACACAGAACAAGGTGCAGCAGGGTCACCAGGGACATGGACATCAGGCAGCGTGGGAAGATGGGGTGAGAGCTCCATGGGAAGGTGAATGGAGGTCAATAGAGGTGAGGAGGAAGGATAAGGGAGCCGGTGTCCAGGCTCTGGAGCCAGACAGAACTGCGTCCAAATCCCTCTCTCCATCTCCTACTGTGGGTCCACAGGAAAGCCTCCTAGCCTCTTGGATACTCCAGATTTCTTGCCAGTAAAAAACATGAGGATAAAACACCTCCCTCTGGTGATGGGGGAACTTGAGAGACCATAATATAAAGGGTCCTGGAACTCTGCCGACAGGTTTTCCTCTCTGGCTCTGTTCTCTGGGCATCCCATGTGGATCCCCTCCCTTTGGATGGGTGAGCTCTTTGTTCGATCAGGTAAATACCATTAACAGCACTGACCCCAGACTGCCTTCCCTGAGACAGGATCCTGGTTTTCATGGAGAAGGAATTGGCCACCATCACTAGGAAACCAGACAGAACCCAAGGAGCTCGGACTACTTGGACGGGCCCTGGGTATGGAGAGAGATGGAGAGCCAAGCCCTGTCCAGAGCAGAGGCGTGTGCCCTCCCCTCCCTGGCCTGAGAGCTGCTGGGCCTAGAACAACTTCTCCTGAGCCAGATGAGGAGATGGATGGGTGTTTTTCATGCCCTGCCCTCCCCAGCCTCAACCTCCCACCCAGACAGTGGTACACCCCTAGCCAAAGTCCAGGTAGGGACGAAAAGAACTCTGCTGCCACACAGCACAGACAAGTATCCTGTGGGTTTTTCACCATTCCATTTTATTCTTAACTCTCATACTCTTCCCTCTCTATTGTCAGATCCCAGCTTCAGCAGATGTTGACCCTATTCCGAGAGCTCTGGCTAATGTTCAATCTGAGGGAATACCAGAACACATAACAATTTGCAACACTAGGCAGTTTTAAGATAGCAGAATAAAGTTACTCCTTTTCATATCCGAAATCACCCAAAATCCAGGAGAAAAAAAGAAATGCAAACTCCTTCTTCAGCAAACTAGAACACATTTATAACCTGAAACACAGCTTATAAGGAAAGGCTGCCCAAAACAGGTAAGGGCTACCAAAAGCAGTGAAGATCAAAAATACTGTGAGAAAACACCTAGAGAAGACACCTGTGGTGGCAGATCTCAGACAAAGCTGGCAGAGCCAGCCAGGAGCTGGCATTCCCTGAAGGAAAAAACTAATGATCCCTTATCAGAAAAAATGGGAACAGGGCATGTGGTCTGGTAGTGGGAGCTGCCTCCTACACCCTGGGGGAAGAGGAGGGCAGGGCCAACAGAGGAAACCACAGACCCGCCATCTTCACAGGAAGCAGTGTGTTGGCAAGGCAGAGTGAGAGGAGGGCTCTGAATTGGGAGAAGCCCACAGCTGCAGAACTCTGCTGACAGAGTAGAAGCAAAGACTAAAGGAAGTCACTACAACAACCCTGTGAACAAAGTTCCTGGGAACCAGGGAGCAATCCTGCCCTCTTCTTGGTACCTCCTCCACATGTGTCTCCTGCAAAATGCTGATCCAAGAAGGTTTACCTCTTTCAAAGAGGAACCAGCACAGGATATAGTCAAAGATGCTATAGAAGAAAGAAAGGAATAAACGAACAGGACAAAACATGGCAAACCAAGCAAACTCACCTGAAAAAAGCTGCCACAAAGCAGATAAAAATGGGAACCAAATTTGTAAACTAATTTTGTGATTGATTATTTCAGAAGGGAGACACCTAGCATGGTCTCAACAAAAGATTAAATCCATTTTGGCTAGTTATAAAGGTAACCTCCAGAACTAAAAATAAAAATACACATCTTGCAGATACAAACCTTGAACATAATACAAAATAAAACAGATCATATACTGAAAGATTTTGTTAGAAAGCAAGAGAGGCAAAAAGGCATAAAAGCATGAAATATGATAGTAAAACTAAGACCGAAATATTGACCATGTCATTAAATGGCCATAGTAAACTGCTAAAAAAAGATTATAAGACTGGGGAAAAACACAAAACCCCCAACCATATGCTACATATAAGAGACATTCCCCAAAGCAAAGTGATTTAACAATTTTGAAAATAAAGGAAGGGCAAACACATAACAGGGAAGTGTGAACTCAAACTAAGCAGGCACTGTAATCTTAATATTAGGCAAGTAAAGTTGATTTCAGGACAAAAGGTTTTAAGTGAGACAAGAATACTTAATAATAATAAAGAATGCGATCCACAATTGAAGACCGAACTCACCAAATAGCACCAAAATTCAGAGCAAAAGCTAGAGGAAATATAAGGAGGGGCCTTAGACAGACACACATCAGAGGCATGTAATTTTAATTTCCCTCTTCTAGCTCATGATGGACCAGTGGACCAAAATTAAGTAAAGACATAGAAAAACCAAATTACATAATTAATAAGACAGATCTAACTAATGTGTTCATCAAATTCTATACCTTGAAAACAAAGAATGCATGTTCTTTTCAAGTGTTCATGGAATGATCAAAAAAATTTTCCTGTATATTAGGTCACAAACAAAACTTCAAAAAAAGCAAAAATAATACAGTATCTGATAACACAGAAGGAAAACTAGAAATTAATCACAAAATTATAGATCACAAAATCCTATCACTTAGGCATTTTAAAAAATTCTTTAAACAACTTGACCCCAACTCAGATCAAAAAAGAAATCCATATAGAAATTGCAGAATATCTGGAATACAACAATAACAAAAAGCATTCCACATACTAGAACCTGCGGGGTGCCTCTACAGCAGTTCTCAGAGGAAATCATGGCTGATATATTTATGCTATTAAATTTTAAAAAATGAATGGAGCATAATAAAATAGGGAAATAATAGAACTAAGCAAAAACTAAAGAGATGGTTCTTTGGGAAAAACTACCACAAAAACAAAACAAAATCAATAAAACATATAAACTATTAAAGCTAATCATGTAATGTATCATATTATATTATGTTATATTATTATATTACTATTATATTAATCTATCATGTTGATAGTGTGTACCCTTGATATGATATAATGAAATCTTCCTTTGGGTGTCTTCCCCAAAACCCATAACCTCACTCTAATCATGAGAAAAACAAAGGACAAATTCCATCTGGAGGCCATCCCACAAAATACCTGACCTAACCGGCAAGGTCATCGGAACCAAAGTCTGAGAAACCATCATAGTGAAGAGGGCCCTAAGGAGACCTAACAATTCCACATAATGTGGTATCCTGGATGGGATCTGGAACAGAAAAAGGATATTAGGGGCTGGGCTTGGTGGCTCACACCTGTAATCCCAGAACTTTGGGAGGCCAAGGCAGGTGGATCATTTGAGGTCAAGAGTTCAAGACTAGCCTGGCCAACATGGTGAAATGCTGTCTCTACTAAAAAAATAAAATTAGCCAGGTGTGGCGGCACACGCCTGTAGTCCCAGCTACTTTGGAGGCTGAGGTGGGAGGACTGCTTTAACCCAGGAGGTGGAGGTTGCAGTAAGCCAAGATCGTGCCACTGCACTCCAGCTTGGGTGACAGAGGGAGACTCCATCTCAAAAAAAAAAAAAAAGAAAGAAAGAAAAGGAAAGAAAAAGAAAGAAAGAGAAGAAAAAGGATATTAGGTAAAAACTGAAATCTGAGAAAAAAAGGAAATCTGAAAAAATATGTTAATAACAATTATTAATATTAATTATTAAAATAAGTTAATAATAATGTATCAATACTGGTTCATTAGTTGTGATAAATGTGCCATACTAATGTAAGATGCTAATAATTGGGGAAACTAGGGTGATAAATGGAGTGAGCATATGGGACCTCTCTGTACTATCTGTTTAGTTTTTCTTTAAATCTAAAACTATTCTGAAGAAATAAAGCTCATTAATTAGAAAAGGTTAAATAAATGTCTAAATTTTAGAGAATACAAAAAAAGGACAAAAACTAGAATTCACCTCTTTCTCCTATCTCATTAACCAGATATAAACATTGTCAGCTTTTGGAGGAATTTTGCTTTATTCTCTCTTTTTTTTTGGTCTATAAATTATAATGAATTTTCTTTTTAAAAATTGGTATAATGGGCCTTTATTTAGATTATTTCACCTAAAAATTATGTAATTTGCATTTTCACATATCACTAAATATACTTTAAATGCATAAGTAACTAAATTTTTAAAAACACATAAAACATAAACCATATAATCATTTAATGGGGGAGAAGACAGAAATATGTAAAACAAGAAATGAAAATGGGAAATAACAAAACGGTGTAGCTGAAAGCACTTGTAAAAGAAGTTAGACTTGTTTTAACATAAGAAAAAATTTGCAACACAAATTACCAACAAATATATGTCAAACTCCTACAAATGAATACAAGTACAAAATATGAAAAGATATCAACAGTTTACACAAAAACAAATGGTTCCTTTGAAAAGATACTCAATGTATACTGAAAAAGAAATGAGTTAGAACTCCATTGAAATGCCATTTTTGTCTATCAGCTTATTAAAGGTCAAAAAAATGGATAACGCATGCTTGGAGAATGTGTGGAACAGAAGACAGACTCATACATTGCTAAAGTGGATATAAACTGGTTTAGCCTCGGCAAATGGCAAATTAACACCATCTTTCAGAATTGCAAATATACAGACCCTTTGACCTAGCAATTCTACTTCCAGCATTTATTCAGATATGTTCTCAAATGCACAAAACTACCTATGTACACAGCACATGCATACATACTGCATACATACGCAGCACTCTTTGCAATAGCAGCCCGGGCTCAGAGAGGTTGCATAACTTGCATAACCTGGGGTCACACAGCCAGGAAGTGGCAGGACTGGGATCAACCCCAGAGTTACCATATGACAAGCCTGTGCTCTTACTTCTTCCTCCATGTTGTTTAGAATAATGCCCTCTCCACAGCAATGACTGTAACCAGCTCTGTGTGGCCCACACAGAAAATTTCTAAGGGAAACTGCTTTATCCTTGCACACAACCATGCCAACTGTGGAGTTGCTGTTGCTGAAAAGACACTTAAACATGTTTGAAAGCAACAGCCAAACAGCAGCCCCAGGGAAGACCTCTTACTAGTACTTGGCTTGGCCCATACTGGGTCATTGAGGGCCCAGTGCTCTCCTTTGCAATCATAGTCTCAAAGTCTCTGTCCCTACTAGAGGCAGGCAGAGATCCTGAAGAGTGCTCACACTGTGGTGTGACAAGGTGGGCAAGTAAATAGACAGCCCCTTTGCTGCTCCCCCAGTACAGGGCGCACAGCAGAGTGCTCATGTCCATGAATGATAAGCCGTTAAGGGAAACTAGCAGCTGGGCAATCTAATGAAGGACAGGAGACCTAGATGTGAATCCCCACCTGTCTGTTGGACCCTAGGCCAGAACTTAATCTCTCTGAGACTGGTTGGAAGTGCTGCTAACTATGTGCTAACCTCACCTGCTTTTGCAAGTATCAGAGCAGACACCTGTAAAGTCTGGCACATCACAGGGCTTCCAGTAAGTGGTGAGTGCTCTTTTAAATTGTGGATGTGTTCCAACATTGCCATTTCACCACTTGAATGTGCCTGGCTATGAACTGATTGTGTCCTCCCCAAATTCACATGTTGAAGCCTAATATAGGTTGGATATTTGTCCCTGCTCAAATCTCATGTTGAGTTGTAATCCTCAGTGCTGGAGGTGAGGCCTGGTGGGAGCTGTCTGGGTCATGGGGGTGAGTCTGTCATGGCTTGGTGCTGTCTTAGGGATAGTGACTGAGTTCTGGAGAGATATCTGCTCATTTAAAAGTGTGTGACACCTCCCCACCCCCGCCTCTTGCTCTTGTTTTCACCATGTGACATGCCTTCTCCTCCTTCACCTTCTGCCATGACTGTAAGCTTCCTGAGGCCTCTCTAGAAGCCAAGCAGATGCCAGCACCGTGCTTCCTGTAAAGCCTGCAGAACCGTGAGCCAACTAAACTTCTTTTCATTATAAATTACTCAGTCTTAGGTATTTCTTTATAGCAATGCAAAAATGGCCTAACACAAAGCCCCAGTGTGATAGTATTTGGAGGTGGAGCCTTTGAGAGATAATTAGTCCATGAGGGTGAGCTCCACCTCCTCTAGGAAGCCTGCCCTGATCCAGTAGGCCTCCTGGGGCCTGCCCTGTACCTCTGTCCACCCTTGAGCCAGCCAGGGGGACATCTTTCAGGCCTTACTGATCTGCTTTTTTCTACCTTGAGGGCATTCCTCTGATGGCAGGAAACTTTCACCAGCACTTCTGTGCCCCCAGCCACTGCACTACTCCCTCCATGCAAGACACAAGCCTGGTACTTTGAACATGGGGCAGAACACACATATGGACTGTGGAGAGGTTGTGCTGGGCTTCAGGGAGGGCTCATGCTCTGCTGTTTTTCAGAGGATGAAGCAGAGAAAGGGCCAGGGCTAAAGTCAGGATATGGGGACATGAAGCCCAGTAATGCCACTATCATAGTTGGACTCTCACTCCTGAGCAGCTGACTCTTGGCTGTATCCAGTCTACTCCTTTATTAGCTACTGCTTTGCATCCTTCCCTGCTTCCAACCCTCATTTATTCGTTCAAAAAATGCTTAGTGAACACAGTGCCAGGCACTGTGCAGCTGAGAGCAAGGGACACAGCAGTGGCCAAGTCGGGCTCATCCCTGCCTTCTCTCTCCAGCCAGAGGGAGTGGGCACTTAGCACATTTCTCCTCTCCTCATCTCCACTACAGCATGCAGCACTGGGCCAGGCACATGGGACATACAACAGGATCCATCTTCCTGACAGGAATACCATCATCTCTCAACCCAGTAAGCAGCCAGCATCCTGAAGAACGCCAAAGGATGCCTCCGTCACTTTTCCCCAAAACCAAACTTAATTTCCTACGTCATGCTTGGATGGGGATGCTTAATGACATTATCCAGAAGGATCTGCTCTGGGGCTTCAATCATGGCTGAGCAAGAAAACAAAAACTCTAATTTGCTAATTGCCTTTCCCAGGACCCTAGCAGATGTTCCTACCCGACAGGGAAATGAGGAGACATGAAGTGGCAATGCCACACTGTTTAAGGAACCTCATTAGTTTGAAAAATATGATGCACAGTCTTCAGAGGCCTGGGACCCAAAATCACAGCCACAGAGGCCTGTCTAGCTGAGCTCAATAGGCACGGGGTCTGCAAGAAGACATGACTGCTGTGGGGATTGGTAGTGACTGCGTGAAATGCCCTTCTCTCTGTGTGGCCTCTGGCTTTGGACTTGCTGGAGCCAGAGGTGGGGGCAAGTCTCCTTCTTTCATCTAGCCAGCAGTAATGATGCCTGCCCTGGGGATCTCAGGCTGCTGAAAAGCATAAGACTCAACCACTTTCCCTTAGGGAGACAGCCTACACCAAAGGGGTCAGACTCCACGAGAGATCTGAATAATGACAAAGACTGTAAAAAGAAATCCAGTTAGATACCACTGGAATTCCTTTATAGACTGCATATTACTTTCAAATATATACTACTGCACTTGTAAAAGTACACAGTTGATCTAATCACGCTCCTGCTCAAAATCCTCGACAGGTTCTCTGAGGCTTTCAGGATATTA
The DNA here is from genome assembly GCF_000001405.40 of Homo sapiens. Lineage (NCBI taxonomy): Eukaryota > Metazoa > Chordata > Mammalia > Primates > Hominidae > Homo > Homo sapiens. The sequence goes on along the minus strand of NC_000003.12, from coordinate 141,057,725 downwards.
GATATTAGTGCCTCTGGGGAGCTCCCCAGCCCCCTGTGCTCTCAGAGCCCTTGTACTTGTGCCCACCACAGCTCTTATCACAAGGGGACATGATGTCTCTTTGGCTGCCTCCCTCCCATCGGACTGGGGCAACTTGGGAGCAGGGGCCGGGTGTCCCTCATCAGAGTCCCCATGGACCTGGCTTAGAGAAAGTGGTGGGTGAACGTCTATGGAATGCACGAGCACGAACAAATGAAGAAAAGCAATACACTGCCTTAGAAAGAACCAACACTTAAGAATGAACTGGGAATGCAGAGCACTGTGAGCTCAGACTATTTATTTCATGTCTTTATTTTTCAATTTTTGACTCTGTGCAAAGGTACCAATGATAGGTGCCTGACCTTAGTTTAACTGGAATGTTTTTAAGATTTTTCTTGTGCAAATATTAAGTAGGGAGGCTGTTTTATTAAAGATGCTCATTCAGAATGAACCCACCAACAATGAATGAACTAAAGAACCCCCAAGGTTTTGTTCATAGGCATTCATTAGCTTTTCCCTGCTATACACACATGGAGCTCAGGCTACAACTGGCTGGGCAAGCCCTTTCTTCCCCAAGAGCTCACAAAGAGAGCCATCTGTCCAGTTCCAGGTGGAATCATCTCACGCCTGTTTTCCTGGAGCGAGAATCAATGAGGCTTCCCTGAGCCTCTCCTCCTCCTGGGGTTTCCATGGGAATCCTCCCACGCGTGACTGAGCCAGGGGCCCCCAAGGTGCAAGCTGGGCTGTCAGCCAGCAAGGAGAGCAGCAAATGGGATGAAGGAGGTTTGCTAGGCTGTGACCAGGGCAGCAAGCTCTGCAAGGTCATTTGAAAGAGACATACCACTGAGACAGCAAGGCCACGTGCAGTCCGGGCCAGCCCGGTCACCACAGCTGCCCCTGAGCCCAGAGGCCTGCCCCAGGCACATGTGGAGGTTGTTTGCAGGGCAGCTGGATTCCCTGAGGCCCAGCATGTCTGGGCTGGGTCAAAGCATGAAGGGAGAAGATGGGAAGGGTACCATTTAATGAAGCCCTCTGGGGAAAACGATGATGAAAACATGATAAGGTTTGCGTCCAATCCCTCATTTACCTCCCAAGATGAACCTTCTCCACTTGGTATAACTGGTTGTCTGGAAACAGAATGCCTAAAAGAAAAGCAGAACTATTCATGCCTCTGGCTTGAGCCAGGTCATAATAGGGACCTGCTGGGATTTCTGAAGATCCCTCTGTTAAGCCTACAGTATCTCTGGGGGCATTTTTGAGATACTAAGGAGGAAAGGAGAGAGGATGAGAGGAAGAGAGGAGAAAGGGAGCAGGATCGGGGAGGGAGCTGCTCCAGCCCCAGGAATCTGTACAACTTGCACATTTCATAGAATGCAGATAACAGGTAGATGTCTCCTGAAGGTAGATAACAGGTAGAATGTCTCTGTGGCCAGTAAACCGGGCCAAGGCCCACTCACTTCTGGAGAAAGCAGAGCTCCAGTTCACCATACATGACATTTCACAACATTAAAGGTCAGATGGATGACTTTGGCACTGCTCCAGCGTCTCCCACCACACATACCAGCACATTGAAGTGTAGAGCTTACCACAGCAGCTTTCCTGCCTCCTCCTGGCTCCAATGTCTTCCTGCCTACCCCATCAATGGGGCACCCCCAAGTCCATTGCTTCAACTTCAGTTTCCGCTTTTCACTCTCTCTCTCCATGCATCTTCTCTTATGACCTGCATCTCCAGCCCCGTGCAGACACTCTCAAGCCGGGTCTCCAGTGCTGCCTTCTCTCCTCAGCACAAGACCTACCTACTAGAAGCCCCTGGTCAGCCCTGCCTGGGTGTTGTTTCAAATGACCTTGTAAGGCCAGCTGACCTCTTTCCATCATAAGCCTCCTACCATGGGCACACCCACACTCTCAGCCCTGCGGGACATCTGTGGTCCATGTGCACCTCGGAATCTGCAGGTCCTAGGCTGAGCCTGGCCTCTTCCCTCTCTCACATGCCAGGTTCCTCTGCATGTCACTGTTCCTGCCATGGATCCCGTCTCTTGGTCCCCACCACTCAACCCCGTCAGCTTTCCCCTAGTTCAGAACTTGCCTGGATTACTCCACTGGTCTCTTAGCAGGCTTCCCTGACTCCACTGTTTGCCCGCCAACCCACTCTCCATGCTGCCAACAGGTAAGTTGGACCAAGACACCCACCAATCTCTTCATTCAACCCTCCAGGCAGCTTCTCCAGAGAGAAGCTGCACCTCTTTGCTTGGCACCCAGGGGCCCTCCAGGCTGCTCTTATTTCTTCCACACTGTCTGTCATCACGGCCCACCTCAGACCAGTCATGCCAGACTCTCCTCGTCAGCACATCCTGGGACTCTTCCCATCTTCTCTGACCTGGCTGACATTCTCTCACTCCCCTGCCCCTTCTAGCAGAAGCAGAACTGGGCACCCCTCCGTGGCAGCCCCTCAGCCCACTACATCCTCTTCCCTCCGCCCCATTATGTCCTCTTGCCTACGTCCCACTGCACCCTCTGCCCTCCAACCCACTTTGTCTTCATCTTAGCTGTTGATTCCTGCTGCTATCTCTTGCACCACATCTGCATTTCTTAATGGAGCCAGTGCCCAACCAGCCTTTATCTCCAATACTCGTACACAGCCTTGTACCTGTTACCTCTGGCTGCATTAAGACGTGCTTGTCAGACTGAAGAAGGACTAGCCACTCTATACCTCCTGCATGGTTTGCATTTTTTTTTTTTTTTTGAGACGGAGTCTCGCTCTGTTGCCCAGGCTGGAGTGCAGTGGTGCCATCTCGGCTCACTGCAAGCTCTGCGTCCCAGGTTCATGCCATTCTCCTGCCTCAGCCTCCCCAGCAGCTGGGACTACAGGCGCAAGCCGCCACGCCGGGCTAATTTTTTGTATTTTTAGTAGAGACGGGGTTTCACTGTGTTAGCCAGGATAGTCTCGATCTCCTGACCTTGCGATCCCCCCGCCTCGGCCTCCCAAAGTGCTGGGATTACGGGCATGAACCACCACACGTATACATTTTAAATGGAGTAAGTTCTGAACTCAATGTGTGAAGCAAAAATCACATGCAATCAACACTGCTTAGGAAAGTTCTTCTAAAGTTCCACACAAAGTTCATGATAACTGGTTTGAGGTATACCACCTCTTTCCCAAAGGGCACACCACCCACAACTGTTTTTCCTATAGCCTCAAAACAAATCCCTATTTCTTGAACTGATCAGCAGCAAATAAATTAGTTGGCTTATGTAGGAACCATGTTTTATTAAAAACGTGTTGCTGGTTTAAAAATTTTTTATAGTTGATCTTTTCTTACCACAGATGGTCATGTTCACATAAATCAAGAGTACATACTATGTACTTATATAGTACATATATAGGCAGAGACTTCTGGTGACCTCCATCTACGGCCTGCCACTCCCCTGATTTTCATGCCCAAGACCCTTCACTCCTGTATCAACAGAGAAAAAACCTTTCTAGAGCATGGATGTGTGACAACAGGTCGGGCAGCTCAGGGGAAATTAAGTAACTCCTGTATGGTGAGTTGTACTAGGTCTTTCCCCAAAAGGGCAAGGAATTCTGCACTGGCCACTGTGGCTTGGCCACTTTCTGGGATAGAAATGAAGCCCTTCCAAGGACAGTTCTACGTAAATGATGAGGAAGTTTCAGTTGTATGAAAAACTAGGAGGAAAAGTATTCTAGGCAGGGGAACAGCAAGTGAATGAGCCTTTGGAGTGTTGGAGTAAAAGGAAGAAGGCTAGGAGGGTGGGTAGTGGGGGAGAGGAAAATGGTGAGGAAGAGGTGGAGAAGGGCAGTACCAGACCTGAGGACCCCTGGGATCATCTAGATTTTACTCTGTGGCAGCCTTAAGGAGGTCCTGAGCTAGGGAGAAATGTGATCTACATTTTTAAAAGATGCTTCTGATAAATGGTTATGACTACTTGCTAATTTGATACATTAAAAAAAAATCTTGTAATTTTAACTTGCATTTTTCGTATTGAGGTAAGGTATCTTGTCATATGTTTTGGTATCATTTCTATTTTATTTCGCATGTATGAATCGTGTCTTTGCCCATTTGATCTTTTGTTTGTTGACCTCAGGAATCTCTTACATATTTAAAGAGATGAGCCTGTTGTGATAGGAGTGGTATATGTCATATGTGACAGTTTGTCATATATCTTTTGACTGTTTCTGGTGATTTCTTTTCCTTGCAGATTTTATTTTTATATCATTAAATATATCTTTAAAATAAACGAGAAATACAAACTGGAGAGATATTTGGGTAGAAGGTCCAGTAAGTTGAATTTTGTTTGTGATTTGCCAAAGGTGGCTTAAATTCTTTTCATTACCATTTTTAAAAATGGAATAAATTAGAGGGTATGTGTCTCAGAGGAATATGCCCTTGGGTAAAGGATGTTTATATCATGCTTTTACACATTTTACGTCTTCCAGACTTAAGCTCATCAAATTGCGCGGGTGGGGGGCAGGGGGCCAGAAAGGGGGTGGGAGGATAGAGGGCTCAGAGTCTGAGAGAAAGGAACTCCTATCTTCATCCCCCAACCCCCCAAGGAGGAGAGTGGGGCGCAGAAGAGGAAACCAAGCGGGGGGAGGTTAGAGAACTTGCCCAAGGTCACACCGCGAGCTGGTGGTGGAGACAGATTCGAACCCAAGCCTGACTCCAGAACTGAGAACTCTCCACCTTCTCGCGACAGCGGTACAGAAAAGTGCCCTCCTCTCCTTCCTGCCGGCAGCCGTCTGCGCTTGGCCATGGGCCGGCGGGAGCAGCCACTCCCCCGGTTCTCCCGCCAGTCAGAGGTCGGGGGCTCGGCGTCCCCTTCTGGCTTGGAGCCCCTGGCGCGTACAGAGCGACCAGGGCGGACACATTTGCCGCGCTCAAGTCTCTGACCCCCTCCCTCCTTCCCAGAGCCCTGCGCCTAGGGTTTCCTGAGCTCCCAACCCCCTCCCTTCCCGAGCATAGACAAGTTTGTATTCAAGCAAGGCCAGGACTGGTCCCTGAGTCGCTCTCGGGCCAGGCGACCAGCCTCACTGCCCCAGAGTCAGGAATAAACGGTAACAACAGCCACCGGTGCCTATTGCGTGACCCGTGCTTTACTTCCACCTCTCCGAATACCCCGGACGAACAGACCCCCAGGAATTATTGTCCCCATTACACGGACGACGGAACTGCTGCAGCTTCGGAAAGTTGGATAACAAGCTTGGGCTCGCAAAGCTAATAATAATACTAGCTAACATATGATTGAGTGTTTCCTGTGTGCCCAGCACATGTCTACCTACGAACACCATCCCATAGATCTTTCCAATACCCCTATAAAATGTGCACAATTATCATTCCCATCCTACGGATGAGGAAACAGGTTTGGCGCCCTGTCCAAGGTCACTCAGCCAGTGAGTGACGGATCCTGGATCCAAACCAAAGCGGGTGAATCGGATGGCAGTTTTTTGTGCGTTGTCCGCTACGCAGAGAAGCAAAGGGCTTAGAACCCATGATACCAAAGGCCGGGCCCCAAACGCCCCAGGGCTGCGCGCAAATCAACCATCTCGAACTGCCACAACCTGCAGAGAGGAATTCTCAGGGACTGGGACGTCAGGAGCGCCAGCTGTGTCGAGTGCTGGCCCGCACAAAGTCCGTGCAGCCGGATCTCGGCTCCCGGCCCCCGCGCGCCCCTCACCAGGAGCTGGAGAGTACTTACCATAAAAGAGAGGGCAAGCGCCTGTTCGGGAAGAATCCCCAGCGCTGGCAGGTCCTGGACTCCCTGGAGAGGGGTCTGCTGCCGCCGCCGCCCACTCAGGGGCGCCCGAGTGACCCGCAAATGCCGGCTCTCTCCGCACGGCCAGGGGCGCGTCCTCACGGCTGATGCCCGGCAGCAGCGCCCCCTCTGCGCTGCAGGATGGCCTGGAGTTAGGAGCGTTCTTGGCGAAGTTGGCGCTCAGGCGCCGGGGGTCGGGCCTGGAGTGGGGAAGCGCCTTACTGAAGCGATCCTGGGGGCGCTCCAAGGCCCGCGCTCTAGCCGCTTGGAAGCTTGGCGCCTGACCCGGAGGGCGACGAGTCCCGCGCTCAGGGCGCACGGGCCGCGCCTCGGCCGCTGGCCCCCGGCGCGCCGGGCGTCTTCCCCAGCGCCCTGAGCGCACGCAGCGGTAGCAGCAGCTGGGGCCCGGGCCCGGGATGTGGTGTGTTCATCGCCCTCCCCTGGGGCTGGGTGCTTTTGTGCGCGGGGCGCGCCGGCCGCCACGGCCAGCTCTGGATGCTGCAGCCGCCGCCGCCTCCCCCTCCTCCGCCGCCGCCGCCCGCTCCCCGCCTTCCCGGCCGGCCCGGAGGCTGCAGCTGAAAGCCGATCTGGCTGAGCTCATCCCTGAAGGCCACTAATCCAATAGCCGCGGAAGGCGCGGTCGCCGGGAACGCCCCTTCCCCCACCATCCCGCGCCCCGGCCGTCCCAGCTCGGGCCGCTGCCGGCGCCGCCACCTTCTCGAGGCCACCAGCTGGCGGGAGAGGGAAGTGGAGCCCGCGCCCGCGCCCCTGTGCCAAGGCGGCGGCGCGGTCGCCATTCACTCACCCGCCCACTCGCCCGCTCACTCCCTAGCTCTCGCATTCATTCCTGCGCGCGGGTCCTCCCGGATTCATTCAAGCGCTCCTGGAGCGCCAGGGTGGGTGCCCCTGACGGGGAGGAGACACCCAGTCACTAGGCAGCTTTGGTGCCTTTACTCAACGCACGTGGGAAATAGCAGCCAGGAGGAAAAAAGGGTGGTTTATTATCCCCCTTCCTCAGACACACACGTCCACACTTTATTTTTGAGATCAGGCTCCAACTCATCTCTTAAAGTCCAATTTCATACCGCACCTGCTCAAGGAGCGTTCCCCGCCCACCCGAGGCGCAGGAAGTCGGTCTCTTTGCTCTACCAGCGCTGATGGTGGGCCGCCTCATTGGGAGCCTGAACTGAGCGATGGGGTAAAGGGCGTGGCCAAAACAGAAGCCTCGAGGGTGCTTCTGGTATCTGCGCTTCCTTGGGGAAATTGAAAGTTCTTGGTTTGGTGGCCCTCGTCTGTGCTCCCAGAATTGACTTTAGGTCCATTACGCAGTCATTTGCTAACCCAATCCCTCTCTGTGCCAGGTACCAGGCAGAGTCTAGATGCAGACAGAGTCTAGATGCAGACAGAGTCTAGATGCAGAGTGCGCATTTCATCAAGGACATGGAAAACAAGTAAAGACAATCCAACTCTATGAAGGAAACGTTTTGAGAGAGGTTCTGGGGCGAATTTGTCAGACTGGAAAGGGCAACTGGGAATGTTTCCTAGTAAATGTGTCTACATGAATTAGCTCCTGGAGGCAGGGGTACAACATGGTCACCTGGAGAGCTACCTATCACAGCACAGAGCCTGTGCTATGAGCAGAGGGGGTATGACGGAACTGGAGGGATGGACGGTGTCTAGGGTCTTGGGTGGAGACTGTATCAAGAGCTTGACCTTCCCCATCACTTTGGGAGGCCTTTAACCAGGGTAGTGACCTTGTCGGATTTGCATTCCAGAAAGACCTCTTAGCAGCCAACTGGATGGATGGATGGAGGAAACCAGGTTGGCAGCTACTGTAATAGTCTAAGCATAAGATGATGCTTTATGAACCAAGATAACCATGATGAGGTGACAAAAGTGTGTATTGACACGTATTTATTGTACTTATTCTAACGTTTCATCACTGTCTGTTTGCATGTCTGCCCCTCCTAAAACTGTGAGCCCCCCCTGGAGGGCAAGTATAGGTACCTCACACATCTCTGGATGCCCTGCACCAGCATAGGATAGATGCTGAGGACAGTGAATGTGATTTGAACTGCCCTAAGTGGCAGTGCTGACCTACATTCACACTTGGTGTCTTTCCTTCCTACCTCCTATTGACAAGCTCCTGGAGCACCTCTACTGTGAGCTACTGTGGGGGTTATGGATGTGGTTGGGGAGCAAGAAAAGAAAATTTGTGGAAAGAAGCTCAGAAGCAAAGGAAAGTTTAAAGCAGACGTTCATGCTGATGGTTTCTCTACCCATCTGGCTGACAGGCTGGGTGTGTGTGTGGAGGATGCCCGTTGCTTCCACTCGGTGCTGGGAAGCATCACAGTAGCTTCAAGGATAAGGGAGGGAGGGAGCAGTGGCCACAATTTGAGAAAACAACTCCCCCCCTCCCTTGGGGGCTCCAGTTAGGTTCACCACACTGGCCTTTCCCAATGAGATTATGCCCCAGGCACAAAGGAGTGGGCCAAAACAGGGCCCCCTTGTGTCCCTGTAGACCCCCAAATCCTCCAGCCTCTGGATAACAAGGGAAACAACTTGCCATTTGGGGAGAAGCCAGGATAGCCTGGCTACTAAAATTCTTTAGATTGAGATCAGCAGCTTCTAAATGGCCCCCAGTGATCCCTGACTCCTGGTATATACTCCCTTGTGTAAACCCTTTCCCTTAAAGTGTGGGCTAGACTTACTGACTTGCTTCTCACTAACAGAATACAGCAGAGGTAATGGGATGTTCCTTCCAATATTAGGTTATAAGAAGACTGTGGCTTCTGTTTTGAGCATACACTCTTGCTCTCTTTTGGGATCACCTCTCTGGAGAAGCCAGCTGCTATATCCTGCAGTGGCACTGTGGAGAGAGGCCCATATGGTGAGTGACTGAGACCTACCGATAACCACATGAGTGAACTTGGGAGCAGATCTCTGCCCCGCCGAGCTGAGCCCTTCATAGGACAATACAGCCCTGTGTGATGCCTTGACTGCAACCTCATGAGAGATCGTGAATCACCGAAACCAACTACCTGTGCTTAGATTTCTGATGCATGGAAACTGTAAGATAATAAATGTTTGTTGTTTTAATCAGCTAAATGTTGGAGTAATTTGTTATTCAGCAGTAGGTAACTAATGCAAGATGTTCTTAACTGTCCAAGAGTGAGTCTAAAAATGCAACCGTGAAAAACTAGCCACAGTATTGCTCTAAAGAATGTACAGTATTGCATGGGCATAGTCAGACAGCTCTGGGCTTAAATCTCAATTCCAAGCCTTTGGGTCCTAGCTTTCTCATTTCTAAACAGGAACAGAAGAATGTCCCTAGAGTACAGTTGTGGGTTGTAGCTTGTCGTGTAGTCGGTGCACAATAAATCTTTTTCCTTCTACTTCTCAGGAGTAGACCAAGATCTGTAGCATTCGTGGGATTCTTGGACTAAGGCAAAGTAATGCCTGGGGCAGAAGGTCCAGTAGGGAGCTGCTGCAGTCAGGGGTCCAGAACCCCTTGGATAAAGCAAAGCTCTGAACCTCACTCCTCCTGCCTTTGCTCCCACAAGGAATGGTATTCGGTCTACTTCCCAGTTTTTAGCTATTGAAATCTCGGACTCCTTCTCTGTCTTGTAAAAGTATTAACCATGGTTTTACAGAAGTTGGAGGAAAAACTTTCAGTTCTGAGAAATTTTGGAGCTTGCAGCTTGCTCCAAGGAGGTCTGTGGCAAGACAGAACTGTGTTGTGTGAGGTTTGAATGTCCTCTGCCCACCCCTCAGGAGCAACCCTGTTTGAGCCCAGCCTGCCATGCAGCATTGTCCATCAGGTGCTCAGCTCTCAAATTCTGTTCCTCTTTACAGCCCAAGCATCACCATCTCTTTCCCTAGCAGTTATAGCGGCCCCCTCACCTCTACTGCTGGGCTCTCTTCATGAAGGAAAAATCACCCTTGCCACTCCCTTCAGAGGTACCCCATGGTCCACAGCATAATTTTCATGCTTTTTCATGGAATCTGGCTCCCTGCCTACTCATCTAGTTTCACCTCCTCTCATTTGCGCTCTGGGCCAGGCCACACTGGGGCCCCCTGAGCTCCTCCATGCTCTTTCTCCCTGCCACAGGCCATTGTAGGTGCTTACCTTTCTTCCTGGTACAGACTTTCCAGGTAACTCTAATTCATACTTCGTCTCTCTGCTTGTATACATGTCATCTCCTCCAGGAAGCCTTCCCAACACTGCAGGCACAGCACGGTGCCCTCCTATGTGCATCTCAAGCCTGTGCTTGCCTCTCTCACAACCCCAAGTCCCACTGTTGTGACCTCCTTTCTTGTCCCTCACCCCAAGATATGAGCACTTCAAGGGCAAGGCTGTCTTTTTCATTTTTATAGCTGTTACACCCCCAACCACATTTTCTTCTTGCTAATTTCTCAAAGCAGAAAGCTCCACAGTCTTCCCAAATAGCCCAGGCTGGATTAAGGGCCCCTTCTGTAAGCCCTACCACACCTTGTTGCTTTACATCTGTCATAGCACCTTGAAAACATTTGGGGAATTGTCAGACTCTTGCATCACATGGTGACTCTGTAGGGCAGGACTGTGTCTGATTCATCCCAGTGTTCCTAGTTCTCAGCCTGGGGCATGGTATACAGTCGACAAACAGTAGATGTTTGTGGAATAATTAAAGGTAAAGGAAAAGAAAAGAAAGACAGGCAGGCAGGGAGGAAGGGAGGGAGGAAAAAAGGAAGAAAGGCCAGCTCCATTGGCTTCTCTCTCTCCCTCTCTATTTCTGTCTTCCATTTAGGTATTGAATGATCAGAATTGAATTAATCATAATCCTTGATCATGACACATTGTCAACATTAGCCCAAGTATGGGACTTATTAATTCATGTATTTATTCATAACATGATGAACACACATGAACCCACTATTGAACCCAAGACCTAGAACATTTCCAACACCTACATCTTCCCGGGTGCTCCTTTCCTAGCCCATCTTTTTGCCTCTCCTTCACACAAAAACACTATCCTGATTTTTTTTTTAGATGGAGTCTTGCTCTGTCACCCAGGCTGGAGTGCAGTGGCACCATCTCAGCTCACTGCAACCTCCACCTCCCAGGTTCAAGCAATTCTCTGCCTCAGTCTCCCGAGTAGCTGGAATTACAGGCTCCTGCCACCATGCCTGGCTAATTTTTTGTGTTTTTAGTAGAGATGGAGTTTCACCATTTTGGCCAGGCTGGTCTTGAACTCCTGACCTCGTGATCCACCCATCTCAGCCTCCCAAAGTGCTGGGATTACAGGCGTGAGCCACTGCGCCTGGCCACTATCCTGATTTTTATGGTTTATCATTTCCTTGGATTTAAAAATACATGTAACATGAATTTATTTAGCTTTACTTGCTTTTTGAACTTTATTAAAAGGTACTATACTATATATCATTTTCTAGGAATTGCCATTGGACTTAACAAGATTCATCCATGTTGATGCATGTAACAGTATCTCATTCATTTTCATGGCTCTATAATAGTTCATTGGGTGAACATACACAATTAATTTTTCCATTCTCCTTCCATAGGTGTTCAGATTGGTTTTATTTTGGAGCTACTATAAACAGTGCTGCTATGAACATTTCTGAACAGGTTCCCTGGTGGATCTGTGCTAATGTTTTCTTGGGTCTTTTCATAGGAGTGGAATCATTGTGTCTTGTCCTCTTCATCACTGTCTAGCATGGGTCAGCCTATTCAAATGCAGGGCTAAAAATTTTTCAATCTAGCCACAAAACAGGGAGGGCTGTAGGTACCAAAAGTAATTTGCATCATTCACAGGAGACAAAAATGTTTGACCAAGGGATACCCAGCTCCATTTCCTTGGAATGATTTGCATGCAAGTAAGTGATTTGCATACTGACAGGGCTTCAGATTCCAGGCCATTCCATTCCCTGCCCCATTCCCCTTTACTTCTTAGATAATTAGACCTAGTGGGGCCCAGAAGTCTCAGCCTCCCAGGAGGACTCTGGAAAAGACCTGAGTTAGTCTGCAGTAGGAAAGAAGACAGGTGAGGCTCAGTGACAGATATCCAAATATATCCAGTGGTCATCGAATTTTGTGTAGGACAAGATATTAAGGACATACACACACACGCACGGAGGCCTGGAGAGTTCTGCTATAAAATGACTTGGTACCCTGGGAGGAAGCTTCAAGATGGGCATGGCAGATCATGGCAGGGTTGCACGTACCACAGAATCTTTAGCTTTTAATTGATTTCTATAATCCTCATTTTTCTCTTATATGAAATGGGGGCAATAACATTTACCACATAAAATTGTAAAGATGAAAGGAGGTTATGTATATGAGGGCTTGGCAAATGTTTGTTCTTTGGGCTGTGGTCTTACACAAGTTACTAAATGTCTAGGAAATTTCAGTTTCCAATTTGTAAAATGGAACTAATAAGAGTACTTTCCTCTATTGGCATTTGTTACTTTTGGACCTTGAGCAGCTGAATTCCCCTGCCTAAGCTGGGGAATTCCCCACCGTATTACTCTAGGTAGGAAGCAGAGTCACTTCGCAGTAATGGCCAAAAAGCCCAGCATTCAGTCATGACATGATGCTCAAAATCTTTTGAAAACCCTCTTCACAATTTGTTTTTGGTAAATTCAGATAAACAAAACTCTTTCATTTCCTAGCCTCCCTTGCCACTGGATGTGTCAGGGGCATTTGAACCAGAGCAACTCCATCTTAGATAGGGGCTGGGTAAAATGAGAATGAGATCTGTGGGGCTGCATTTCCAGGAGGTTAGGCATGTTTAGACACAGGATGAGATAGGAGGTTGACACAAGATACATGTCACAAAGACCCAGTTGATAAAACAGGATGCAGTAAAGAAGCTGGCCAAAACCCACCAAATCTAAGATGGTGATGAAAGTGACCTCTGGTCATCCTCGCTGCTCATTATACACTGATTATAATGCATTAGCATGCTAAAAGTCACTCCCATAAGTGCTACGACAGTTTACAAATGCCATGACAATGTCCAGAAGTTACCCTATATGGTCTAAGAAGGAGAGGAACCCACAGTTCCAGGAAATCCCCACCCCTTTCCCAAAAAACTCATGAATAATCCACTCCTTGTTTAGCATATGATCAAGAAATAGCCATAAAAATAGTCAACCAGCAGCCCTCAGGGCTGCTCTGCCTATGAAGTAGTCATTCTTTTGTTTCTTTACTTCTCTAATAAACTTGATTTCACTATACTTTATGGACTTGCCCCAAATTCTTTCTTGCCCAAGATCCAAGAACCCTCTTTTGGAGTCTGGATCAGGACTCCTTTCCAGTAACCGATGCAGATGTCATCTGGATTCTGCAAACGGACACACTGATCTGACTCAGAAGCGAACTACTTGAAGAAACTCTCTAGGCCTAGAGCATCCATTCTGGCTGGTGTGAGGAAGAAGCAACTCTTGTTTGGGGTCAGTGGTAGGAGTAGCAGGTTCCTACTCTTGGCTATGGCAGAAGCTCCCTTACCGCGTCAGTTCTGCAGCATAATGACAGGTATATTCCTGAAAACTCAGTTCAGAACCTACGTCTTGACAATCACAATGATTCCGTGAGCTAGTCAATCTTTTAAACTAAGTCTCTATCTGAATGTACTAGTTAAAGTGAATTATATTGTTAGCAACAAAGACCCCTTGTTGGTTCCTTACTATTCCAGCCTTCCTGACATTTTGGCCAATCAAAACTTCCCTCTTAGGTTTTTGAAGCTGGGACCAGCCATTCAAAAAAGCAAGGATGGAGAATTTATTCTGTTGGAGGCAGGGTTGGCAGAAGACCCCATGGGCAATGTTAGCTTTGGTGGTCACCTCTATATCCAGTGATCAGTGCTGGGAGTGGCAGTAGTGGTCCTCATGAGATTGGGTTTGAGGCAAGATTTCCTCCATGGTTCTGCTGCCTTGAATTTGTTGTTGTTGTTGTTGTTCTTGTCTGTTTTTTTTTTTTTTTTTTTTCTAGATCTGGCTTTCCATCCTTCCCAGTCCACGCTGTGAGTTTCCCAATTTCCTTTCGATTTGAGTCTGTTCATATAGAAAATTGCATTAATTGAATTTTGAATGTGAAACTAGCTTTGCATTCCTGAGCTAAATCTCACTTAGTCATAATATATTTGTCTTTTCAATATATTGTTGGATTCAATTTGAATCCATGTTCATAAGGGATATTGGTCTGTATTTGACTTTTCTTGTGACATCTTTGTCTGGCTGTGGCATCGAACTAATACTGACCTTAAGGAATTAGTTAAGGTGCGTTGGTTTTTCTTCTATTTTCTGAAACAATTTGTATAGAATTGGAGTTATTTACTCCTTAAGTGTGTCATAGAATAAATTTACCAGTGAGGTAATATGGGCTTGGAGTTTTCTTTGTGGAGAGGTTTTTAAGTGGAAATTCAATTTCTTTAATAGATACAGAGCTCTTCTGGTAATCTCCTTTTTAGGAAATTGTAGTATTTAACACCTTTCAAGAAATCTGTCCATTTCATCTAATTGTAGGATATATTGACATTAAGTTGTCCATACTATTTCTTTATAATCTTTTAAATACCTGCAGAATCTATAATGATGTCACCTCTCTCATTTCTGATATTGTTAATTTGTGTCTCTCTCTGGATCTGCCCCAAACACCCAGCTCTCATTCTCACTCTTTTTTGTCTGTTCAGTCTCATTAGCAACTTACCGATCTTCTCAAAGAAACAGCTTTTGGTATTATTTATTTTCTCTGTATTTTTCTGGTTTCTATTTTATTGATTTTTTTCACTCTGATCTTTAGTATTTCCTTTATGCTGCCTATGATGGGATCCATCTGCTCTTCTTTTTCTATCTTCTTCAGGTGAAAACTGAGATCATTTATTTAAGACCATTTTTCTTGTCTAGTATAGGCATTTAGGGCTATACATTTCCTTCTAAGTACTGTTTCAGATACCTCTCACATATTTTGCTATATTGTGTTTGTATTTTCTTCAAATTCAGAATACTATGTAATTTTAAAAAAATCTTCTTTGACTCATAAGTTACTTAGAATTGTGTTTTTTTTGCAAACATTTGGATATTTTTAGACAGCATTCTGGAATTGATTGCTAATTTGGTTCTATTGTGATCCGAGCACCCTCTTTGTATGATTTGAATAGCTTTAAATTTATTTAAATGTATTTTCAGCTCAAAATACAGATGATCTTTATAAATGTTTCAGGTGCTCTGGAATGAATGTGTATTCTGCCATTGGTGGGAGGAGTGCTTTGGAAATGGCAATGAAGTCATGTTGGTTGTGTTATTCAAGTCTTCTATATCCTTACTGACTTTCTGTCTACCTGTTCTGTCCATTACTGAGAGAAGGATATTGAAATATATGAATGTACTTATGGATTGTCTGCTACTCCTTGTAGTTCTATCCATTTTTGTTTCAGGTATTTGAAGCTTTGTTTTACATGCATACATTTTTGGTTTGTTATGTCCCTTTATGAAATGACCCTGTTTAAGCTTGCTAATACCACTTTGAAATCTACCCTGTTTGATATTAATATAACTATGCTAGACTCTTAAAAATTAGCATTAACATGATATATCTTTTCCCATCTTTTTGCTTTTAACACATATGTGTCATTATATTTCAAAAGGTTTTCTTATAGACAGCATATAGTTGTGATTTGATTTTGTTATCTGATTGGGTGATCTCTGCCTTTTGATTGCGATATTTAGACTATTATATTTAATGTGATTATTGATATGGTTGGGTTTAAATCTAACATCTTGCTATTTGTTTTGTATTTTCTCCATTTGTTCTTTGCTGCTTTTTCCTCTCTTTTTTTCTGCCTTCTTTTCGATTATTTTTTATAAATCCATTTTATTTCCTTTGTTGGTTCATGGCTATAAGTTACTGTGTTATTTTGGTGGTTGCTTTAGAGGTTATATTAACAGGATACATATTAACTTGTCATTGTCTACCTTCAAGTAATATACCATTTCATGTATAGTATAAGAACTTTACAAAAATTTTATTTCCATTTTTACCCTTGACTTTTATGTATAGTTGTCATACATTTTACTCCTACATATGTTATAAACCCCTTAATATACTGTTATTTTTGCCCCAAATTGTTATCTTTTAAAGAGATTTAAATATTTTAAAGTTGTTGTGTTTACCCACATAGTTGCCATTTCAAATACTTTTCATTCCAGTGTATAGATTCATATTGCCATCTGGTATAATTTGCCTTCTGCCTAGAGGATTTCCTTTTAGCATTTCTTATTGTGCAGGTCTGATTGTAATAAATTCTTTCAGCTTTTGCATGTATGGAAAGGTCTTATTTTGCCTTGATTTTTGAGTGATATTTTCCCTTAGTAAAGAATTTTGGACTGATTAATTTTCTTTCTTCTTTCAGCACTTTAAAGATGTTGCTTCGTTGTCCTTTAGCTTACATTGTTTCTGACGAACAATCGAAGGCCATTCTCATCTTTGTTTTTTTGTAATATGTCTTCCCTTCCTCCAGGCTACTTTTAACATTTTTTCTTCATCAGTGGTTTTAGTAAAGGGAATTACGATGTGTCTCCTTGTAGTCTTCCTTATGTTTCTTGTACTTGGGTTTCGTTTAGCTTTTGGATCTGTTGGTTTACAGTTTTTATCACATTGGGAAAATTTTTAGCGATTATTTTTTCAAATATTTTTCTTCCCCCTTCATTTTCTTCAAAGACTCCATTACACATACATAGGCTGCCTAAAGTTGTCCTGTTATTCTAAACATTTTTTCATCCTTTTTCTCTGTGTGCTTAATTTTCAGTAGCTTCTATTTTTACGTCTTCAAGTTCACCACTCCTTTCCGCAATGTCGAATCTGCTATTAATCTCTTTCAGCATATTTTTTATCTCAGACCTTGTAGTTGTATCTCTAAAAATTCAACTTGGGACTTTATTATATCATCTATACCTTTAACTTAACATGGTTAGTTTTTCCTCTAGCTTCTTGAACACATAAAATAGAGTCATAATACTTTTTAAAATGTCTTTGTCTACTAATTCTATTATCCGTGTCATTTTTAGGTCAGTTTCAAGTGACGGATTTTTCTCCAAATTTAGGATTGTATATACCTGCTTCTTTGTATGGCTGCTAGTTTTTTCCCACTATGGAGCAAGATCCCTCTGAGGGACTGAACTCAGTGGCTCTCACCTTTAATCTCAGCACTGTGGGAAGTCGAGGTGGAAGGATCGCTTGAGCCCAGGAGTTCCAGACCAATTCTGGCAACATAGTGAGACCCCCATCTCCACAAAAAATTAAAAACTTAGCCAAGCATGGTGTGCCTGTCGCTCCAGTTACTTGGGTGGCTGAGGTGGGAGGATTACCTGAGCCTGGGAGGTGGAGGCTGCAGTGATCGAGCCAGAATCGTGCCACTGCACTCCAGCCTGGGCAACAGAATGAGACTCTGTCTCAAAAAAAAAAAAAAAAAAATTCCTTCTGAGTATTCCACCCAAAGTCCACTCTGCCTGGTAAGACTAGGCACTATTCTGAGTCCTGTGTGAGCTCTACTAATTGTTCCCTCTTTTTGGTTGTTTTTTTCCAGGTCTTGAATAGTTTCCTCTCATGCATGTGCTGATCTGTACTCAGCTGAATCCTCAAGGGGGAACTCTATGTAAATCTCAATGTTCCTCTCTATATAGCTTTTTCCTTTCTAGAATTCTGCCCCACAAATCTTAGTCCCCTTGGCCTCCCTTCTCTCAGCTCCATATTCCCAAATCAAGGAGACTGCCAAGCTCTGTCTGGCCTCTTCTGTTTTGCACCATGGCCTGGAAACTCTATCCAGGTAGTAAGCTGGGTCAATTGCAGTGTTCATTATGTTTGTTTCTCATCTCTCAGAAATCAGTCTCCTATATTGCCTATTGTCTAATATCTTGAGAACCATTGTTTCATATGTTTTTTTCTGCCTTTTTAGTTCTTTCAGATGGGAAAGCACATCCGGATTTCGTTGTTCTATGTGGCTGGAAACAGAAGTCTTTTTGCACACAGCCAGAGTAGTTTTCTGGTATTTACACTGGAGAGCCCTGGCTGAAACACTACATTACATGATTAATGCGAGGATTAATGAGAGGACACATGTTAAGTGCTTAGGACAATGCCAGCACAGAGCAAGTGTTTAATTAGTGTTGTTGTATTAGTCAGCTTTTGCTGTGGCAACAAACAACCTCCACGTCTCAGTGGCTTGCAATAACATTTCTAGCTCCTGGATCTGCCAGTCTATTGGTCTGCTTAACTCTGTCTGTCGTGGCTCAGCTCTGCTTGGCTCACCTTGAGCACCAAGCTTTCTCATTCTGAGACCCAGGCTGATAGTAGAATCATCTGAGATGTGCTGTTCTCATGGTAGAGACAAGAGGATGATGCCAAATAAACTTACATTAGGCACTTAATATTTCTTACAGAAGAGAGACCTGATAATTGGGAACAACAATATAATTTACCACAGCTAATTTTTTTTTTTTTTTTTAAGATGGAGTCTCACTCTATTGCCTAGGCTGGAGTACAATGTCACAATCTTGGCTCACTGAAACCTCTGCCTCCCAGGTTCAAGTGATTCTCCTGCCCCAGCCTCCCGAGTAGCTGGGATTACAGGTGTGCACCACCACACCTGGCTAATTTTTGTATTTTTTGTAGAGATGGGATTTTGCCATGTTGCCCAGGCTGGTCTTGAACTCCTGACCTCAGGTGATCCACCTGCCTTGGCCTCCCAAATTGCTGGGATTACAGGTGTGAGCCCTTGTGCCCAGCCTGATCATTGTTACTAAAAGCCTCTTCTGCAGGTAAATTTCCCTGTATATTTTTGTTAAAAGCAATACTTTCTCAGGAGTCTCGAGGTGAACGCATCTCTGTCCATTCACATCTCCTTTATCCCAGGCATATCTCTGTCCTCCACTTGGTTTTTGATTGCCCGGTGAACTCTGGTTACTCATACTGCAGGAGGTGGGATGCTTCATTCATAATAGGCTAGAAGGCCATTGAGGCAGGTGGATGGTAAAAACACAGTTTGAGGGCAAACAGTATCAGTGGTCTAAGCACGGAGAGGATACCTGAATTACTTTCTCAGTCTTCAGTGTACCAGTTGGGTACTCAAGTCTTTATTTCTTACCAATAGTGCAGAGCAAGAGCTTAAGGCCAAGGCTCTCATGATTCATCTGAGAAAATGAGCCCATCCTGAAATGCCAGTCACTTTTCTTCTTTTTCCAGGAATTTGCCACACCTACCTCAGTCTGAATGGCCCTGGCCTTCACTGGACCCCAAGAGCCTTTATTTCAGGGCGTTTCACTTGGTAATGAATTATAAGCTATCTTGTAATAGATCTTCTGCTTTATTATTTAACTAATATATGGTTTGAGGATGATGGAATTCAGATTTTTTTCAAATGCCTACTCTGCACCAGGTCCCTTACATGTAGTGCAATTTTAAACCTCATGACAGCCTAACGATGTAGGAGGCCACAGAGCTAGTAAGTGGCAGAGGTTGGATTTAAACCCAGTTTTGTCTACTTTGCATTGTGCTTATTTAGGTTCCTTCAGAGCATTTTAAGCTCCTTGAAAGCAGGGGCCATATCATATACTTCTTTGAATCACCTAAAAAAATCCAATACAGAGTCAGGACACTGGGTGGCTGTTCAAAAACATTTATTTATTTTTTCTTTACAAAGAGGGAAGCAGGTGGGTCAGTGCTCCTAGGATCTTGAAAGAAATACTGGGTATAGAGTTGGAAAAATTATTATTCCTTTTGGCTCTCATTCCTCTGGTGGTCTAATCCTCATAGCTGGTTGATGATGTATTAGGCTGAGACCACTTTGGGGCTGAGAAGACAGACAAATAGGGCTTTGCCAGGGCACAAAATTAAAGCCATGGAAGCCACAGAGAGAGAGAAAGGAACTCATGTTTACAGGGTGCCCGTTAGCCTGGCTTTCATCATTCATTATTTCAGCCAAGGCGCATAATATCTTTTGGGGAGAGGATTTCTTACCCTCATTTAACAGCTCAGCATCACACAGCAGTAAATAACAGAGCTGGAATTTAAATACAGGTCTAACTGACTCTAAAGTCCTGATTGCTGCTGTTACACCCCACGACTAGAATGAAAAGCATGAGCCCTATTGAGAGGAAACCAGTTCAAGCCATCAGTGAGGACGGCTGGCCTCAAGCTCCTGGGGAATTAATAACCAGGAATATATTCCACCACACGACTGAAAGTTACCCACTCCACACCGCCCAATCTACTGCCACTTGAGACTCGTTAGCTATTACCTGTGTGGTAGTCAAGCATTTTATCTTTTTCATTGAATTATCTTATGTCTTGACATAGTTGCTCATTCTCCCCAAAAATAAAGTGATTTATGAGGAAAACTGCAATTACAATGCCATCTATTAAAAGGATCTGAGCTTCCTGTAGAGTTAAAAGAAATATGTAATTGCCAATTAAAGAAAAGCATGCCACTGGCCAAAATCATTGATTAGAAGTAAATCTGGAAAAATTCTCTGAGCAGCATTATAGACAGGCTCATTTCCTTTCTCCTAGAGCCAAAGTGACCTGTGAAAAGTTGATTTCATGGGCAACATGAAATCAACTTGTATCTGATTTCTGGCTTTTATTATTTCTCCCCTGGACTTTGGCAGTTGAGTCTCCTCTCCCTCGCCTCACTCCTTTCCCCACCATGTTCTCAAAATAACACCCATGGTGATGTGGCAATCACTATTGATTGCATGCCGAAAACCTTCCCCATCCCTTTTACATCAACAGAAAAATAGTTTTAAATTTGGTCCAGTAGCAATATATTCAGCCTGAGGAGATGAATCCTGATAGGTTTCAGTCCTTCCTGGCAACCACATTTTATTTTACCAGTGATTCATTTAGGAGTAGGCAAGAGAACTAATTCTGGTTAATGAAACTTAAGGGGAAGTCTACTGGGACTCTCTGGGGAAGATTTTTCTCCCTTGATAGAAGGTCCATCTTGAGCAGAGGAGAAAATTCCACTTATTTTTGTTTCTTCCTTCTAGCTTCAGACATTACCATGTAAGAAAATGATGCTTGAAGCTGTAGACACCTCTCAATCATGAAGACAATATTAAGAGAATCATAGAGATGCCAGCCCAGTGTTCTAATGTTGTTGAGTCACTAAACC
This sequence comes from Homo sapiens, assembly GCF_000001405.40. NCBI lineage: Eukaryota > Metazoa > Chordata > Mammalia > Primates > Hominidae > Homo > Homo sapiens. The sequence continues at coordinate 141,036,771 of NC_000003.12, read as the reverse complement.
AACTGGGAACCACGACCCCATGACTACATTCATATATTCAACAAACATTTATTAAGCACTACTGTGTGCCAAGCACTGTTTCTGGCATTAAAGATATATCAAAGAACAGCAATGACTTTTAACCTTGTGGTTTTTAGATGGGGGTTAGGGGTGGAGAGGTGGAAGTCAGACAATAAACAGCACACATAGAAAATATATAATATATTAGAGGGTGATGAATATATAGGAAAAAAAAGGACAGAAAAAAGGGAAGGTGATTGCAAGTACTGGGGCTTCATGGAAATGGTGAGATTGGAGCAAAGTCCCAAGGAGGTAAGCGAGTGAGCCATGCATGTAGCCGAGGGAAGAAATTCCCAGGCACCTAGTGCAAAGGCCCTAAATAGGGAATTGCATATTGTGTTCAAGAGCAGCAAAGAGACCAGTATGACTATTCCCTCCACTGGGATATTGAAAATAGGGGGACGAGGACAGGAGCAAAATTAGGAGGCCATTGAAGAAGTATTTTCGTTACTGTAGCTTCTTGTTATAAAATAGATAATTACACACTTTTCTCTACTTGAGCCATTGACAGTAGTCCATTGTTTGCAGTCAAAATGATTCCTAATCATTATCATAATCTTGCTAATACATAATCTAGCCATAGTACTGCCTTGTAATTGGGGGAAGACTTAAACAAAATACAAACAGATAAATGAAGCCAACTGTATCTCAAAAGAATATCTGCAGTGAAGGGGAAAAAAAGAATGAACTTAAGTAATTTTTCAGCACAGTCCTTGACTGACTTCCCATTGAATAAAATACAGACTTCTTGACTTGACATAAAGGTCCTCCATGAATGAATGAGTTTCCTAGTCCCTGAATTAGCTCCTTTTCTCAGTTCTGTTGAATCCCAAGTGAATAGGTTTTCCTGCCTATATACAAACAGAATTTGGCTATAAAGAAAACGTGATTGCCTGGGTAATACGGCGAAACCTCATCTCTACTAAAATTCTAAAAAACAATAAAAGAAAAATTAGGTGTGGTGGTGTGCATATGTAGTCTCGACTACTCAGGAGGCTGGGGTGGGAGAATCACCTAAGCCTGGGAAGTTGAGGCTGAAGTAAGCTGTGCTCGTGCACCACTGCACTCCAGCCTGGGCAACAGGGAGAAATCCTGTCTCGAAAGAAAAAAAGGAAAAAAAAAAAGAAAACTTGTTGGCCAGGCACAGTGGCTCACACCTGCAATCCCAGTGCTGTAGGAGGCTGAGGCAGGAGGCTCACTTGAGCCCAGGAGTTTGAGGCTACAGTGAGCTATGATTGTACCACCGTACTCCAGCCTGGGTGACAGAGCAAGACTCTGTCTCTACAAAACATAAAAAAGAAAAAGAAAACTTGTCAAAATTATTTTATTTTTTGTTTCGTTTTGGAGATGGAGTTTCACTCTTGTTGCCCAGGCTGGAGTGCAGTGGTGTGATCTCAGGGTCTCTGCAACCTCTGCCTCCCGGGTTCAAGTGATTCTCCTGCCTCAGCCTCCCAAGTAGCTGGAATTACAGGTGCCTGCCACCATGCTTGGCTAATTTTTTGTATTTTTAGTAAAGACGGGGTTTCACCATGTTGGCCAGACTGGCCTTGAACTCTTGACCTCAGTTGATCCACCTGCCTCGGCCACCCAAAGTGCTGAGATTACAGGCGTGAGCCACTGTGCCTGGCTTCAAAATTATTTTAAATAAGAATGAGAGTTGAAAAGTTAGGACCATTAGTTTCATACATTGCTGCTGGTGGGAATGCAGAGTAGTACTACCACATGAGGAGAAATTGACATCTAACAAAATTTCATAAGCATTTACCCTTTGATCCAGATAATCCTTCTTTTAGAATTTACCCTGAAGATATACCTCAAATAATATGAAAATACATCTGCACGAGGTTATTTATTGCAGCATTATTTTGTATTATACATTATGAGACACCACCAAAATGCTAAGACATGCCTGTAATCCCAGCACTTTGGGAGGCCGAGACGGGCGGATCACGAGGTCAGGAGATCAAGACCATCCTGGCTAACATGGTGAAACCCCATCTCTACTAAAAATACAAAAAAAATTAGCCAGGCCTGGTGGCGGGCTCCTGTAGTCCCAGCTGCTCGGGAGGCTGAGGCAGGAGAATGGCGTGAACCTGGGAGGTGGAGTTTGCAGTGAGCCGAGATCGTGCCACTGCACTCCAGCCTGGGTGACTGAGTGAGACTCTGTCTCCAAAAAAAAAAAAAAAAAAAAAAAGAAATTGGTTGAATAAACTGTGATGCATTCACACAATAGAGCATTCTGCAGCTGTAAAGAAAAAATGCAGAAGATCTTGAATTCATGGCTGAGTGTGGTAGCTTATGTCTGTAATCCCAGCACTTTGGGAGGCTGAAGTGGGAGGATCACTTGAGGCCAGGAGTTTGAGACCAGCCTGGGCAACATGGTGAGACCCTGTCTCTACAAAAAATATTTTTTAATTAGCCAGGGATGGTGGCATGTGCCTGTAGTCCCAGCTACTCAGGAGGCTGAAGCAGGAAGATTGCTTGAGCCCAGGAGTTCAAGACTACAGTGAGCTGTGATCACACAACTCCCCTCCAGCCTGGGTGACATGACAGCGAGATCATCTCTAAACAAACAAACAAACAAAAAAGACCTTTATGAACTTATATGGGGGAGTTCCATGATATACTGTCAAGAGAAAAAAGCAAAGTACAAAAGAATATGCTACCTTTCATGTAAGAAAAAGAGTAAATAAGAAAATACACACGTATCTGTTCATTGTTTAAAAATGCAACACAGGAATGAAAACTAGAAACCACTGAAGTCTGTTGCTTAGACAGGTGGGCAGGAAGGAAGAGAAAAGGATGGGGAGAAGGAATAACATTTCACTGAGTTTAATCTTTTGCATAGTTTTGGATATTGGAAGTGTGCTAGCGTTTTGCATATTCAAACTAATCTAAAGTAACTGGGGGAAGACTAAAACGGAATACAAACAGATAAATGAGCCCAACTGTATCTCAAAAGAATATCCGCAGTGAAGAGGAAAAAAAAATGAATTTAAGTAATTTTTCAGCACAGTATTTTGACTATAAACCTTCAGTTTATCAACAAAAAGAAGTGCATAGATAAATAAATAAATCTTATATTCAACTTAATAGATCTGGTTTCCTGTAGAAGTGTAAGAATTCTGAAACTATTTTCTATGATTTCCAGGTCTGAACAAATAAGCGAATAGGCTAATGTTGTTGGTAACCAGAGTTCTTACTGTGGAAGTAAGGAGATATAACTACAAAACCAGCAAGGCAAGCATGACCTTCCAGAGGGGTCTTGGAATTAGAGATGATTAGTATTTCTGGCTTTGTCCAGACAAAGGCCCAAAGTGCTGACATTCTAGTGGCAATGAGCATGCTCTAACACTCAATTCTTGGTTTCTGAAAAACATTTTCTTCTGCTCAAGAGAACCAGGAATTCTTGAAGAAATGGTTGATTCAAGGACTAGGGCAGGAAAAGTGTAAGATAAGTCTGGAACATGATGCTATAACAGAGAGTAAGAAATAATGGGAACATATCAAAAGTACGCAAGACACACCTGAAGGCATTAAGCATCCAAATATAAAGCAGTAATAGATTATAAGCAACTAAATATAGTAAGAATTCATGTTTGTACAAATGCATACATACATACATAAAGAACAGCTCTTCCTTACTATAGAATGCCAACTAATAAATGCAGAACAAATAACACTATTAGGAAATCACCAGTTTGCTACCAGTCTAGTAATAGATACAGGCCATAATTATCAAGAAATGCTAAAACATGTGGGTGAAAGTTTGATGAGGATCAAGATATTTGCAGTCCCAACAAAGCTCTCCACAAACATAATCATTAATTTGAAAAGGAAAACTAGAAACTTGGTAGGCACCACTTTAACATAGGAATCAAAGTATCACCATCATGGAGCACATCTGCATCATGTGCTTTCTAGTACGATGCACTGACAAGAATACACCACTTCTGTGGTATTCTGGCCAAAAGTATATAATCTAAATCTAATAATGTGGATGTATCGACAAGCCCAAATTGAGGGACATTCTGTAAAACAATTGGCCTGACTGTACTGTTCAGAATATCAAGGTTGTAGAAGAAAAAGAAGGAGGAATTGTTCCAGATTAAAGGATACTAAAAAGACTGGACAATCAAATGCAATACATGATGCTGGATTTGATCCTGGCCTAGAAAAAAATTTGCTATAAATGATATTATTTGGATGATTGGTAAAATTGGAATATGCACTATAGATTAGATAACAGTGGTTATCAGTGTTAAATTCCTGCTATATTGTGGATATGTAAGAGAAGTCTTTGTTTTAAGAAATGACAAACATTTCAGATGGTGCAAATGCTAATTACCTCAATCTGATCACTATACATTATATGTACCAAAACACCACTATGTACCCCATGAATAAGTACAATTGTTATTTATCAATTAAGAACATAAAATTAAAAAAGAATTATTTTTAGAATGTATATAAGGAAGTATCTAGAAGCAAAGGAGCATAATGTATGCAACCTACTCTCAATGAGTCCAGATGAAGAATGATAAAGCAAATGTGGCAAATGTTAACACTTGGTCAGTTGTTGTATAATAAAGGTGGTCACTAGTTTTTTGCTACTCCTCTGATTGAAAGATGGAGTCCAATTTCCCATCTTTAAATCTGAGCTGGCTTTTTTTTTTTTTTTGAGACAGTGTCTCGCTCTGTTGCCCAGGCTGGAGTGCAGTGGCACGATCTTGGTTCAGTGCAAACTCCGCCACCCAGGTTCAAGCGATTCTTCTGCCTCTGCCTCCCAAGTAGCTGGGACTACAGGCACCTGCCACCACACCTGGCTAATTTTTGTATTTTTAGTAGAGACGGGGTTTCACTATGTTGGTCAGGCTGGTCTCGAACTCCTGGCCTCATGTGATCTGCCCGCCTGGGCCTCCCAAAGTTCTGGGATTACAGGTGTGAGCCACCGCACCTGGCCTGAGCTGGCTTTAGTGATTTGTTTGACTAACAGAGTGTGGGGGAACTGATGCTTTGCAACTTGCGGGACTGTCATGAGAAGCTTTATGCCTTCAATCTGGGCCTCTTGGAACACTGTCTGGGAACCTTGAACTGCTATAAGACATCCAACTCCCTGACACCACCGCACTGAAGATGTCTTCTGTAGGTGTTCCTGTTGATGGTTCCCGTTGGACCCAGCCTTCCAGCCATCCTCAGCAAGGTGCCAGAAGCTTTTTTGGATTCTCCAGACCCATCCATCCACTTGCCAGATACTATTCTATGACTTCTGTGAACACCACATTGAATGTAAATCACTAAACTGAGCTCTGCCCAAATTCTTGTCACAGAAAATAATGATATATACTTATAGTGGTGCTTGTTTTAAGCCATCAAGTTTTGGAGTAGGTTTTTATGCGGAAATCGATAACTAGCACTAGGTGATTGATAAAAATGGTATGCTTTGTACTGTTTTTGCAACTTTTCTGAAAGTTTGATATTATTTTTAAATTAAAAGAAAAAAGTTAGAGCCAGAAATTAATGGTTAAAATGAGTATGTATTTCTGTTTAAACCAATGGCCCTTCCTCCCAGCAGGAAAATCATTCAGCAATTTCTTAAATCTGTGCCAATCTCTGGATCCAAGTTGAGCTCTCTGAGTGAAACATTATGAATCAAAACCATGAAGGGGTCTGTTGAGCTTAGACCCTCAATGTGGAACTAAGATTCATCCAAATGGAAACACCCTATCAAAACAGCTTGCCTCTCTGCTGTATTCCCGTGGTTCTTCTACTTTTCCACCAGGTATCTCAGAGGTATTGCAACTCAGCATAACCTAAATCAAACCCACATTTTCACCTCCTTGAGAGCCGACCCCTGCCAAAACAAACAAACAAACAAATAAAAAATAACTTGGCTCTCCTTTAGCCAAAATAGAAGAGAAAAATGGCATATGAATATGCAAAAGGATTCTTAGCTGCCATAATTAAATAAATATGAAATTAAGAAACAAGCAAAAGAGTTGCTTATCATATTGGCATAAATAAAAAGTTTTGAAAATATGCAAGTTGATGAGAATATAAGGATACAGGCAAGTTCCTACATAGTTGTACAATTAAGGCTATTTAAAAACCTTCACACGTCCGGGAGGGAGGCGGGGAGTCAGCCCCTGCCTGGCCAGCCGCCCCGTCCGGGAGGGAGGCGGGGAGTCAGCCCCCGCCCGGCCAGCTGCCCCGTCAGGGAGGGAGGTGGGGGGTCAGCCTCCGCCCGGCCGCCGCCCCGTCCGGGAGGTGGGGGCCACCTCTGCCCAGCCGCCCCTTCTGGGAAGTGAGGAGCCCCTCTGCCCAGCCGCCACCCCGTCTGGGAGGTGTTCCCATCAGCTCATTGAGAACGGGCCATGATGATGATGGCGGTTGTGTCGAATAGAAAAGGGGGAAATGTGGGGAAAAGATAGAGAAATCAGATTGTTGCTGTGTCTGTGTAGAAAGAAGTAGACATAGGAGACTCCATTTTGTTCTGTACTAAGAAAAATTCTTCCGCCTTGGGATGCTGTTGATCTATGACCTTACCCCCAACCCGGTGCTCTCTGAAACATGTGCTGTGTCCACTCAGGGTTAAATGGATTAAGGGCTGTGCGAGATGTGCTTTGTTAAACAGATGCTTGAAGGCAGCATGCTCCTTAAGAGTCATCACCACTCCCTAATCTCAAGTACCCAGGGACACAAACACTGCGGAAGGCCCCAGGGTCCTCTGCCTAGGAAAACCAGAGACCTTTGTTCACTTGTTTATCTGCTGACCTTCCCTCCACTATTGTCCTATGACCCTGCCTAATCCCCCTCTGCGAGAAACACCTAAGAATGATCAATAAAAAAAATAAATAAAAAAAATAATAATAACAATACAAGAAGAAGAAGAAAAAAAAAAAACTTCACAGGTCTCAGGCAGTCTTACTTTTGGAAGCCATACCCTATAGTATACAAAATATATTAAACTACACATGCATTCATAGTAAGTGTAATTTTTGCTGATATTGAAATATCAAAAGGGTTTTTAAAATAATTTTTCTTTTGAAATGTCTTGGCTATAAGTAATTCTTATAATGGGCTATTGAATTTATAATAGGCTATTTGATTTATGATAGGCCATTTATCAACAAGAATTCACATACTTGTGAATTCCTGCAACATGAGTAAAATATATAGCCTACAAATTGTTTTTAAATATAATGAACTTTTTAGGAATAATAACATTACAAGTAATACATTGTAGAGATATTTGATGAAATATATGTTGATCTCAAATTTGCAGTTTCCCTTTGTGTTAGGAAGCTAATATATGCTTTTCAGTGCCCAAACCTGTTCCTAGGCCCCTGATGATAAGCTATGCCTACAGAACATTTTAATGATGAAAGCGTGCTAGACAAACATCTCTGGGGGACAATTATGCAATGTCTATAAAAATTGTAAATGTGCATACATTTTTCACCAAGAAATTCCACCAAAACTAATTTATCCTACACATATACTCACAAATGTACCCAAATATGTCTTTAAAATATATATTTTATTTATTTTATATATATTATATATTTTATATATTTAAATATATATTATATACTTATTTATTTAAAAAATTATATAAATATATATATTTTTTTACTTTAAGTTCTGGGATACATGTGCAGAATGTGCAGGTTTGTTACATAGGTATACATGTGCCATGCTGGTTTTGCTGCACCTATCAACCCGTCATCTAGGTTTTAAGCCCCGTATGCATTAGGTATTTGTCCTAATGCTCTCCCTCCCCTTGCCCCCCACCCCCTGACAGACCCCAGTGTGTGTTGTTCCCCTCCATGTGTTCAAATATGTCTTTACAAGAGTGTTCATTGCTACATTGTTTGTAGCAACAAAGAATAGAAGAAACTTAAAATATCCATCAATCAGGGACTGAGTAAATAAATCATGGCACATCTGTCCATTGGAGTACCGTGCAGATCTTGAAAAAACTGGTGTACATCTAACTGTGTTGATGTGGAAAAGTCTCTTTGTGTATTGTCAAATGAAGCAAGTGAAGGTTCAAAACATTGTGTATAGAACCCCATCTCCCTTCTTGCTACACATCAGTTTTTTTAAGAAGAAGCTATATATTTTTACATATGTTTTTGTGTTTGTGAAACAGTTCTAGAAACCTCGATGGTGGTTATCTCTATGGAGTGGGACAGGGAGGGGGCCAGAGAGGGTCACTGGATTTTCTTTGAATAAGTCTATAGGTTATTTTCATTATTCAACAAAGGGTAAAAGGAGAAGGAAGATGAGGAAAGAGAATAAAAAGAAAAACATATTTCTAAACTGGACCACAAAGTTTGCCTGGCCATGACTCTGTCCTCTATAGCTTTATCTTGTGCTACTCACTCTCATTGTCCTTCAGGCTCTAGCTCACTAGTCTGCTCTCCATTCTTTGCATTTTCAGTCCTCCCTCTGACCTCTGGGTCTTTACACATGCTGTTCCTTCTAACTAGAACTACCCCAACTAGCACACACAGTTAACTTTTGCTTCTCTTTTAAATGACTTCTTGCTCCTGAGGGAAGCCTTCCGTGACTTCTCAGGCTGGGCCAAGTTCCCCATTATGCATTCTTGTAGCACCCAGTGCTTTTCATGCATGGCACTAATCGCAGTTTAAAATTCTGTATCTGTGGGCTATTGTTTCACATCTGGCTCCCCTAGTAAATTGCTGCTAATCATTTCACTATCACTCAGCACCACATATGACACATATGAGGTGCTCCATAAATATTAATGAGTAAATGAATCAACTAGGGAGGTTGCAGGGGGCAAGTCTCCCAATATGGAGTGGGGCATTGTTTAGCATGGCCCCTTTCAAGTTCTTCCTACTCAGTGGTCTCATAATTTGAGCCAATGGCTTTCTTTACCTTTGTTGTAGGAAAGTGTCCTGCAAAGGTCTTCCCTTTAGAAGTGTTAGAACACACAAGAATGAACCCTTTCTTGTGGAAAACTGGAGAAGGTGTCAATAGGCTTCATCTTAGTACTCCTAGATTTTTGTTCATTTTAACGTTGTTAGAACTCAGCAAAAGAAATGTTTATTTTATGTTGGACACATTTTGTCATACATATGTCAAACAGGCCTAAAATAAATATGACAAAAGTGAGTATATAGACAAAACAAAGGCAAAAGGAGATTTTCACTGCCAATATGGCCAATGGATCTGATCCTCCCAGAAAGAACGATATAAACTTGGATAAACATACCAAAAAAAAAAAAAAAATGACCTGGGCCTGAAGAATGATGGTAAGCAAATAGATTCTGGAGAGGCATCTACACTTGGAAAAAATGAATGGCACAGATTGAATTATTCACACGTGTGGCTTTTAACCTTTGTTCCAGGTCTAAATCAGTACTACACATGGTAGCTAAATATCTGCTTGAAAACCAATAGTCTTTCTGGCCTAAAAAAACTAGAGGACAGAGTTCAGGGCAACTGAAGCCACTGAGAAGTGAGGAGGGATTCTGTAAAGCACACAGCTAGAGAGGAGAAGTCCCAAATTCTGTGCAAAATCTCTACCCTAATCTCTGCATAGCCCCTGATCCATGCATACCTGGGCAGATTGTGAGCATCTGAGTTAGGAAAAAAAATAAGTGAACTGAGTTTTCACATAGTATAATTTCCCCTCACTCGGAAGAATTTTCTGTGCTTTTATTTTGTCATATAGTTCTGTCAGCAACAAGTTCTCTCAGTCTTCTTTATCTAAAAATATCTTATTAATAGTTTTTTCTTTATTCCTGAAAGAATACTTTCACTAGAAGTAGAATTCTGAGATGACAGTGTTTTTCACATTCACATTGTGAATATAATATTCACAATGTTGGGGTACAGTCCAAAAATATTTGACACGTGAAGATCAGAAAAATCTAACCAATTAACAAGACAAAAAAAATCAACAAAGACCAACCCTGAGATAACACAGATGTTAAAATGAGCATATAAAAATTTTAAAGCAGCTATTATAACTGTGCTAAAGCAAGTAGAGGAAAATACATGAAAGCACAGCACACATACAGGTACACACACACACACACACACACACACACACACCCCAAATGGAAAATCTAGAAATGAGAAGTATAATCTCTGAAGTTTTTTTAAAAAGGTACTGATAGGCTTAACAGAAGAATGGAAATAAAAAAAGAACGAATGAACTTGAAGATAGATCAAGAGAAAGTCTTCAATCTGAGTAACAGAAAGGGGGAAAAAAAGATTGTAAGAAGTGAACAAAGATTCCGGACCCTGTAAGACTGTATCAAAAGATCCAACATAGGTGTAGTTGGAATCCCAGAGGAGAAAGAAAATGAAGCAGAAAAGATATTCAAATAAATAATGGCTGGAAATCACTCAAATTTGGTGAAAAATATACATTTGAAGATTCAAGAAACTTAGAGAACCAAAAATAGAATAAATAAGAAGAAAATCACATCTAGGCATATCACAGTTAAATTGATGAAACCAAAGATAAAGAGAAAATCTTGAAAGCAGTTAGATAAAAATGACCCATTACTTATAAAGGAGCAATGATTTGAATGTCAACGAGTGTTTCATCAGAAACTGTGGAAGCCAGAGAACAGTGAAACATTTTTTTAAGAGCCAAAAGAAAAACACTGTCATCTCAGAATTCTACATCTAGTGAAAGTATTCTTTGGATAACTAAGATATTTTTAGTTAAAGAAGACTAAGAGAACTTGTCGCTAGCAGGACTACATGACCAAAAAAGGCAGAGAAAATTCCTCAGGGTGAAGGGAGATGATACTATATGAAAACTCAGATATCCACGAAGGAATGAAAAGTATCAAAAGTTGTAAATATTTGTGTAAATAAAACAATTATTATTATGATCTGCTTCTTTAAAATGCATAGAACTGTTTAAACAAAAAAGTATATTACCTTATGGGATTTATAATATGTGTAGAAGTAATACTATGACAACTATGGCATAAAGAATGAAATTAGGTGGACTCAGACATATAAGGCTGCAAAATACGGTCCCATATTTTCATGAAGTGATACAATATTAATTTTAAATAAACCATGGAAAGTTAAGGATATATATTGTAATCATTGGTGCAACTAACAAAAAGAAATACAAAGACATATTGATAAAAGCCAATCGATTAATTTAATGAAATGCTAGAAAAAGGACTCAATATGAAATAAAATAGAAAAGGAGGGAAAGAAAAATTATTTAAAAATTAAAAAAGAGGAGACAGAAAACTAATCATAGAGTTATTAATTCAAATTCAACTATATAAATAACTACACCAAATGTTTTGAGTAACCCTCTAATGAAAAGGCTGAGATTGTCAAAGTGTACTAAAAAAAGTGCAAACTAAGAGGCGCACTTTAAAACTAAGTGCCACTAAGAGATGCACTTTAAAAATAAAAATCCAGAGCGACTGAAAGAAAATAGATTTTTAAAAATACAGCAGGTAAACACTAAGATTAAGAAAGCTATGGTGGCTATCTTAATGGCAGAAAAAATGTTACAGAGATTAAAAAAAGGGTCATTTCATAATTATAAAGGGGTAAACTAATCAGGAAGACATGAATTATAAATATATATATATTCAACATCATAACATGAATCATAAAAGTGTATATACTCAACATAACAGGTGTATAATTTATGAAGCAAAATTATACAGAATTAAAGGAAAAATAGACAATTTCTAAGTTGTAGGTAAAGATTTTAAAACCCCTCTCTTAGTAAACGATAACCACAAAAAAATCTGTAATAAGAAAAAATACATATTATTTTTCCAAGCCCATAAGGTATGTTCAGCAACATAGACTATATAATGAGCCACAAAACAAGTTTCAATATATTGAAGTCACAGAGAGATCAACCAACATGACCTAACTGGCATTTATAGCACACTCTAACCCAAAATAGAATACACAATCTTTTCAAGTACACATTGAACAAACATGAAAATAAACCATATTCTATGCCGTGAAACAAATCTCAACATGTTTACAAAAAATCAGCATCACAAAAAGTATAATCATTTGAACAAAATTAAACCAGAAGTCAGTTAAATATAATCAAACAGAAAGATATTTGGAACATATACAAATATTTGGAAATTGAGCAGCACATTTTTAAATAACTCCTAAGTCAAAGAGAAGGTTACAAGGAAAATTAAACATATTTTAAATTGAATGATAATAAAAACACAACATAACATAATCTATAGCTTTTTCAATTAGAGTAATGCTTAGAGAGAAATTTATATTACAAAATGCTGATATTAGAAAACAGAAAGGGCCTTAAATCAATAATATCATCTACATTAAGCAACTAGAAAAAGAATAAAGTAATCCCAAAGCAAGCAGAAGGAAGGGAACAATAAAGAGAATAACAGGAATAAATGGAATTGAAAACAAAGAAAGAATAAAAATAAATGAACTTTTTTTAAAAAAAAGATACATAAAGTTGATAAACATCTAGCCAAACTAATCAAGAGAAAAAGAGAAAAGACACAAATTATCGCTATGAGGAATGAAAGAGGAGACATTACTATAGATCCAATAAATATTAAAAGAAAAATAAAGGAAAATTTTTATACCACTTTTATGAACAACTTTACAAACAACTTTGTACCAATAAAACTGATAACTTACCTTAAATGGGCAAATTCTCTGAAAGATACAAATTACCAAAACTCACTTGACAAGAAATATATGACCTGAAAAGCTCTCTATATAGAAAGAAACTAAATTCAGAGTTTAAAATATTCTCACAAAAAGAGTTCAATCCCAGAGGGTTTTACTTGTGATTTCTAACAAACATCTACGAAGGAAATAAGACCAGTTCTACACAAACTCTTCCAGAAAATAGAAGAGGATGGAACACTTCCCAACTCATTCTGAGGCCAGCACTATCCTGATACCAAAGACAACATGAAAAGAAAAGTAAACCACAGACTATTATGAACATTGATGCAAACATTTCTTTAAAATTTAGCAAATCTAATCCAAATACATATATGTGTGTATATATATTATCCAAATACATATATATCTATATTATCTAATATATATCTAATATAGATATATATAATATATACTATGTATTATTACATATATTACATATATAAATAATAATATGTATTATTATATTTTTATATCTATCTATATATATAGATATATATATATATAGAGAGAGAGAGAGAGAGACAGGGTCTCCCTCTGTTGTCCAGGCTAGAGTGCAGTGGCACAATCTCAGCTCACTGCAACTTCCTCCACCTCTGAGGCTCAAGAGATCCTCCCATCTCAGACTCCCAAGTAGCTGGGACTACAGGTGCCATGCTCAGCTAATTTTTGTATTTTTTGTAGAGATGGAGTTTTGCTATGTTGCCCAGGCTGGTTTTAAACTCCTGAGCTCAAGAAATCTGCCTGTCTCAGCCTCCCAAAGTGTTGGGATTACAGGCATGAGCTGTCACTGCACCCAGCCCCAATAATATATTTTAAAAGATAGTACATCATGACCAAGTAAGGTTTATTCCAGGAATGCAGGGTTGGCTGAATATTCAAACATCATTCAAGGTAATTCACAGCATCAACAGGCTAAAAAAAAAAAAAAAAGAACTTTATAAGCGTCTCAATAGTTGCAAAAAGTATTTGACAAAATTCAATTCAATTTATGACTTTTAAAAAATTATCAGCAAACTAATAGAAGTGAACAAAGAGATTTCTCAACCTGATTAGGGTATCTATTAAGAACCTACAGCTAAACTAATACCATTGGTGAAAAACTGAAGCCTTTGCCCCAAGAATGGAAATAAAAATATTCACTCTCAGCACTTCTATTCAACGTCATAGTAGAGATCCTCACAAGCTCAATGAGACAAAGAAAAGAAATAGAAGGCATTCAGATTGGAAAGGAAGAAATATAACTGTCCTTATTTGTTAACATGATCATATAGGTAAAAAATTCTAAAGAATCTACAAAAAACCAATTAAGACTATTAAGAGAATTGAGCAACTTCAGAGGAAACAAAGTCAATATACAAAAATCTACTGTATTTGTATATACTACAAATGAATGATTAGAAATAAAATTTATAAAATAGTACCATTTATCAGAGCATAAAAACAAAACAGTCGGCATGGTGGCTCATGCCTATAATCCCAACACTTTGGAAGGCTGAGGCAGGTGGATCACTTGCACAGAGGAGTTTGACAACAGCCTGGGCAATATGGTGAAACCCCTTCTCTACAAAAAATACAAAAATTAGCCAGGCACTGCGGTGTGCACTTGTAGTCCCAGCTACTTGGGAGGCTGAGGATGGGGGATAGCTTGAATTCAGGAGGCAGAGGCTGCAGTGAGCCAAGATCACACCATTGCACTCCAGCCTGGGCAACAGAGAGAAATCTTGTCTCAAAAAACAAACAAACAAAAAACACAAAGGGATACATCTTAATAAGTATGTGCAAGATATGTATGAAAGAAATCAAAGAAGACTCAAATAAATGAACAGACATACCATATTCATAAATCAGAAGACTCAAGATTAAACATCAATTCCCCAAAACTGATGTATAAATTCAGCACAATCCTAATCAATATTCCAGGAGGCTTTTCAAAATTTACAAGCTGATTTTAAAATTCATATGGGAAAACAAAGAACTGATAGTAGCCAAAACCATTTTGAAAAGGAAGAACAAGTTAGAGGATTCGCACTACCTGCTTTCATAACTCACTATAATAATCAGGACAGTGTGGAATTGGCATAAGAATGGACATATAGATCAATGGGACAGAATAGAAACCATAAGTAGATCTACACATGTATAGTCAATTGATTTTCAACAAAGTTCCACGATCAGTGAATGGAGAAAGCATAGGTTTTTCAACAAATAATATTAAACCATTTGGACCTCCACATGCACAAAAAAAACTTAATCTTTAACTTGAACATATGCAAAAATTAATTCAAGATGGATCCTAGAGTTAATGTCAAATCTTCATCTTCCTGACTTTAAGACTTAGGCAAATATTTCCTAAAGAGAACATAAAAAGCATGAACCTTAAGAGAAAAATTGATAAGTTGGACTTCATCAAAATGAAAAGTTTCTGTTCTTTGAAAGACTGCTATGACTATGAGAAGATAAGCCACAGTGGGCAGAAAATATGTGAAAAACACATATTTGGTAAGTGACTTGTATCCAGAATTTATGAACAACTCTCACAGTTCAATAGTAAGACAACAAATAACTCACTTTAAAAAGTGGGAATGGGCGCGGTGACTCATGCCTGTAGTCCCAGCACTTTGGGAGGCCTAGGCGGGCGGATCACTTGAGACCCAGAGTTTGAAACCAGCCTGGCCAACATGGCAAAACCCACTAAAGTTTTTAGTCTCCACTAAAAATACTAAAAAACTTAGCCAGGCCTACTGAGGTGTGCCTGTAATCCCAGCTACTTGGGTGGCTGAGGCAAGAGAATCACTTGAATCCAGGAGGGAGAGGTTGCAGTGAATCCAGGAGGGAGAGGTTGCAGTGAGCCGAGATTGCACCACTACACTCCAGCCTGGGCAACAGAAATGAAACTCTGTCTCAAACAACAACAACAACAAAACAAACAAACAAACACACAAAAAAATAGAAATGAACAATGAAATGTATACATATAAAAAATATATAGAATGTTAACAGAAGTATACAATACCCTTTTGGATACTTATGGGAAAACAAAATGGGGTCTTGGCAGCTTTAATTCTTCTTTCCCTGGTTGGAGACCCTGGCTGTTATGGGGTGGGCTGGGAAAAGCACTGGGAACACCCAGTGGGCTACGTGCATGTGTTGTGGGGCATCAGGAGTTGCTGGAAGGTCAAGACACTGAGGTGGTTTCTTTGCTGTGGCTTTCTTTCTTCCATTTGTGTGTTTCCTCTTCCCTGGCTCTGCCTCCAAGGCCTGAGTCATCTCTCCTACCCTTCCTTGTGGCCAGCTGTACTTTGAATCTTCATCCCCTCCTCTTCCTCACTGTGGCTTCCTTCCTCCTCTTGGAAGCCATCACATTCAGCTTCCTGCAACCCTGCCAGAGATGTTGCATTTCTCTTCTTCTCTATGGCAGGGAGATCCCTGAGCCACTGTGGCGCATGCCACCTGTTAAAAGAAATTACAGGGTTCACAGGCTTGGGATAAAAAGCAGCATCCACACAGAGAACAGCTGCTCTCTGTACTTATAACAATTCCTCCTTATCTATTATTTTACTTAAGGCTTAGGAGCACCTTCTGCAATAGGATGAGTAACACCCCTGCTTTACAAGGAAGGAGGCTGAGGCCTGGTGGGCCTTCCCCACTGAGGTCACATCACCCATCAATGAGCGAGCAACACAAGACTTACACCCACAGGGCTCCATGCCTCACAATGGACTGGGTGAGCCTGTTGAGGCGAGCACAGGGTTTGGAGCCAGAGAACCCCGGATCTGAGTTAGCCTCTGCCATTGGCCAGCTGTGTGATTTATGGCAAGTCACTTACCTTCTCTGAGCTTTCCCTTCCCGTGCTCTGCTGTGGTGATAATGCTACCTGCCTCACAGGGCTATATCGGTGATGGTCAAAGGCACAATGGAAGTAAAATTCTTCTACAAGGAACTCATTTGATTTCTTTCTCTGTGAAGACAAGTCTGTTTATTATTATATTTTTTGGAGTCTTGCTCATTTTATTGTGAAATATTAAAACCTAAATGTTCAAAGCCTGAGGTTATATATGCAAATAAAAATGGGACTGTTTCCCCCAATTATTTGAAACTATTGTTTTCTTCTCTATTTTTCCTCCTACCCTCCCCAGGCCCCTTGTACATAATCACGCACCCTCTGCCCACCAGCTCTCCCTGTGCAGAGCCTAACTGAGGAAACATCCACAGAGTCACTGCAACAAAATTACAGAGAGGAGTTTCTTTAATGAACACCACCTAAACACGGATGATGGGTCCATGTCCAAAAAGGAGGAAGAAGGAGAATAACGCGCAGGAAACAGAATTAACTCAGTAACATTCTCGTAAATGCAGACACACTCGTGCCTCCAGGCCTAGTCAGTTCCTACACCAAGTCAGAACCATCCCAGTCAGGAAACAGCGCGGAGGCAGGCCTGGGGTGGAGCAGCAAGGCAGCAAGGGAGTCCAGGAAAGTCCTCCACAGGGGCCCGGGCCGCGGGCGCAGCTGGGCTTGGCTCCGAGGGAGAGGGGCCGAGGGGCAGGCCCCAAGCAGAGGCTGGCCCACCCCGCAGGCGTCCTCGGCATTGTTCAGAGGGAGGCCCTGGGCGGCCCGAGCCTAGGGAGGCAGAGCAGTCTAGGCCCAGATGGCAGACGGCACCTCCGGGCCAGGCAGATGGTCAACAAAGAGGGCGCACAAAGCAGCCAGAGCCGCACAGCTCAGTCCTCGCCAAGAGCCCCCACTTGCTGCCCTCAAGCGCACACTGTGCCTCAGACCACCTCCACACAGGAGGCAAGGGAGCTGCCCCTTTGTGGGAAACTGGGACCCAGTTTTCTCCTCCAAATTTCACAGCCACATTCTAACCCCCATTTTACAGATGAGGACAGTGCTTGTCCAAGGCCACACTCACGATTTAAACCAAGCAGTCGGCTTCCAAAGCCTATGTTATTTTTATGCTTTTTCCCACAAACATTAATAAGCCAAACACACATCACTGCCTAGCTAGGCAATTCTTTTCTTTTTTTAACTTTTATTGTAGGCTCAGGGGTACATGTGCAGGTTTGTTATATAGGTAAGCTCAAGTCAAGGGGGTTTGTTGTACAGATTGTCTCATCACCCAGGTACTAAGCCTAGTACCCAACAGTTATCTTTTCTGCTCCTTGTCTTCCTCCCACCCTCCACCCTCAAGTAGGCCCCAGTGTCTGTTGTTCCCTTCTTTGTGCCCATGAGTTCTCATCATTTATCTCCCACTTATAAGTGAGAGCATGTGGTATTTGGTTTTCCATTTCCAAGTTAGTTTGCTAAGGATAATGGCCTACAGTGCCATCCATGTTCCCGCAAAAGACATGATCTCTTTCTTTTTTATGGCTGCATAGTACTCTGTGGTATATATGTGCCACATTTTCTTTTCTTTGATCTGTCATTAATGGGCATTAAGGTTGATTTCACGTCTTTGCGATTGTGAGTGGTGCTGCAGTGAACATTCACTTGCATGTGTCTTTATGGCAGAATGATTTATGTTACTGGTTATATACCCAGTAATGGGATTGCTGGGTTGAAAGGTAGTTCTGCTTTTTAGCCCTTCGAGGAACTGCCATACTGCTTTCCACAATGGTTGAATTAATTTGCATTCCCACCAACAGTGTACATGTTCCCTTCTCTCTGCAACCTTGCCAGCATGTGTTGTTTCTGGACTTTTTAATAATCGCCATTCTGACTGACATGAGAGGGTATCTCATTGTGGTTTTGATTTGCATTTCTCTAATGATTAGCGATGTTGAGCTTTTTTCCATATGTTGGCTGCATGTATGTCTTCTTTTGTTTTTTTGAGACAGAGTTTTGCTGTGTTGCCCAGGCTGGAGTGCAGTAGTGTGATCTTAGCTCACTAAACCTCTGCCTCCAGGGTTCAAGCGATTCTCCTGGCTCAGCTTCCCCAGTAGCTGGGACTGTGTCCAGAATTTATTCCTTCCTGTGGGTTCTTGGTCTCGCTGACTTCAGGAATGAAGCCGTGAACCCTCGCAGTGAGTGTTACAGCTCTTAAAGATGGTGTGTCCGGAGTTTATTCCTTCAGATGTTCAGATGTGTCTGGAGTTTCTTCCTTCTGTTGAGTTCGTGGTCTCACTGACTTCAGGCGTGAAGCCACAGACCTTTGCAGTGAGTGTTACAGATCTTAAAGGTGGTGCGTCCGGAGTTGTTTGTTCCTCCCAGCGGGTTCGTGGTCTCGCTGACTTCAGGAATGAAGCCACAGACTCTCGCGGTGAGTGTTACAGCTCATAAAGGTAGTGCGGACCCAAAGAGTGAGCAGCAGCAAGATTTATTGTGAAGAGCGAAAGAACAAAGCTTCCACAGCATGGAAAGTGACCCAAGCTGGTAGCTGCTGCTGGCTGGGGTGGCCAGCTTTTATTCCTCTATTTAGCCCCCGACCACATCCTGCTGATTGCTTTGTTTTACAGAGAGCTGATTGGTACATTTTACAGAGTGCTGATTGGTCCATTTTACAGAGTGCTGATTGGTGCATTCACAATCCTTTACCTAGACACGGAGTGCTGATTGGTGCGTTTTTACAGAGTGCTGATTGGTGCGTTTACAAACCTTTGGCTAGACACAGCGCACTGATTGGTGTGTTTACAATGCTTTAGCTAGACAGAAAAGTTTTCCAAGTCCCCACCCAACCCAAAAGCCCAGCCGGCTTCCCCTCTCAGGACCACAGGGGCAAGCCATCACACTCACCTAATTTTTTGTATTTTTGGTAGAAATAGAGTTTCACCATGTTGCCTAGGTTGGTCTTGAACTCCTGAGCTCAAGCGATCCACTGGCCTCAGCCTCTCAAAATGCTGGGATTACAGGCGTGAGCCACTGCCCCTGGTCCAGCTTGGTTCTTTTTGCTTAGGATTGCCTTAAAGCCTATGTTCTTGATCTACTTCACCAGATTCTTTTTACAGAATGAATGTTGAGCTCTTGGCCTCTGCACATGACTTCTATCCAAGGTTAGAAAGACAAAACACTGAAAATTCCTCAACCTGTGTTATCACAAGCCAGCATGTTCAATAGAGACAAATGAATCAAGCTGCCAAATTGCTTGACTAGAGATATTCATATCATAATAAGATGATAAGATATGTGTTTTTAAATGTTTATTTATTTATTTATTTTAGAGACACGGTCTCACCCTGTCAACCAGGCTGGGGTGCCGTGGCACAATCATAGCTCATGCAGCCTTGACTTCCTGGGCTCAAGTGATCCTCTTGCTTCAGCCTCCTTAGAAGCTGGGACTACAAGCACGCACCACCACACTTGGCTAATTTTTGTATTTTTATTTTGTAGAGATGGGGTCTGGTTATGTTACTCAGGCTGGTCTCAAACTGGCTTCAAGCCTCTGCATCCCAAAGTGCTGGGGTCATGGGCATAAGCCACCATGCTTGACCTAAAATAATTGTTTTTGAAAAAGAGAGATTTTGACCACACATCTTTGTGCTGGAGCACAACCAATCTGGACGACTAAACACATTTTGTAAACATAAAGAAGTGGCCTAACCAATTTCTGTGTAGCGACCCCCACTTTACCAGGTATTTTGCCAATTCTAGGGCTCTCTGATGTCCCTGAGGAAGAGGGTAGTGACATGAGGTGGCTGTCATGAGGCACACACATGCCAACTCAAAGGGAGCCTGTAGCACAAGCTCTGTCTCCACATAAAGTAATAGCAGTAGAACCAACAGTGAGGGTGGAGGTAAGAGCAGTTATGCTTATCACATTTTGAGTGCTAGGAATTTTATAGATCCCATTGATTCCTCAGGTAGACAGCACTGTCCATGTTACAGACGAGGAAATGGAGGCTGGAGATAGTGAAGTGATAGAGGAATCTCTTTATGTCTTCTTTGCCAAGGCCCCTCATCATATTCAATTCCTGGGACAAAGCAATGGGCTCAGGTTTGTGCAGGTGACCCAAGTCCGCCAGGGAGACCCCATCCTGGGACTTCTGCTGTCTTCTTAGAAAAGAGGAGCCCTCTCTCCACTGGAATGGCAGAAACAATAGGTGGGTGATTGGCCTTGAGGGATCAGAGCATCCTGCAGAGTAAGCATTCCCAAGGCTGAATTATAAAGAAAATAGGACCAGGAGATGAGGGAGGAACAGTCCTGGGGGCCTGAGTCCTGCATTGCTTGAAGCTTTCAAGTATGTGAGCAAAGCAATACCCAATTTTGATTAAACCCGTTCGTTTTCTTTTTCCACTGATTTCACCTAACTTCTTCAGCTCCCTTTCTCTTCTTTTTAACCTCAAGTGCAGGAATCATATTCCCAGTCATGATGCATAGTCATGAATCACTGGGAGTTCCCAGCAGGCAGAGGATGGGTGCCCAGAAAGACTGTCAGTCTCCTGTCAGTCAGTAGCATGTGCCCGAGTTCTTTCATCTAGTCCACTTATTCTCTCCTCACTTCTATTTTTTTTTCTGGAGCATTCTGAAGTAAATCTTAGATATCATATTATTTTACCCTTAGATACAGACTTTTAAAAAACATTACCACAATACCATTATGACGATTTCTTAAAATCATCTAATACCCAATCCGTGTTCATGTTTCTCCAATTGTCTTAAGATGTCTTTTTGTATTTGGTTTGTCTAAATCAGAATCCAATTATGCTCCTTACACTGCATATGGCTTATGTGTCTTAATGTCTTTTACATTTATTTTAACCTATAACAATATCCTCCTTGACTTTTTAATCTTGTATTACTTATTGATTAAAGAAAGAGTCATTTATCCTGTGGAATTTCTGACATTCTGGACATGGCAGATTGTATCCTCACAGCGTTTCTTAACACGTTGTTTCATCCCCTGTATTTCCTGTAAAGTGGTAGGACTGTCCATAAGCTTGGTTTAGTTCAATTTTTTTTTTAACAAGAATACTTCATGATGGTGCTGTGTATTTTCTATGGCATAACGCCTTGAGGAACCTTACATCTAGATGTTATGCTTTTGGCCATGTTAAAATTGACCAGCGGGTTCAGCTGGTGTCATCCTGATTTATCCATCATAAGACACCCTCACCGTTTACCTAATGATTTTAGCAGCATTAATGATTGAGGCTTAGATTTCAATAAGAGTTGCAAAATGCTGGTTTTCTAATTTAATCATGTTTGATCATGTTTCTTAGTTTTATAAGCTGTGATTTTTCTATAAAGATAGGCTGGGCCCTGTGGCTCATGCCTGTAATCCCAGCACTTCGGGAGGCTGAGGCAGGCGGATCACTTGAGGTCAGGAGTTTGAGACACCAGCCTGGCCGACGCAGTGAAACCCTGTCTGTACTAAAAATACAAAAATTAGCTGGGTGTGGTGGTGCACACCTGTAATCCCAGCTACTCTGCAGGCTGAGGCAGGAGAATCGCTTGAACTTGGGAGGCGGAGGTTGCAGTGAGCCGAGTTCGCACCACTGTACTCCAGCCTGGGTGACAACAGTGAAACTCTGTCTCAGCAAAAAAAAGATAAAGTTTTTCCCATCAACCATTTGACTATTCTGAAACATAGACCATCCAGTAAAGGCAGGGTTAATGCTTGGTTATTTTCTTTTATTTACCTTTTTTTCAGAATAATGACTTATTCCCTGTAAATTAAAACAAAACAAAACAAAACAAACCGAGAAACTCACAATACACCCTGATCTGATCACTATATATTTTGTAGATCAAAACATCACTATGTACCCCATAATATGTTCAATTATAATATGTCCATTTTAAAAATAAAAACAAATAAATAAATTTATTCGCCAAAAAAATAAGTTTTTGAGTATCATTTAAAGAGGATTTCTAATATGTATGATATTTCAGTACACTATAATTATTATTCTTTTTGATGCTCAAATTGTCTCATCTTTGGCCACTGAAAGCTCCTTCAAGTTGGACTCTATATCCTTCTGGCATAGCCTGGAAGTCCTGAGAGCTTTCCTGCTCGCTGGCACAGGATGTCTTAGGCATATCTTGTACGTATCCTGCCCCAGCCCTGGAATCAATCATTTCTCCAAGGAGTCCTGGTTCCTTTTGGTGGTAAATGGTGCTTACATGAACAAAGTCATTTCAAAAGCACTTCCTCTCTGGAAATGAAGCAGACGAGAAGTTCAAAAATCACTGGTCAGATCTTTCCTGGTGCAGCCAGGGGAGGCAGATGCTGCAAAGCGACTTCACTATGTTCAAGATTTTGGCCTCTGGCTGGCCCTGCCGGAAAGGACCATGGAGAAAAGCCCAGAAAAACTAAGGCCAGCTGTCTTCTCATCCTTCCCGGAGAGCAACTGGCCAAGAGCTGACAGGTGTGAGGCTGGTGTTTTCCTGCAGACCTGCTCTCTCTGCTCATCCAGCTGATATCTGCAACAAAGTGTGCTGGGCTTCCTCACAGAGCACTGGACAGTGCTATTGTGAACTGTGTAATGGAAGGGGGAGTGACATGGGAGGAGTGGAGTGGGAGGAGAGGCTAATGGTTACTAAGGGCTTTTTTTTTTTTTTTGAGAGGAAGTCTCGCTCTGTGGCCCAGGCGGGAGTGCAGTGGCGCAATCTCGGCTCACTGAAAGCTCCGCCTCCCGGGTTCACGCCATTCTCCTGCCTCAGCCTCCCGAGTAGCTGGGATTACAGGCGCCCGCCATCACGCCCGTCTAATTTTTTTGTATTTTTAGTAGAGACGGGGTTTCACCGTGTTAGCCAGGATGGTCTCGATCTCCTGACCTCGTGATCCGCCCGCCTCGGCCTCCCAAAGTGCTGGGATTACAAGCGTGAGCCACCGCGCCCGGCCACTAAGGGCTTTTACAATTTCTTATTTAAACCTCATCATGACCCTAGAAGGTAGGTACTACTTGTATCTCCATTGTACAGCTGAGGAAAATGAGGCTCAAACAGGCTCAGTCACTTGGCTAAGGTCACCATATATTAATAATAAGTAAATGGAAGGGTTATAATGTGACCCAGGTCTTTTGGGCTTCATAGCCTTTGTTCTTTTCATGACAATGGGCTCCCTAAGCCTGGGGAGGGAGGTACTTGCATATCAACAACACTAGCAGCAGCCCCAACTGAAATTGGTAAATGCCACCCTAATATCCTTTCTCCCTTCCTTTCTTATTATAGAATTCTGATTTTATAATGGAGAACAATGTGCTCAGCTTGAAAACTACATTTCCCAAGTTATCTTGCAGTTAGGGGTGGCAAATGTGACATGAGTAGAAGTTGTGGCATGGGACTTCTGAGTAAGCTCCTTATAAGGGAACAGATAGTGGCGGGGCACCCTATTGCCTTCCTCCCATTCCTAGCTTCCTGCTTTAACTGTGGCCATGATGACT
This sequence comes from Homo sapiens, assembly GCF_000001405.40. Taxonomy (NCBI): domain Eukaryota; kingdom Metazoa; phylum Chordata; class Mammalia; order Primates; family Hominidae; genus Homo; species Homo sapiens. The sequence goes on along the minus strand of NC_000003.12, from coordinate 141,012,689 downwards.
GGAGCTCCAATATCATCTTGGATCATGCAACAGCCTTGAAAATGGAAGCCTGGCATTAAGGATAAGGGAATAGGAACGGAGAAGGAGGCTGGGTCCCTGATGGATGACCATTAGAATTGACATGCCGGCCCCAAATGCCTATCTTTGTACTTCATTTCTGAGAAAGAGAAACAGACTTCTGTCATGTTTAAGCCTCTTACTTGGGTATTTTGTTCCAGGCAGATGAACCTAATTTAAATCGATATAAACCACAGCATCCAAATCAGACATGATGCAGAATTCTGGAACTTCAGTGATCTCCTAGTTCAGAAGGTTTCAGCCTTCCTGATCAAACTTCCCTTTGTATAACAAATATTTTGCAAGGCCTCCTTTATCATCTTGAAAAAAATGTACATGTAATATATCCCAATCAATATAATGTCCTAATTCCAATATAAAGGAGAAATAAAAGGAAAGTGATTTGTAATAATATGTAGTTTAATATATAGGTGCTCGGGCACAATTTCAGCAGCAGATACGATGAAGCAGTCAGATGCCAATACTTACAGGTAAACTCACTGTGAGCAAAGCAGCTTCAAATGCAGGCTGATAACCAGGGGGGTTATTTGTGACTCAGATACAGGAGTGGTAGTGTCACTGGTGTTGTGGCTGTCTGAAATGGCAAACAACTCTCGGCAAAGTTTCAATCAAACGAATTTTGCCTTGATTTACACAGTAGATGCATTTCTAGGAAACACTGTATATTGAAACCACCCAAAAATACTTCTGTTTATTTATAAAACAGAGTTCTAGGATCAAGTAGTTATGAGCAGGTGGTTCACTACGTCAGTTTCTGGTAGAATACTAAGAATTCATGTGAGGTTCATGACAGCTGTGTTGTATGGAGTTGTCCCACACTTTGCAGGGCTGCCAGCAACCCCCATCCACACCCACCAAGTGTCCTCCTCTCCTATCAGCCTGAAGGCGGAAAGCACCGCTCAAGCCTCCCGAGCGCCCCCTCGTGCACAGTCCTGTTCTTGCTGAGAATCGCTGGCACAGCGCATCTCTCTGAAATGCAGACGTCTCCTCTGCAGCTTCCAGAATGAGAGCAAAATCATCACAACGAGAGTGCCTTCTCTTTCATGCTCCTTCTGGATCTCAGGAACAACTCTAGGGGATGGGTATTATTGTCTCCATTTGCCAGATGAAGAAGCAGAAGACACTGGAAATTACTGATGCTGAAACAGTTGCACCCTGAGCACCTCAACAATTGAATTCTCAGTCTCTAAGAGAAGTAACAAAGAGTAAGGACATCTAACCATCTACACAACTGTCTCTGTTTCATATAGAAACACTTAGCTAACGCTGCAGATTTTTCTCATAAGACACTTGCCATGCCAATTAACTTGGGCTGGGGTAACGAATCCCTGGATAATATGAATTTATAATCTAACGATGTTTTGCTAGTATCATAAGAGTAAAGATGAAATGCCTCTGTGTCACTCTTCTGCTAACAACCACTCAGCCCAAAATGCAAGCTGGATAAGCAGGGACTCCCTTTAGGCACATGGTCCCACAGAACACACACGGCTGGTATTCAGCCGCAAGAAGGAATTTATTATGGGAGTTCCTAAGAGCAATGGCATGAGAGGAATCAATGTGAAAAATCTATATTTCTTCTACCAAAAATTGACCAATTTATTCTCACCTCCCAAATTATGGTTTGACTTTAGCTTTGCGGAACTTGAGGCAAGGTGAATTTACACTGTGATTTCTTTCCTTCATACAGATGAACACCTGACTTACTGACAAAGTTTCTCATATATATATATGAGAATATATATATATTCTTTCTTTTCTCAATGCTCATTTTTTTCTTTTTTTTTTTTTTGGAAGAGGAAAAGACTAAGGCTGGCAAAATTTTCTCTAAGCATACATCAGGCAGCTAAAGGGTTTAAATGAAAGTGCAATTGATTGCTTTCCTCCAGCTGGGGAGGGGATTGGGGTGGGGTGGCATGAAGGACCCTGTACTTACCAGCCTCCTACTGTGTACCAAACCTTCTCACAGGTGCTCATCAAATTTAATGGCCAAAGCAACCGTATTGGTCATTATAATTGCCATCTTACAGATGGGAAAAATAAGAGAAGATGACTTGCTCAAGTTCCCAAGCACGTGCTAGCCTCAGGATTTGAACCTAGATCTGTCTGAACTAGGAAACCGTAGTGATTTTATGATACCCTTTGGTAACCACTTGTTTGTATAACCTTGCCTTCCTCCACTGTTTCACACAGGACATGGTGTTCACTGCCCCACTGGGCATTTTTTTTTTTTTTGAGACAGGGTCTCATTCTGTCACTCAGGCTGGAGTGCAGGAGCGTGATCATAGCTCACTGTACTCTCAAACTCCTGAGCTCAAGTGTTCTTCCCATCTCAGCCTCCTAAGTAGGTGGGACTACAGGCACACACCACCATGCCCAGCTAATTTTTTTAAATTTTTGTAGAGACGAGGTCTCACTATGTTGCCCAGGCTGGTCTGGAACTCCTGGTGTCAAGTGACCCTCCTGCCTCACCTTCCCAAAGTACTGGGACTATAGGCATAAGCCACCACACCCAGCCTTAACATAAATCTTTGCGTGGCACAAAGAGCTGGACTTTCTGCCCTTAGAATTTGTCTCAGTTCCCAAATCTGAAACTCCAGGGGCGCAATCGTAAATGGAAACTCTACTTGCAGGGGCCTTTAGAGAGGAGCTCTTTCTCCTCTCAGCTCTGTCTCTCCCACAGATATAACTGTGAGCACAATTTTAATGGTCTTTCACTATACACAATGAAGAACTGTTGAAGGAAGTTCTAAATTCCATGAAGCTCTGCCATGATTTCACTATAATTCCGTAAACATATGCTGAATATGAATAAACGAATAAACAAGAAAACCAATGACTGTATTCTGTGCTTCCCAGCCTGAGAATAGTTTCTCAATGAGTGAGGACTAAGGGAAGTGCTGGAACAGGCCTACTGCAGGCCTGGGCTCTTCCCCTCTTCCCACCTGCTTTAAAGTAAAGCCCTCCAGGAACAGAGAGGAAATTGCACCAATAAACACAATATTATTTTAAATCCTTGATTTCCTGCATGACATAGCAAAGCATTTGCTCTCGTGCCCACTCAAGTCAGCATGAAATCCCATCCCAAAAAAGTGGAGGGGGGCTAGAGGGAGATTAAAAAGAGAGCATTTATCACAACTGCAATTAGAATCAGAATCAAATTGTTTTAAAGAAACAATGTCAACGTTTTACAGACTATTCTTCTATGAAGTAGGGAGTCTGGGAGCACCCAGCTGCTGTTTTCAACTTCATAATCTCATTCTAGCTAAATTATACCATTCAATCACAAAAGTATTAATATGCAGCACAAACTTGTATATATACAACAGTACTAAATAGTCTGTTAAAGGGCAAGTACCTAATGGCAAATGAGTTTATTCAAACCATATTTAATTTGCCCTTTATCATCACAGAAGACTATGAAACCATTCTTTATTTCTCTCTGTGTTTTAATGGTTGTCATCTATCAGGCTCTTGGGCATCTTGTGCATTTTGATAAAACGTTAATCTAACAGATGTTCAGGGACACTCCTCTGTGGGTGGATGCTGTCTCCAGGTTCTGAAGGTTCTCAGTGCCTGCTCCTCAGCTCAGAGGGGAAGAACCACTGTGGACATCCAGACAGTGGCTCCATGCCCCACAGCAGCTGCTGGACACCCCCTAGGCTTCTGAAGGGGCGCGACACCTTATTTCTATTTAAGTCTCAAGTCAACTCTGTTTCTAAAATCTTTTCAACTAGAAATAGGTTTCGATTGGGAAAATTGTCAGGGTGGATTTTTTTCTAAATTATTTCTCACCTAAGTTGAAAATTGGGTTGCATTTGTAATTATTTTCTAATTGTTTCAGGAATAGAATTAACCTTGCAGCCACACAACATCCCTTCTGTGGTATTCCTTCCCTAAGGTGCATAACCTCAATCTCATCATAAAGATAAAATAAGACAAACCCAAATTACAGGTCATTCTACAAAATAATTGATCTGTACTTTCAAAAGGATTAGTGTCTTCAAAGTGAAACTGAGAATAGCTCTGGATTGAAGGAGACTAAACAGACGTGATAACTAAATGCAGCCTGTGATTCTGAACTGAATCTTTTTGGGAGAATCACTTGAATATGCACTGTACATTAGATAGCAGCAATGCATAAATGTTAATTTCCCCATATTTGGTCATTGGACTATAGTTATATAAGAGAATGTTCTTAATCTCTGCAATTTACTTTTAACTGAAAAAAAGGAATTAAAACAAAAAATTGAATGAGGATATGTAAATAGTATGCACACTATATTAGCTTCTGATTGTTGCTTTAACAAGTTACCAGAAACTTAGGGCTTTAAGTAGCACAAATTTATTATTTAACAGTTATGGAAGTCAGAAATCCAAAATGGGTCTCACTGGGCTAAAATCAAGGAGTCAGCCAACCTGCATTCCTTTCTGGAGGCTTGAGGAGATAATCTGTTTTCTTGCCTTTTCCAGCTTCTAGAAGTTGCCTGCATTCCCTGGCTCTTGGCCCCTTTTCATCTTTAAAACAAGTAATGGCTGGTTGAGTCTTTCTCACAATGCTATCTCCCTGGTTCTGACTCTCCTGCCTCCATTTTCCTTGTTTATAAGGCCCTTTGTGATTGCATTGGGTCGACCTGAATAATCCAGTGTACTGTCATTATCTTAAAGTCAGCTGATTAGAAACCTTAATTTCATCTGTAATCTTAATTCTTTCTTGCCATGTAACAAAATATACTCATAGGCTCCAGAGATAAAGATGCAGACATCTTTGGGGAATCATTAGTCTGTATAACACACACACACACACACACACACACACACACACACACACACACGAGAAAGCAAACATTCCAAGATGTTAACAAGTTAACAGTAAATGAAGGGTATATGCACCATGACAATTCTCATCCAAGTGGGATTTATCTCAGGGATGCAAGAATGGTTTAAAATAAACAAATCACTAAATGTGATACATCACATTAACAGAATGAAGGATAAAAACCACATAATCATCTCAATAGGCATGGAAAAAGCATTTGATGAAATCCAACATCCCTTTATGATAAAAACTTTCAACAAATTAGGTATAGAAGGAACATGCCTCAACAAAAGGAAGGCCAGGTGTGACAAACGCACAGCTAACATCTTACTAAATAGGGAAAACTTGAAAGCTTTGTCTTTGATAACTGGCACAGGATAAGAATGCCTACTTATTATTCTTATTCAACATAGTATTGAAAGTCCTAGTCAGAGCAACTTAGGTAAGACAGAGAAATAAAGAGCAACCCAATTGGAAAAGAGGAATTCAAATTATTCCTGTGTGCAGACAACATGATCTTATATACAGAAAAACCTAAAGACACCACTAAGAAACTCTTGGAACTGATAAACAAATACAGTAAAGTTGTAGGATACAAATCAGCATACAAAAATCAGTAGCATTTCTATACACCAATAATGAATTAGCTGAGGAGAAAATCAAGACAGCAATCTCATTTGTAATAGCTACAAAAATAAAATGCCTAGGAATAAATTTTACCAAGGAAGTGAAAGAACACTACCATAAAACTATAAAACACTGATGAAAAAATTGAAGAAGACACACGAAAAAGAAACTATATCCCATATTCATGAATTGGAAGAATAATGTTAAAATGACTGTGCTACCCAATGCATTCTACACATTCAATGTAATCCCTATCAAAATACCAATGGCATTTGTCACAGAAATAGAAAAAAAAATTCTAAAATTTGTATGGAACCACAAAAGACCTTGAATAGTCAAATAAATCCTGAGCAAAAAGAACAAAGCTGGAGGCATCACACTACCTGACATTAAAAAAATGCTATAAAACTATAGTAACCAAAACGGTATGGTACTAGAAATAAAACCAGACACATAGACCAATGAAACAGAATAGACAACCCAGAAATATATTCATGTATTTACAGTCAACTGCTTTCAACAAAGGCACTGAGAAAATACAGTGGGAATATGACACCCTCTTCAGTGAATGGTGCTGGACTGGATACCCACAGGCAGAAGAATGAAACTGGACTCCTATCTCTAACTATATACAAACATCCACTCATTAGGATTGAAGACAAATGTAAGACCTTAAGCTATAAATCTACTAGAAGAAAACATAGGGGAAATGCTTCAGGATTTTATGATCTAAGGATTTTATGGATAAGACTTCAGAAGCACAGGCAACAAAAACAAACACAGACAAATAAGATTATGGAAAATTTTAAAGTTTCTAGCTGGGAACAGTGGCTCAAGCCTGTAATCACAGCACTTCAGGAGGCTGAGGCAGGTGAATCACCTGAGGTCAGGAGTTCGAGACAATCCTGGCCAACATGGCAAAACCTCATCTCTACTAAAAAAAAAAAAAAAAAAAAAAAAAATAGCCTGTGTGCCTGTAATCCCAGCTACTCAGGAGGCTGAGGCAGGAGAATTGCTTGAACCCGGCAGGCAGAGGTTGTAGTGAGCCGAGATCATGGCAATGCACTCCAGCCTGGGTGACACAGCAAGACTCCATCTCAAAATAAAAGTTTCTACACTGCAAAGGGAACAATCAACAGAGTGAAGAGACAATCTGCAGAATGGGAGAAGATATTTACAAACTATTCATTGAACAAAGGATTGATATTCAGGATATACAAATAACTCAAACAACTCAATAGCAAAAAACAAATAATCTGGTTTAAAAATGGGCAAATGATCTGAATAGACATCAGATCATTTCTCAAAAGAAGACATACAAATGGCCAAAATGTATATGAAAAAATGGTCGACGTCACTAATCATCAGGGAAATACACATAAAACCCACAGTGAGATATCATCTTATCCCTGGTAGAATGACTATTATCAAAAAGACGAAAAAACAACAAATGCTGGTGAGGGTGTGGAGAAAAGGGAACTATTCACTACAGGTTGAAATATAAATTCATATGGCCATTGTGAAAAACAGTATGGAGGTTCCTCACAAAACTAAAAATAGAGCTACTATATGATCCCACAATCCCACTACTTGGTATTTAACCAAAGGAAAGGAAATCAGCATATCAAAGAGATATCTGTAACCCCATGGTTATTGCAGCACCATTCACAATAGCTACAATATGGAATCAACCTAGGTGTCCAGTAACAAATGAACAGAAAAAGAAAATGTGGTGTATATATATAATGGAATACCATTCATCCATAAAAAGGAATGAAATCCTGTAATTCATGGCAAACATGGATGAGCCTAGAAGACATGTTAAGTGAAATAAGTCAGGCACAGGAAGACAGAGATCTCATGTTCTCATTCATATGTGGGAACTAAAACAGTTGTACTCATAGAAGTAGAGTGTAGAATACTGGTTACTAGAGGCTGGGAAGGGTAGCGGGGTGGGTGGAGAGGAAGAGGTTCCCTAATGGATCCAAAAGTACAGCTAGTTAGGAGGAATAAGTTATAATGTTCTACAGTGCTGTAGGGGGATTACAGTGAACAATATTTATAGCATGTTTTCAAACAGCTTGAAGAGAGGATTTTAGTGTTCCTAACACAATGATAAGTGTTTGAGGTGATGGATATGCTAATTACCCTGAATTGATCATTACATATTGCATACATGTATCAAAATATTACTCTGTACTCCACAAACATGTACAATTATTATGTGTCAAATAATAAATAAATAAAAATGGAAGAAATGAAGGATATATGGAAATTAAGTGCAATACACTAGAAGCTTTTTGTGGGTTTAAATGTTTTTCACAAAATAAAAAGTCTAACTTAAAAAAGCCTTACAATAATGCTGGATATTTCAAGCAACCACAATCCCTTATCTAAAATTCTAAAGGTCAAAAGCTCTGAAAACTGAGTTTTTAAAATAACTTCTTTGGCAACAAAGCCCCACCTGAACTGCCATAAGGCTCTTTATGGCCTCGATTTACTCCCTTGCTATGACTACGCATATGCTTTGCTGCAGAAGTATCAATGTCCCATCATTCAGTCAGCACAGTTTCACTGACAGTGGTTTATGTGCCCGGCTCTGGGCCTGGTACCAGGGAGGCAGGGCCCTACTCTTCAAGAGCCCAGAGTGGAAGGGAGCGAATACCCAAGCTACCATGAGATCAGCAGAACCCAGCACAGGCCTGAGGGTGGGGGAAGATGAGGAGCAGGGGCAGAGAAGGCTTTCTGGGAGATGGGATGCTTGTTCACCAGATGAGTGGAGAAGGTAAGTGAGGACACTTTAGGTGGAGTGCAGCATGGAAAAGTGCTTGGAGGCTTAACAGCCTTACTTATTTGGGAAACTTAAATCAATTGTCTGATAGGAAAGACAGGGGAGGAAGGAAGAGAAAACAGGGCCAGGTCACGGAACTGAGCCTCTTAGCATGGGGTTACCTGCTTTTTTGATCCTGAAGTTCCCAGAGAGCTACTGAGGAGGTTTTGTTGCTACGGAAGATTTAATACAGAAACACACACACACACACACACACACACACACACACACACACACACACACAGATAGATATGAGGTAGGCAGCTTCTAAAAGGGCTCTCAGTAATTCCTGCCTCCTGGAATACTCTTGGGTAATTCCATCCCCTTGAGTGTGGGCTGGCCCTAGTAACTTGTTTGTAATGAATAGAATACGGCAAAAGCAACAGGTTGTCATTCTGAGATTAGGTTATAAAAGACTCTGGCTTCTTTCTGGCCTGCCTCTTGCTCCATCGCTCACCCACTCTAATAAAGCCAGTGCCATGGCACAAAACTGAGTGTGGGCTTTGGCCAAAAGCTATCAAGGATCTGAGAATTCAGTCCAACAGCTCACGAGGAACTGAATCCTGCCAACAATCACGTGAGGGCACCTAGAAGTGGTTTCTTTCCAGTAGAGTCTTGAGTTGCCTGCAGCCCCAGGTGACACCTTGCAACCTGTAAGAGTCTCTTTCGGAGATGGAAAACCCAGATTCGTGATCCATAGAAACTATGAGATGATAAATACCTGTTGCTTTAAGTTACTGAGTATCAGAGTAATTTGTTATGCAGTGATAGGAAAAATATTTTCTTCTGACAAAGGTAACCATCATCTAGAATTTTGTGTTTATTATTCCCTTGGTTTTCTTTATCATTTTGACATGGATATATGTTTGCCTAAACATATTTTGTTGCGTTTTGCCAGATTTTATACTTAACTTCAACAGAATCATGCTATCGGTATACTTCTGTGACTTGTTTTTCTTATTCAAAATTAAGTTCCTGAGACTGAGCCACATTGATGATATAGTTCGTTATGTGACGTGTTTCCGCATACTCCTGTCCATGGACTCGCAGAATGCTTTCAGTGTTTTGCTATTGCCACCAGGCTGCTATGAACATGCTGTGTGACTCCTAGAACACAGGAGTCAGGATTTATCTGGGGAATTATAGGCCTAGGAGTGAAAGTGCCAGTTTATATGTTATAAGTATTTTCAACTTTAGAATATAGTACAAATTTTTTCCCAAAATGCTGATACCACTTAACACTCCCAAGTAGAGTACATAAACATTTCTTTGTTCATATCCATTTGATATTGTCTGATTTATTACATTTTGCCTTTTTGATAGTTGCAACATGACATCTCATTATGATTTTAATTTGCAGTTTCCTAATTATCATACTATTAACATGACCATTTTTAACATGTTTATTACATATCAGGTTTTATTCTCCTGTGAAATACTTATGACTTTTGGCCAGGTTTTTACTGGAGTGTCTTTAACTGATTGATTCATAGATATTCTTTATATATTCTATTTCTATCCCTCATCAGTCATCTGTGTGGAAAATATATTTTTCCAGTTTTTGAATTATCTTTTCATTCTTTTTGGAGTACTTTGAGAAAAAAAAGTTTTGAAGTTTAACATAGGCTCACTTATCAATCATTTTTAATATCTTTTTAAAGCACTTTGAATATCTTGCTTAAGAAAACCCTTTCTCTCACTCATTTGTAGACTTTCTCCTATATTTTCTTCTTCTTACAGTTGTAAAAGTTTAGCTTCTCACATTTAAGTCTAATTCATCCGAAATGGCTTCTTTTAGTATAGCATGAGGTATCCACCAATTGGATATGAATATTTAATTCTATATTTTTTCATATGGATAACTTTGAAACAGCACCATTTTGTTGGATGGTCGATCCATCTCTCACTGATTTGCAATGTTGTCTCTGACATGGTCACGTTTCTTCATAGGTGTGTCTCTGTTTCTAGGCTCTGTCTTCTGTTTCATTATTCTAGTTTATATCCCTGTACCCAAACCATACTGTCTTAGTTACTCTAACTTTATAATAATAATGTTACTGTATCCTATTCTTCTTCTTTGGAAGCATCTAGGCTATGCTGGTTCTTTGTTCTACCATGTACATTTTGGAATTATTTTAACAAATTCTAAGAAAAAAGCTATTGAGCTTCAATTTTGTAGAACCAATAGGTCTATTAGACACAATTGGCATCATTATAATACCAAGGTTTTCTAACCATAACAATTCCTATCCATTTATTTGGGACTTCTTCAAAAGTTTTCCAAAAGAGTTATAATTTTTTCCACATTTTCTTCCTATATTTTCTGAGCTTTATGTTCAGCTATATGATTTTTCATGGTTGCTTTTATAAAAAAGGCATTATTTAAAATTTATATTTTGTTTCTTGCCTACTATAAAATACAGTGTTTTCTATATATCCTGCAATGTTGTTAAACATATATTAATTCTAATAATTTACCTATGGATTATTTTCTGTTTTCCATATTGATGATCATAACAGCTTCATTTCTTCCTTCTTAATTGTTTCTGGCTAGGACCCTAATTATGATATTGAATAAAAGTGATAAAAGCAGACGTTCTTGATTTGTTCTTGATTTTGAAGAAACTACTATAATATGTCACTTTAAGTATGATGTTTTCTATAGGTTTATTGAAGATATTTTCTATCTGGTTAAATAATTCCCCTTCCATTTCTAGTTTGCAAAGAGTTTTATCTCGAATGAATATAACATTTCACTAAATGCTTTTTCCACACCTGTGAGAATCATGTGGTTTTTCTTCACTAATCTGCTGATGTGAAAAATTTACACTGATAATTTTTTAAATGTTAACTAACCTTGTATTACTGGGATTAACCCAATTTAATTATAAATTTATTATATTTTTAAAAATGCCATCAATAAATTCCTTTTGCTTTGAGCCTATCAAGTTCATGAATGAGATTGGCCTGCAATTTTTCATACTGCCTTCTTGTTCCTGCTTTTGCAATCAAGATATAATAATCAAAAAATGATTAAAGAGTGTACCATTATTTTCTGTTTTCTGGAAAAATATACGTACATTTGCAATGATCTGTTCCATAAGTGGTTGATGAAACTTGATGGTTAAAATCTAGGATTTCTGGGTGTGCTATGAGAAAATTTTAAACCACAGATTAAATTTCTCTTCATAAGCCAGTACTAATTAATTTGGCAAGTGATTCTCATGAACTTGTTAATTTCATCTAAATTTAAAAAATGCTTAGTATAATATTTTGATAATCAACACAGTTAAGATGAGTTACATTTTTTTGAAACAGAAATAAAAAATCTAGTGGCTTCAGCTGGTTTCATTTTTGTTGTATAATGGTAAGATCAAAGGTTGGTTGTCTAGAGTGGTACCGTTGCTCCACATTGCTATCTGGGATGATTTCTTTGTCTTGCTGCTTAGTCATGTCCTGTGTGCTTGTGACTACCTTGTCACAGGTTGCTTGGCCTCAAGCATGATGACAGCATTCCAGGCAAGAGGGAGTAAAAAGGTAAAGGGAGTGAGATATGGTCCAAGTAGAGATAGACATCTAGCGCAAGGTTTCTATTTTATAGCTGAAACTGCAAAGGCAAATGCACTAAGTGGTAGAACATATCAAGCATTTGAAAAATCAGGGGAAACTAGTATATAGAGATATAAGCTCTATCACAGCTCTAGAAAAAAATTAACAAATGGCTGAGTGATTAGCAGGTCATTGAAAGCCAAGTGTGAAAGCCAGGGGGGCTTCTTTAGCAGCACACAAAGAAGGGCTCATCTCTGCAGTGGGAGGGCAAGGAGACTAAGGACCAAGCCTAGGATCTAATCATCAGAGCAGACCAGCTCCAAAGATTGAATTCCCAACCAAAGTAGGTCTGCTATGCCCAGGCCAGAGCTCTGATTGGGAAAGAATGGGGCACATGTGACAGAGTCATCTGAGTTGATGCTTCTGAAAATCTTAAATGCCTACTCTAGTGCTGACAAGTGGCACAATAACAAAGTCACCACAGTGGCAGAGATGAAGGCTCTGCCTGGGCCCAGCAGCATGGGCTTCCACCCGTAGAGGCTGATCGAGCTATTGCTGCCACCAAGTGGCCAACCTTCCAGCAACAGAGACCAATGCTAAGCCCCAGACATGACACCATTCCTTGAGGGGACCAGGCAGCCAGGAAGTGGGAAGTTGACTATATCTGTCCTTTTGCATTAAGGAAGGGCCAGAAATGTGTTTGGACAGAAATGGACACATATTTTACATATGGGTTTGCCTTTCCTGACAGCACCTCCATCTGAGAACTTACAGAAAATATGACCCATTTGCACATCACATCAGACCAGGGGGCCCACTTTCCAGGGAAGGAGGTATAGGAGCAGGCCTGTGATCACAAGATCTACTGGTTATATCACACTTACCACCCAAAAGCTTCTGACCTCATAGGCTTGCAATGGCCTGCTGAAGGCACAGCTGAAGTTCCAGTTCACAGGTGACACTGAATCAAGATGGGACACTATCCTCCAGGATGTTGTATACAAACTGAAAACTATTAGGTGGATCTGCATCCCCAAAAAGAGGAATGCATGCATCCAAAGGGGTGATTCCACCTATCACCTCTAGCTGGTGAGTTTCATCTTCTTGCAACTCTGGGCTCTGCAAACTTAGAGGTCTGGGTCCCCAAAGAGAGGAACACTTATGCCAAGAACCCACTTGAACCATAAGCTGCATCTGCCACCTAGGCATGTCAAGTTCTTCATGGCCAGCAGGCAAGAAGAGGGGTCTTCATTTTATCAAGGAGAATTGGCCCTCATCATTAGGAGAAACTTATGGTTTTCTGCTGCACAATGAGGGTAGGGAGGAATAAAGGGGAACCAGAAGATCCACTTGGATCCCTCCTGGTATTCGCTTTCCCAGTTTTGATGGTAGCTGGGCAAGTGCAGCAGATCTGTCCTGAGAAAGGTATGGTGACCAGACATTGAGACACTGCAGAGATGAGTGTCTGCATTGTGTCATCATTTGAACCACTAAGACCAGCATAAGCGTGACCTGAGAGTGGGGGAAATCTAGAATAAACTGGGGAAGAGGGAAGCAATGAGTATACTTGTAGCTTCAAGATCAGCTGCAATTTTCCTCTTAAGTTTCCTTCAGCAAGAGCATCCCACTGGAATTCCCGTTGATAGTGTTGTTCAAATCTTCCGCAATACACTGGAGAGGTGGATCTGGACTATAGTGGACAAGGAATGGCATCACATAGATCACCATTTCAAGAAATCTATTCTTTTCCTCTAAGTTGTTGCATTTATTGGCATAAAGATCTTCACATTTGCTTATTATCTTATTATTTCAGTATTTGTAGCATTGGTAGTATTTGTCTCTGTTTTATTTATGATATTGCTAACTTGTGTCTTAGTCTTTTTTTTTTTTTTTTGAGGCAGGGTCTCACTCTGTCACCCAGGCTGGAGTACAGTGGTGCATTCACTGCAGCCTCAACTTTCTTGGACTCAAGTGATCCCTCTACCTCAGCTTCCCAAGTAGCTGGGACTACAGGCACATGCCACCATGCCCAGCTAGCTTTTAAATTTTTTGATGGAGATGAGGTCTCACTATATTGCTCAGGATGGTCTCGAACTCCTGGGCTCAAGTGATCCTCCTGCCTTGGCCCCCAAAGTGTTGGCATTACAGTCTTGAGCCACCACGCCCAGCCTGTCTTATTCTTTTTATCAGTCTAGCCAGGGTTGTATCAACTTTATTAATCTTTCAAAAAACCAGCTTTTAGTTCATGAATGTTTTACACTTTTTATTTTATTGATTTCTTTATTATTATCTTTATTATTTCCTTTTTTCTATTTAGGGATAAATTAGCTCTTCTTTTTCTAGTTTTTTAAGGTGGGAGCTTAGATCTTTTATTTTATACTTTTCTATTTTTACCATTAAAGCCATTTATTTCCCTTTAAAGCACATCTTTAAATGCATCCCACAAATTTTGATATGGTGTTTTCGTGATCATTCAGCTCAAAGTATTTTCTAAAGAATCTTATGATTTCTTCTTTGACCCATGGATTATTTAGAAGTATGCTGTTTAACTTCAGAATATTAGGAGGGATATTTCAGGTATTTTTCTGTAATTAATTTCTGATTTTATTCTACTTTAAATAATACTCTGTATTATTTAAATCCTTTTACATTTATTGAGACTTCTTTTATGACCCAGTATATAGTCTATGTTGGTGAATGAACCGTATGCATTGAAAAGAAAATTTTTTGCTTTATTGGATGGAGTATTCTATAAATGCCAATTAGATCAAGTTGGTTGATAGTATTGTTCAAATCTTGTATATCTTTACTGACTTTTTGTCTATTTGTTCTACCACTTATTAAGACAGGAGTGTTGATGTTTCCAACAATAGTTATGGATTTGTCTATTTTTACTTTCAGTTGTAAGCTTTTGCTTGGAGTATGTCTGCTTTATGTGATGTTAATATAGCCACTTAGCTTCTTGTGCTTAGTGTTTGCATGGTATATCTCTTTTCATCCTTTTATTTACTTCTAATCTCTCTGTGTATCTGTATTTAAAATGGGTGCATCTGCATGTTCTCACTTATAAGTGGGAGCTGAATGATGAGAACACATGGACACATGGCGGGGAACAACACACACTGGGGCCTGTTGGAGGGGCAGGGAGACAGAGCATCAGGAAGAATAGCTAATGAATGCTGGGCTTAATAGCTTAATACTTAGGTGATGGGTTGATTTGTGCAGCAAACCACCATGGCACATGTTTACCTATGCAACAAACCTGCACACCCTGCACATGTATCCCTGAACTTAAAATAAAAGTTAGGCTGGGCGCGGTGGCTCACACCTGTAATCCCAGCACTTTGGGAGGCCAAGGAGGGCGGATCACAAGGTCAGGAGATCAAGACCATCCTGGCTCACACAGTGAAACCCCGTCTCTACTAAAAATACAAAAAAATTAGCCAGGCATGGTGACCGGCGCCTGTAGTCCCAGCTACTTGGGAGGCTGAGGCAGGAGAATGGCGTGAACCCGGGAGGTGGAGCTTGCAGTGAGCGGAGATTGTGCCACTGCACTCCAGCCTGGGCGACAGAGTGAGATTCCGTCTCAATAAATAAATAAATAAATAAATAAATAAATATCGAAGAAAATAAATAAATAAATAAAATGGGTGCTCAATGTAACCAAACTGAAGAGGGCAGAGAAGAAAGAACAATTCTAAGTAACTTTGGAAAACAGTGTTTTGACTATAAAGTGTACAATATTGTACTCTACTTTGTAAATTTGTTTTTCAGAGGAGTGAAATTTACAATTTTTAAATGGCCTTATGTGTATTCTAGGACTCACCATGAACAATGAGAACCAGGTTTCTCACTGTCAGAGAAAGAAGTTACAAATAAAGGAAAGGAGACTGTTAGAATGAACACTGTGGTGCTGGTTTGGAATAGAATGTATTAGTATGAACTCATGGTACTAGATATACAGTTATATACAAATAGATATACAGCTATAGATACAGATATATACATGTATGTGTATATACTGGTTCTATTGCTGAGATGGCCTAGAAGCCATGATACCCCATGAACAATGATTACACCCAGTGCTTAGATATTGTTTCTAAACAGCATCCTCCAATGAAAGCAACTAGTGATGCTTGGAGAAATGTCTGATTCCCATGGCTGGAATAGGGCAAGTACAAGATGAATGTGAAACATCTTGTGGTGCCAGAAGGTAAGAAAATGCACAAAAATAGTGAAGAAGGTATGTTAAAATGAGACAGAAGAAAACTTGAAGGAGATCCTAGTGGGTAACTCTGGAACAATTTGAGCAAAAGAACATGTAATAATCAGTAGATTATTACACATAGAATAAATCGAACAACCACCATAGTGGTTAAATAATTAGATAATTGGGCTGGGTGTGATGGCTCACGCCTGTAATCCTAGCACTTTGGGAGCCCAGGGTGGGATGATCGCAGGAGGATCTCTTGAGGCCAAGACCAACCTGGGCAATATAGTGAGACCACATCTCTATAAAGAAAGTAATAAATAATTGGATAAATAAATAAATTGGGTGAAGACACCATTCTTCCTTATAATAGAATTCCAATGAATAAATGTAGAAGGAATATGGAAATAGAAAGTCACCATTTGGAAGACACAGCAGTAATAATTGTTTCCTTTTCTTCATGAGCCAACAGCTACTGGGTAGTTGCCAGCCTCCCTTGCAAGTAGATGTGGCCATCTGACTGGCTTCTAGCCAGTAAAACGTGAGCAGAAGTTATGTATTCCCCTATAATCATTCTCTTTTCAGCTGACTTAGAGATAGATACTAAAGCGTGGTCCTTGAACCAATAGCAGCAGCAGCACCCATGAACCTATTAGAAATGCAAATTCATGGGCCATAACCTTGGACCTCCTAAATCAAACTCTGGGGGTAGCACCCAGCAATCAGTGTTTAAACGTCCCTCCAGGTGTTTTGGATACATGCTAAAGTTTGAGAACCACAGCCCCAGTGCAACCTTAGAAGGCACATGTGGAGAATAGCAGAGCCTCAGGCAGCTGAGTCCCTGAAAGGCTGCTGGAGAAGAACACTCATTCCTCTGTCCAAGACTACTAAATGAGGAACAAATAAATGTCTACCAGGTTGAACCACTATGCATTTATGTCTCTATACTACTGCGCTCTAGCCTGCCTTAATTAAATACTTATCTCATTAATTTTCAGCCTTTTTCCTTTTCTAATACACAGACTTAAATTTTAAATTGTTTTTCTAAAGACTACTTAAGCTGCCTCATGGTTAACCTTGACTGGGCCACAGGGTGTGCCCAGATATTTGGCCAAACATTATTCTGGGTGTGTTCGTGAGGGTGATTTGGATGAGATTAACATTTATTTATTTTTCAGTTGGAGTCTCACTTTGTCACCCAGGCTGGAGTGCAGTGGCACAATCTCGGCTCACTGCAACCTCCACCTTCTGGGTTCAAGTGATTCTCCTGCTTCAGCCTCCCAAATAGTGAGACTACAGGTGTGCACCACCACATCCAGCTAATTTTTTTGTATTTTTAGTAGAGATGGGGTTTCACCATGTTGGCCAGGCTTGTCTCAAACTCCTGACCTCAAGTGATCTGCCCACCTTGGCCTCCCAAAATGCTGGAATTACAGACATGAGCCACCACGCCTGGCTGAGATTAACATTTAGATCAGTAGACTGAGTAAAGCAAACTGCCCTTCCTAATGTGGGTGGGCCACATCCAATCAGTCGAAGGCCTGAATAAAAGGCAAAGTAAGAACACTCCACCTGCCTGACTGCCATCAAGTTGGAACATTGGTTTTTCCCTGCCTTCAGACTCAGATGGAAACATGAGCTCTTGCTGGGCCTCATGCATGCCAGCCTTTGGACTGGAACTCCAGCACTGGCTCTCTTGGGTCTCCATAATCATGTGAATCAGTCTCCATAATCACGTGAACCAGTTTCCTAATATATACTATTGGTCCTATTTCTTCGGAGAACCCTAATACAAGCTGCATCTCACCAGTTTTGACATTTAGAATTTTTACTATCATTCAGTTCAAAAATATTTGTTTCACTTGATTTATCTGACCTATGGGTCACCTAGAATAATGTCTTAATTTCCAAACATATGTGCTTCTTTGATTTCCAAACATATTTGGTTCTTCAATTATCTCCTTGTTGATTTCCAGCTTAGTCGTATTGTGGTCAGAAAACAACCTCTATATGATTATAATACTTTGGAATTTTTTGAGGTTCTTTCAATTCTTGTGGTTGAGGTTCTTCTTGTGGTTCTTTCAATTCTTATGGTTCTTTTCAATCTCACCTTTGACTCTATGTACTGTGGAAATTTTTTAAATATATGAAACTTTTTAATCATTATATCTTTGGTGAAACAAACCTTTTATTTATCATGAGGTAACCTTGAATTTTAGTAATGCTTTCTTGCCTTAAAGTGAGTTTTGTTTGAGAGTAATATGACTGTTTTCCTTTGGGTAATGTTTTCATGCCTTATCCCCTTCATTCCTTTATTTTCAACTTTAGCATACCTTTAGGTTTTAGCCATGTCTCTTACAAATAGTTTGTTGGTTGTTGTAGTTTCAAAATCCTGTCTGATAATCTTTAAATCAGAACATTTGGTCCATTCCCACTTCATGTAACTATAGTTTGGCCCTCGAATAATGTTGAGGTTAGGGGCACCGAGCCCCCCCAGAGTTAAACATCCATGTGTAACTTTTGACTCCCCAAACTAAAGTACTTATAGTCTACTGTCAACTAGAAGACCTACCAATAACATAAACGGTTGATCAACACACATTTCATATGTTAAATATTATATATTGTATTTTTACAATAAATTAAGAGAAAAAATCATAAGGAAGAGAAAATAAATTTACTATTAAGTGAAAGCAGATCAACATAAAGGTCTTTATCCTCGTCATTGTGATGTTTAGTATGAGGAGGAGGAGGAGGAAGAAGGGGCTGGTCTTGCTGTCTCAGGTGTCAGAGGCACAAGAGGTAGAGGGAATGGAAGGGGAGGCAGGAGAGCCTGGCACACTCCGTATACACTCTATAGAAGTACATCATAATTTCTGTCTGTCATGTTTTCTTTTTCTTTCTTTTATTATACTTTAAGTTCTAGGGTACATGTGCACAACGTGCAGGTTTGTTACATATGTATACATGCGCCATGTTGGTATGCTGCACCCATTAGCTCACCATTTACATGAGGTATATCTCCTGATGCTATCCCTCCTCCTGACTCCCCCTACCCCATGACAGGCCCTGGTGTGGGATGTTCCCCTTCCTGTGTCCAAGTGTTCCCATTGTTCAATTCCCATCTATGAGTGAGAACATGCGGTGTTTGTCTTTTTGTCCTTGCAATAGTTTGCTGAGAATGATGGTTTCCAGCTTCATCCATGTCCCTACAAAGGACATGAACTCATCATTTTTTATGGCTGCATAGCCTTCCATGGTGTATATGTGCCACATTTTCTTAATCCGGTCTATCATTGATGGACATTTGGGTTGGTTCCAAGTCTTTGCTATTGTGAATAGTGCCACAATAAACATACGTGTGCCTGTGTCTTTATAGCAGCGTG
Organism: Homo sapiens; assembly: GCF_000001405.40. Taxonomy (NCBI): domain Eukaryota; kingdom Metazoa; phylum Chordata; class Mammalia; order Primates; family Hominidae; genus Homo; species Homo sapiens. The sequence goes on along the minus strand of NC_000003.12, from coordinate 140,993,190 downwards.
ATTTATAATCCTTTGGGTATATACCTAGTAACGGGATGGCTGGGTCAAATGGTATTTCTAGTTCTAGATCCTTGAGGAATCGCCACACTGTCTTCCACAATGGTTGAACTAGTTTACGGTCCCACCAACAGTGTAAAAGAGTTCCTATTTCTCCACATCCTCTCCAGTACCTGTTATTTCCTGACTTTTTAATGATCGCCATTCTAACTGGTGTGAGATGGTATCTCATTGTGGTTTTGATTTGCCTTTCTCCGATGGCCAGTGATGATGAGCATTTTTTCATGTATCTTTTGACTGCAAACATGTCTTCTTTTGAGAAGTGTCTGTTCATATCCTTTGCCCACTTTCTGATGGGGTTGTTTGATTTTTTTCTTGTAAATTTGTTTAAGTTCTTTGTAGATTCTGGATATTAGCCCTTTGTAAGATGAGTAGATTGCAAAATTTTTCTCCCATTCTGTAGGTTGCCTGTTCACTCTGATGGTGGTTTCTTTTGCTGTGCAGAAGCTCTTTAGTTTAATTAGATCCCATTTGTTAATTCTGGCTTTTGTTGCCATTGCTTTTGGTGTTTTAGACATGAAGTCCTTGCCCATGCCTATGTCCTGAATGGTATTGCCTAGGTTTTCTTCTAGGGTTTTTATGGTTTTAGGTCTAACATTTAGGTCTTTAATCCATCTTGAATTAATTTTTGTATAAGGTGTGAGGAAGGGATCCAGTTTCAGCTTTCTACATATGGCTAGCCAGTTTTCCCAGCACCATTGAATAAATAGGGAATCCTTTCCCCATTTCTTGTTTTTGTCAGGTTTGTCAAAGATCAGATGGTTGTAGGTGTGTGGTATTATTTCTGAGGGCTCTGTTCTGTTCCATTGGTCTATATCTCTGTTTTTGTACCAGTACCATGCTGTTTTGGTTACTGTAGCCTTGTAGTATAATTTAAAGTCAGGTAGCCTGATGCCTTCAGCTTTGTTCTTTTTGCTTAGGATTGTCTTGGCTATATGGGTTCTTTTTTGGTTCCATATGAACTTTAAAGTAGTTTTTTCCAATTATGTGAAGAAAGTCATTGGTAGCTTGATGGGGATGGCATTGAATCTATAAATTACCTTGGGCAGAATGACCGTTTTCACAATATTGACTCTTCCTATCCATGAGTATGGAATGTTCTTCCATTTGTTTGTGTCCTCTTTTATTTCATTGAGCAGTGGTTTGTAGTTCTCCTTGAAGAGGTCCTTTACACCCCTTGTAAGTTGGATTCCTAGGTATTTTATTCTCTTTGTAGTAATTGTGAATGGGAGTTCACTCGATTTGGCTCTCTGTTTGTCTGTTGTTGGTGTATAGGAATGCTTCTGATTTTTGCACGTTGATTTTGTGTCCTGAGACTTTGCTGAAGTTTCTTATCAGCTTAAGGAGATTTTGGGCTGAGACGATGGGGTTTTCCACATATACAATCATGTCTTCTGCAAACACAGACAATTTGATTTCCTCTTTTCCTAATTGAATACCCTTTATTTCTTTCTCTTGCCTGATTGCCCTGGCCAGAACTTCCAACAATATGTTGAATAGGAGTGGTGAGAGAGGGCATCCCTGTCTTGTGCCAGTTTTCAAAGGGAATGGTTCCAGTTTTTGCCCATTCAGTATGATATTGGCTGTGGGTTTGTCATAAATAGCTCTTATTATTTTGAGATATGTTCCATCAATACCTAATTTATTGAGAGTTTTTAGCATGAAGGGTTGTTCAATTTTGTCAAAGGCCTTTTCTGCATCTGTTGAGATAATCATGTGGTTTTTGTCGTTGGTTCTGTTTATATGCTGGGTTACGTTTATTGATTTGCATATGTTGAACCAGCCTTGCATCCCAGGGATGAAGCCCACTTGATCATAGTGGATAAGCTTTTTGAAGTGCTGCTGGATTTGGTTTGCCAGTATTTTATTGAGGATTTTTACATCAGTGTTCATCAGGGACATTGGTCTAAAATTCTCTTTTTTTCTTGTGTCTCTGCCAGGCATTGGTATCAGGATGATGCTGGCCTCATAAAATGAGTTAGGGAGGATTCACTCTTTTTCTATTGATTGGAATAGTTTCAGAAGGAATGGTGCCAGCTCCTCCTTGTACCTCTGGTAGAATTCGGCTGTGAATCCATCTGGTCCTGGACTTTTTTTGGTCAGTAGGCTCTTAATTATTGCCTCAATTTCAGAGCCTGTTATTGGTCTATTCACAGATTCAACTTCTTCCTGGTTTAGTCTTGGGAGGGTGTATGTGTCGAGGAATTTATCCATTTCTTCTAGATTTTCTAGTTTATTTGAGTAGAGGTGTTTATAGTATTCTCTGATGGTAGTTTGTATTTCTGTGGGATCGGTGGTGATATACCCTTTATCATTTTTTATTGCATCTATTTGATTCTTCTCTCTTTTCTTCTTTATTAGTCTTGCTAGTGGTCTATCAATTTTGTTGATCTTTTCAAAAAACCAGCTCCTGGATTCATTGATTTTTTTGAAGGTTTTTTTGTGTCCCTATCTCCTTCAGTTCTGCTACCTTTGAATGTGTTTGCTCTTGCTTCTCTAGTTCTTTTAATTGTGATGTTAGGGTGTCAATTTTAGATCTTTCCTGCTTTCTCTTGTGGGCATTTAGTGCTATAAATTTCCCTCTACACACTGCTTTAAATGTGTCCCAGAGATTCTGGTATGTTGTGTCTTTGTTCTCGTTGGTTTCAAAGAACATCTTTATTTCTGCCTTCATTTCATTATGTACCCAGTAGTCATTCAGGAGCAGGTTGTTCAGTTTCCATGTAGTTGAGCGGTTTTGAGTGAGTTTCTTAATCCTGAGTCCTAGTTTGATTGCACTGTGGTCTGAGAGACAGTTTGTTATAATTTCTGTTCTTTCACATTTGCTGAGGAGTGCTTTACTTCCAACTATGTGGTCAATTTTGGAATAAGTGTGATGTGGTGCTGAGAAGAATGTATATTCTGTTGATTTGGGGTGGAGAGTTCTGTAGATGTCTATTAGGTCCGCTTGGTCCAGAGCTGAGTTCAATTCCTGGATATCCTTGTTAACTTTCTCTCATTAATCTGTCTAATGTTGACAGTGGGGTGTTAAAGTCTCCCATTATTATTGTGAGGGAGTCTAAGTCTCTTTGTAGGTTTCTAAGAACTTGCTTTATGAATCTGGGTGCTCCTGTATTGGGTGCATATATGTTTAGGATTTCTTGTTGAATTGATCCCTTTACCATTATGTAATGGCCTTCTTTGTCTCTTTTGATCTTTGCTGGTTTAAAGTCTGTTTTATCAGAGACTAGGATTGCAATCTCTGCCTTTTTTTGTTTTCCATTTGCTTGGTAGATCTTCCTCCATCCCTTTATTTTGAGCCTATGTGTGTCTCTGCAGGTGAGATGGGTCTCCTGAATACAGCACACTGATGGGTCTTGACTCTTTATCCAATTTGCCAGTGTGTGTCTTTTAATTGGAGCATTTAGCCCATTTACATTTAAGGTTAATATTGTTATGTGCGAATCTGATCCTGTCATTATGATGTTAGCTTGTTATTTTGCTTGTTAGTTGATGCAGTTTCTTCCTAGCCTCGATGGTCTTTACAATTTGGCATGTTTTTGCAGTGGCTGGTACCAGTTCTTCCTTTCCATGTTTAGTGCTTCCTTCAGGAGCTCTTTTAGGGCAGGCCTGATGGTGACAAAATCTCTCAGCATTTGCTTGTCTGTAAAGGATTTTATTTCTCCTTCACTTATGAAGCTTAGTTTGGCTGGATATGAAATTCTGGGTTGAAAATTCTTTTCTTTAAGAATGTTGAATATTGGCCCCCACTCTCTTCTGGCATGTAGAGTTTCTGCTGAGAGCTCAGCTGTTAGTCTGATGGGCTTCCCTTTGTGGGTAACCCAACCTTTCTCTCTGGCTGCCTTTAACATTTTTTCCTTCATTTCAACTTCAGTGAATCTAACAATTACGTGTCTTGGAGTTGCTCTTCTCGAGGAGTATCTTTGTGGTGCTCTTTGTATTTCCTGAATTTGAATGTTGGCCTGCCTTGCTAGGTTGGGGAAGTTCTCCTGGATAATATCCCGTAGAGTGTTTTCCAACTTGGTTCAATTCCCCCCGTCACTTTCAGGTACACCAATCAGACGTAGATTTGGTCTTTTCACATAGTCCCATATTTCTTGGAGGCTTTGTTTGTTTCTTTTTACTCTTTTTTCTCTAAACTTCTCTTCTGGCTTCATTTCATTCATTTGATCTTCAATCACTGATAGCTTTTCTTCCAATTGATGGAATCGGCTACTGAAGCTTGTGCATTCGTCACGTAGTTCTCATGCAATGTTTTTCAGCTCCATCAGGTCATTTAAGGACTTCTCTACACTGGTTATTCTAGCTAGCCATTCGTCTTATCTTTTTTCAAGGTTTTTAGCTTCTTTGTGATGGGTTCGACCTTCCTCCTTTAGCTCGGAGAAGTTTGATTGTCTGAAGCCTTCTTCTCTCAACTCGTCAAAGTCATTCTCTATCCAGCTTTGTTCCATTGCTGGCAAGGAGCTCCATTCCTTTGGAGGGGGAGAGGCGCTCTGATTTTTAGAATTTTCAGCTTTTTTGCTCTGTTTTTTCCCCATCTTTGTGGTTTTATCTACCTTTGGTCTTTGATGATGGTGACGTACAGATGGGGTTTTGGTGTGGATGTCCTTTCTGTTTGTTAGTTTTCCTTCTAACAGTCAGGACCCTCAGCTGCAGGTCTATTGGGGTTTGCTGGAGGTCCACTCCAGACCGTTTGCCTGGGTATCAGCAGTGGAGGCTGCAGAACAGCGAATATTGCTGAACAGCAAATGTTGCTGCCTGATCGTTCCTCTGGAAGCTTCATCTCAGAGGGATACCCGGCCGTGTGAGGTTTCAGTCTGCCCCTACTGGGGTTGCCTCCCAGTTAGACTACTCGGGGGTCAGGGACCCACTTAAGGGGGCAGTCTGTCCGTTCTCAGATCTCAAACTCCATGCTGGGAGAACCACTACTCACTTCAAAGCTGTCAGACAGGGACATTTAAGTCTGCAGAGGTTTCTGCTACCTTTTGTTTGGCTATGCCCTCCCCCCAGAGGTGGAGTCTACAGAGGCAAGCAGACCTCCTTGAGCTGCAGTGGGCCCCATCCATTTCAAGCTTCCTGGACACTTTGTTTATCTACTCAGCCTCAGCAATGTCAGGCACCCCTCCCCCAGCCTCGCTGCTGCCTTGCAGATCAATCTCAGACTGCTGTGCTACAATGAGCGAGGCTCTGTGGGCGTGGGACCCTGTGAGCCATGCGTGGGATATAATCTCCTGGTGTGCCATTTGCTAAGACCATTGGAAAAGTGCAGTATTAGGGTGGGAGTGACCTGATTTTCCAGGTGCCGTCCTTCATGGTTTCCCTTGGCTAGGAAAGGGAATTCCCTGACCCCTTGCGCTTCCTGGGTGAGGCAATGCTCACCCTGCTTTGGCTCACGCTTGGTGGGCTGCACCCACTGTCCTGCACCCACTGTCCAACAAGCCCCAGTGAGATGAACCTGGTACCTCTGTTGGAAATGCAGAAATCACCCATCTTCTGCGTCGCTCACGCTGGGAGCTGTAGACTGGAGCTGTTCCTATTCAGCCATCTTGGAACGGCCCCTCCATTTTTGCTTTTTCATTTCTCTAAAAATGTTACCATATGACACTTAGTCCATTTTGCACTCCTGTAAAGGAATACCTGAGCTGTGTAATGTACAAAGAAAACGAGGTTTATATGGCTATGGTCCTGCAGACCGTACAGGAAGCATGGAACCAGCACCTGCTTCTGGTGAAGGCCTCAGGAAGCTTCCAGTTGTGGTCGAAGGGGAAGGGGGGCCAGTGTGTCACATGGTGAGAGAGAGAGCAAGAGAAAGCAAGGTGAGGGATGCCACACTCTTTTAAACAACCAGCTGTCACGATGTAATGAAATGAGAACTCAATCGTTGCTGTGGGGAGGGCACAAAGCCATTCACGAGGGATGGGCCCCTACTTCCCAAACACCTCTCACTAGGCCTCACCTTCAACACTAGCGATCAAATTGTGATTTGGAGGACACAAATATCCTAACTATATCAGGTACCAATTCTCCTTTCACCTTTGCTTTGGCTTCATTTCTGGTATCATAGAATGCTCCATGTTGTAAAAGAAGTCAAAAGTAGTCTTGAATAATCAGAATCCTTCTGCCAGATTGCTTAATGTCAAGTTGTTTTCTGTCACTGCCTCCTCTACATCTTCATCCTTATCATCTGGCACTGGTTTGGAAGCACTTATCTCTGTCAAGTCAACTTCTCTTAATTCCTCTGGCATGGTGTCTATTCGCTCTTGAATTTCTCCAAGATCTGTATCTTAAAACTCTTAACTCCCTATCTGTTTTGCCCACAGCCACAGTCTCTTTCATGATATCTGTGATTGGCTCTGTCATGAATCCTCTGAATTCATGCACAAGATCTGGACACAGTTTTCTCCAGCAGGAATTTCCTGTTTCAAGTAATAAGACAATCTAAATGAATTGTCTTAACTAGATTGTCTTGAAAATCTGATGTCTATAAAAAATATGTCATAGGGCCCAAATACCTGAAACAATCTAAGAATATGTCAACAGCAATGGCATTTTCAATAGTGTAATTCTTCCAGGCTTTTATGATGTTCTCTCTGTCAGGGTTTTCTTGCACAGCATTGACAATCCCTTCCACAGAATACTGTGTTTAATTAACCTTAAACCTTATGACCCCCAGATCTCTGATGATCTGGTGGTCAGTGGCTGATGTAGAGACATTGGGTTTGGGGCAAGTAGACCACTTTGATGACCTTGGTATTGAATTCATGGGGTTGAACTCATGGGTGGCCAGAGGCATTATCCAGTATCATAAGAGCTTTAAAAGGCAGTCCCCAGGGAGTGGGGGTCAAGGGGAGGGAGAACATTAGGACAAATACCTAATGCATGTGGAGCTTAAAACCTAGATGATGGGTTGATAGGTGCAGCAAACCACCATGGCACATGTATACCTATGCAACAAACCTGCACGTTCTGCACATGTATCCCAGAACTTAAAATTTAAAAAAAAAAAGAAAGAAGAAAAGGCAGTCCCTTATTGACAAGGTACTTCCTGAATTCAGGGACAGAGCATTGATGGAACCAATTCAGAAAAAGGGTTCTTGTCCAGGCCTTCTTGTTGTGCAACTAGAAGACTGGCAGCTAATTTTTATCTTTTCCCTTTAAGGGTTGGGGGTTAGCAGATTTTATAGGTAAGGACAGTCCTGATCATAAACCTAACTACATTTGCACACATCAGTAGAGTTAGCTTATCCCTTCCAGCCTTAAATCCTGTTGCTCACTTCCCTTCCTTACTAATTAATGTCTTTTGTGGCATTTTTCCCCCCAGAATAGGGCACTTTTGTTTGCATTAAAACCTGTTCAAAGCCTGGGTTACATAGCAAGACCCTGTCTCTACAAAAAAAAAAAAAAAAAAGGAAAAAAAATTAGCAGGGCCTGGTCATGCGTGCCTATGGTCTTAATTACTTGAAAGGCTGAGGTGAGAGAATTGGTTGAGCCCAGAAGCAATTCAAGGTTACAGTGAGCCGTGATTGCACCATCACACTCCAGCCTAAGTGACAGAGCAAGACTCGCTCTCTAGAAAACAAAAATGGAAACAATACAAAACAAAAACCTGTGTAGGCAGCTATCCTTTCTCCTCAATGATTTTCCTAATGGTTTCTGGGAATGTGTGTGCTGTCTCTTGGTTGGCAGAAGCTGCTTCTTCTGTTATCTTGACAATTTTAAAGCCAAATCTCTTCCAAAATTATCAAACCATCCTTTGCTGGCATTACATTCTCTAGCTTTAGACCCCTCACTTTCCTTTTGTTTTAAGTTGCCATATAGTGACTTCACCTTTTCTCAAATCGTATTAGTCTATAGGTAATGCCTTTTTTATAGCAATCCTGCCTTACATAAAAGCTGCATTTGCAATGAGATAAAAAAGTATTTCACAAAAAAAGTGCCAGGTTTTCACACCTACTGGTGTAGCCACAGCCATGGCTTCACAAATTTCTTTTCCTTTTTGTACAACGGTCCTTAGCTAGATTAATTTATCTTGAATGGCAGGCCAATGCAGCTGCGAACCTCAGTCTATAGCACACATCAAGCAGTTAAACTTTTTCTTGTAATGTCATGCGTTTCTCTGCTTCTTGGGAGCACTTCCAGCACTTATAGTTGTATTTTGCATGAGTCTAATGGTGTTACTCAACGTTTATGGTATTGCACTAAACACTACAAAAAACACCTGAGAACCAAGAGATACCACTTTTTACTGCAATGAACAATTTACCGGAGAGAGGAACTGCTCATTTGAGATGATTAGTGTCATGTCACACAGCATTTTAAATGGATACTTGCAATACTTGGGCTCACCACAATAGCAACAAGAGGTGGCTATAAAATTATTACAGTAGTAAAGTATGCACTAGTTAATTTTATATGCTTATAATACTGCCTCTTTACATTTGCTTACATTGCTCTGGACTGCGAATGGCACCATGTATGGTTTGTGAGCATAAATTTTGATAAATTTTGACTTTTTAAAATAGATTTGTATATATTCTATGGTAGTAAATTATAAAGTACTATCTACAATTATTTTATGCATTCATCACATACTGTGGAGACACAAGTGACACCATCTTGGATGCTAATCCATCGTGTTGACTTATGATTGGCCCCAGTATCATGAATGCCTCCTGATTTCACTTTATTTACTATCCTTAATGTAAGAGCATGTACTCACTATAAATCTTGCCTTTAGATCAAAGCAACCTTAATGTTATTGCACAAATTATAGGCTATGATGCACACAGGATTCTCTTGCCTGTTCTGGAGGGTGGTCTCTAACTGTCTTGCACAGAACATGTACCCCCTTTTTCTATGGTATAAAGCCCTGGGGCTGAGGGTAACAGCAAAGCTCTGCCTGTCTTGCAGTGGCCCAAGACCATGCTTCTGTTGGTAAGTTCTCTAAACCAATCACCCTATACTGACAAACGGATTTGTTTGCCTCATTCTTTGATTTCTAGGCCCCTTCTGTGTCTGTATATATGGATCTGTCATGGAACACATATGAAACTTTTTCTTAATTTTTTTGTTACCTCTAGGCTACATAGTTTGTGAGTTTTTTTCCCCCAAATTGTTACAAATCTCCAAAAAAATGTTTCAATAAATTTATTGAAAACAATCTATGTATTAGCAAACCCTTGCAGTTCAAACCTGTGTTGTTCAAGGGTCAATGGTACTGATAGATTTGGATTTAAAACTGTATTATTTCATACTACTTTTCCTTTCTGGCCTTCCTTTGAACTGATTTTTAAAAAAGAATTCTTTCATGTTTTCTCCTTCTACAAGTATACTAGTTACACTATTTATGTTCTTTTATGGTTACCCCACTTATTACAATATGTATACTTAACAAAAATTAAAATTAGTCTTCATCTTCTTCCTGGATAACACAATGCTTTGTAGAACTCTTTAACTCCATTTCTCTCCCTCCTTACTTTGATTAAATTGTAATAGACTATATTGTGTGTATATATATATATATACATATATGTGTATACATATATATGTGTGTGTATATATATATATATACATATATATATATATATATATATATTTTTTTTTTTTCCCCCAAGACGGAGTCTTGCTCTGTGGCCCAGGCTGGAGTGCACTGGTGCGCTCTTGGCTCACTGCAACCTCCACCTCCTGGGTTCAAATGATTCTCCTGCCTCAGCCTCCCAAGTAGCTGGGATTACAGGCGTGTGCGACCATGCCTAGCTAATTTTTGTATTTTTAGTATAAACAGGGTTTCACCATGTTGGCCAGGCTGGTCTCGAACTCCTGACCTCAGGTGATCCTCCCGCCTCGGCATCTCAAAGTGCTGGGATTACAGGTGTGAGCCACCGTGCCCAGCCTATTGTGTATATTTTACTTGTTACTTTTTAATATGGTAAATCACCTTTTGCACTTGCCCACCTGTTTTGTTTGCCTTTTTTTCTTCCATCTTAGTTCTTCTGGTATCACATTCCTTCTGCCTAAAGCACATCCTTTTTTTTCTGACGTCTTTAAAAATTTAATTTAAAAAAATATTCAAGGGCTACATAGTGATGTTTTGTTACATGCAATGTATAGTAATCAGATGACGGTAATTAGCATATCCATCATCTCAAACATTTATCATTTGTTTTGGAAACATTTAATATTCCTCCTTCTAGCTATTTGAAACTATCTATTATTGTTAACTATAGTCATCCTACAGTTGTATAGAACAGGATTTCCTTTGGTGAGCTTGAGCTTCTGCTAGTGGCAAACTGTTTTAATTTTTCTGAAATTTATTTCACCCTCATTCCTAACCCATCATCTAGGTAGCAGAAATCAGTATCTTCACTTTGTTTTGATATTCTTCCATTTCACTACAATGTTTATAGGCATGTTTTAATCTTATTTAGAATGCATTGTGATTCATGGAGCTATGGATTCATGTTTATCATCAACGCTGGGAGTTTTCCAATCATTTTTTTTTTTTTTTTGAGAAGTAGTCTCCCTTTGCCGCCTTGGCTGGAGTGCAGTGGTGCAATCTCGGCTCACTGCAACCTCCGCCTCCTGGGGTCAAGTGATTCTCCTGCCTCAGCCTCCCCAGTAGCTGGGATTACAGGGGCCCGCCACCACACCCAACTAGTTTTTGTATTTTTAGTAGAGACAGGGTTTCACCATGTTGGCCAGGCTGGTCTCGAACTCCTGACCTCAAGTGATCCGCCCGCCTCGGCCTCCCAAAGTGTTGGGATTACAGGCGTGAGCCACCGTGCCTGGCCTCCAATTACCTTTTAAAATATTGTCTCTTCTCCATCCTCTCTGCTTACTCTGGAACTCCGATCAGAAGTACATTAGACATACTTATCCCATTCTCCATGATACCTAACTTTTCTTCCATATAGTCCTCTTCTTATCTCTTTGCTGTCTTTTGGGTAAAGTATTTTAAAGAGATAAGTATCTAGTTTATGCTTTTATTTTGCATTAGGTTAAAAATGCTTAACATGAACAAATCTTAAATGTACAGTGACAGTTCGGATGTGTGTCCCTGCCCAAATCTCATATTGAAATGTAATCTCCAATTTTGGAAGTGGGGGTTCTGGTGGGAGATGATTGGATCATCGAAGTGAAATAATGCTTCATTTTAATTCATATTGATGTCCAGTTGCTCCAGCACAATTTTTCCAAGTTAGGAAAACAACAAAAAACCCTAAAAATCAGTATCTAATTTAGGAAGGTATAGATCAAATAGTCTGGGCCACTAAAACACTTAAGCTCATACTAAGGAGATCGATCATATTGGAGAACCTTAAAAGGTAAGATTCAGAAGTAATGGCTGAAGAATGTTAGGGCTATTTATCCTTGACAATGACTCAAGGAGGAATTCTACAGTGCATTGGAAGAGCAGGGAGGGGACTGGGAAACAGAAAATCAGAGGTCTAGTACTAAATTGTTTGGTTGGATTTGATAAGCTCCTGAGTTACATTAGGTTTGGAATCCTGGTCTACCCCTGGTTTTAAAATCTCAAGACATTTACACCTTTTGAGTCAATTCCTAGGAGATAAGAACAAAAGAAAATGGGTTATTTTTCCTAACTTGGGCTAAAACACTTTGACCTTTAACAAAGAATGCCCCTCCCCATGTCAGCCTGTAAAATTTTTTATCTGTTTCAAAGCCTAGTTAAAATGCCATTTTCTCCATGCAACCAAGATTTTGCTAAAAGAATTACTACTTTCAGAGAACACAGATCACCTTCTGACACTCCCGAGGCTCAAAGACAGTATTAATTAAGAGCAACTTACATAAGACAAACTAGTATCTGTTAAGTCTGGCTTTCTAGGATGTTGCTAATCATTCTTTGGGAGAAAAAAACCTTGAGAGGTTCTCCACTGGCCTCAGGATGTAACCTAAGGTCTATATACGTTAGCTTCTAGACAGTTCATACTGTTCTTATGTATTCAACTCTGTTCCTGATTACTTCCTAATGTTTCATTCAGAGCCAACTTCTATCCATCTTTCCTTTAGAACGAAGTTTCTAAAACATCTATCTATTGTCAAGTGCTGGTGAATAACCTAGTGTAGTAAATAAAAAAACACAGGACTAAGATTCAGAGCACTCAAGTCAAAAACTCCAGTTGTAACTAATATTCCTCTGTATTTATTGGATCTATAGGCTATTAAGAAATCACATGACACCACTGTATAAACACAGCACTCTATGAACATAAATCTTGAATTGATTCAATACATATTAAGGCAGTCAGCTGGTCTACACAGTGCGAAAATAAAGAAACAGAAGGGAAGTCAGGCTGAGGCAGAATCGCTTGAACCCGGGAGGCAGAGGTTGCAGTGACCTGAGATCATGTCATTGCACTCCAGCATGGGTGACAAGAGTGAAGCTCCGTGTATATATATTAAAAGGGGGGGGGGGCAGGGGGAACATTTAATTACATTTTGCTTGCCTGAGTTTTATCAGTGTATAAATGTCACACTAGAACCTTAAGAAATCATGAACTCACAAATTACTTCCCTATCACGGCTCCCAATGTTCAGTAATAAACACACACACACAACTTGGAACACCTGTGCTCAATTTTAACCATTATTTTGCCAGTGCCTTCAGTGCAGAGTACTATTAGTAGAACCAACAATTTCAGATTTATGTCAATGTTGAAATACAAAATATATTTCGTCCTGGTTTCCTCAAGACTGGACAATGTTTGATGTTAACTACAATACAGAAAAACTTAAATAAAATAGACAAAATGTAAAGAGGGTAGGCACTACATAGCATTTTATCTTTGTCATTTGTATTTTGATCTAACATTATGTGGATTCATTTGGTTATTCTAACAAGTTCTCACCTCTGTATTTTTAATATCAACTTTCACAAAGGCTGAAATTAAAACATGAAAAGTGTTGGATAAAAGTCAATAAACCTGTGGAAGATATGCAAGATTTCTTTGTACACTATGAGGGAGTTGGATTACTTGACCTTTGGGTTCCTTCAGACATCACTAGATCTAACAGATACAAAGTGCTCAAGATAAGGTTTGCTGACTGAATCAAGCGAGCCTAAAACTTAACCTGAAAATGGCAATGGATTTTTGTTCCACACATAGGATAATCCAAAAAAGTGTGATTATGTTCTCAATAAAATGTTGATATATTACAGAAAAAGCCATATTTTCATGAGCGTATTTTAATTTTTAAAATTTGAACAATTCAAGTAAAAGTCAGCTAGATAACATAAATACAGAGTAAATGCACATAATTTACAGCCATGTACATAAATGCAAGATACCAAACCTCACATGAATAGTCAAAAGTTAACACTTTTGAGGTTCACTATTTAGCTATGACTGATAGGTCATAATTCTTCACATAAACGGGGTACACATTCCAAAAGTTTATAAACACAAAAACTGAGTCAAACCAGAATTTTGTTTCTACAAGGAGTAGCATAAAAATCAGTGTGTAGGTTAATGGGAAATACTAAGTACATGATGGAGAAGAGATCTGAGTGGGCAGAAAGTTTGTACATTGTATTTTATGTATTAAAATTCCTCAAATTTAAATCATTCAGAAATACCTATATTCTTAGGAATGTTAAAGTCATTATATATTTGAGGAGAAAAGGCTGAACTGTACTTATCAGCTCCAAAGGGGGTCCCTAGATTACTAACAGTCTGGGCAGAAGAGCATGTAAACAACAAAAGGCAGGCATGGACAATTATTGAAGGGCAAGAAATGGATTGATTTTTAGCACTTAAATCCTTCAAATCCGAATAAATATTTTTAGTGATTTAAAACCAACCTAAAAATGCTGAAATGTCTGTAACCCAGTAATAGAGCAAACATTATTTTTACCAACCCAAACTCTGCTGGTCCTAACATAGTAATGCTATCTCACAGATAATCTAATGATATTCTATCCTGACTTCAAAGTTACAAATTCACTGTGGTGGACCCATCTAGAAAGGATGGTTCTACAAAGTTACATAATGAGAATCAAACGAACTTTTGGTGATAGTTTTTTTCCTGGGATTAAAACCACTGCATGGTATCCCGAAATCACAAACGCTAATTCTTCAGATTTGAACTTTGAAATTTAAAAGTACAACAAACTAAATAATGTGGACTCTACACCAGAAATAAAAAAGTCATGATAAACAGATGAAAACAAGTTAAAAAAGTCCAATGCTCTGAATATGTGTTTTTGTTTTTAAACATGAGTCGATTTTTTAAAAACTTCAAAGAAATATTTCAGAGACAAACTTTATATACAACTTTTATATATAGTTTTCCTTTTTGAATTATCTCTGTCATACATAAACTATTGCAGATTGTGCTTAGGGAAAAATACAACTGAAATAAACTTCATTGCTCCTTTCTAGTTGTTGCACAAATAAACAATGTCCAAGACTCTAAGATTTCTTTGCTTTCCAGTACATACATAATACTGTTAAAAGCTGAATATAATGCACTAAAGGTCAACACAAGTTTTACTTGCTAAATACAAATAGAGAATATATGTTTATCCTTGAAGGACACTTGTTATGAATATGCTACAACTAAATAATAAGATGTTCCTTAGCTGCTGGTTTTCATATCATTCTTAATCATTTGTGGGGTACTGAGATCAGTAAGACTAGGGAGAGTCTCTATCTTACATTCAACACAATGAATGTTTATGGGTCTTCACAAGGCAAATGGCACTGTATTAGGCAGTAGAAATGGCACCTGAAAAGGCAAACACGATAGATTCAGACCTTCTCTACAGATTTGTTACAAACCGGTTTTTGGTACGTTCCTCATAATACA